>NC_000004.12:50791424-51107579 GCF_000001405.40 Homo sapiens
CTTTGTGTTGTGTGTACTCAAGTAACAGTGTTGAACCTTCCTTTTGACAGAGCAGTTTTGAAACACTCTTTTGGTAGAATCTGCAAGTGGATATTTGGATAGCTTTGAGGATTTCGTTGGAAACGGGTTATCTTCATATAAAATCCAGACAGGAGCATTCTCAGAAACTTCTTTGTGCTGTATGTCCTCAATTCACAGAGCTGAACCTTTGTTTGGATACAGCATTTTGGAGACATTCCTTTAGTAGAATCTGCAAGTTGATATTTAGATAGCTTTGAAGATTTCGTTGGAAACGGGAATATCTTCATAGAAAATCTAGACGGAAGCATTCTCAGAAACTGCTTTGTGATGTTTGCATTCAAGTCACAGAGTTGAATATTCCCTTTTATAGAGTAGGTTTGAAACACTCTTTCGGCACTACCTGGAAGTGGATATTTCGAGCTCTTTGAGGCCTATGGTTAAAAGGAAATATCTTCCCATAAAAACTAGACAGAAGCCGTCTCAGAAACTTGTTTGTGATGTGTGTATTCAACTAACAGAGTTGAACATTTCTGTTACAGAGCAATTTTAAAACACTCTTTGTGGAATCTGAAAGTGGATAATTGGATAGCTTTGTGGATTTCGTTGGAAACGGGATGACGTATAAAATCTAGAGAGAAGCATTCTCAGGAACTTCTTTCTGATGTTTGCATTCAAGTCACAGAATTGAACATTCCTTTTCAGAGTGCAGGTTTGAAACACTCTTTCTGTAGTATCTGGAAGTGGACATTTCAAGCGCTTTCAGGCCTACGGGGAGAAAGGAAATCTCTTCAAATAAAAACCAGACAGAAGGATTCTCAGAAACTTATTTGTGATGTGTGTCCTAAACGAACACAGTTGAACCTTTGTTTTGATACAGCATTTTGGAAACACTCCTTTTGTAGAATCTGCAGGTGGATATTTGGATAGATTTTAAGATTTCATTGGAAACGGGAATTTCTTCATATAAACTCAAGACAGATGCATTCTCCGAAACTTCTCTGTGATGTTTGCATTCCACTCACAGAGTTGAAAACTTCCTTTCATAGAGCAGGTTTGAAACACTCTTTTTGTAATATTTGGAAGTGGACATTTGCAGCGCTTTGAGGCCTATGGTGTAAAAGGAAATATCTTCTCATAAAAACCAGAAACAAGCATTCTCAGAAACTGCTTTTTGATGTGTGTACTCAAGTAACAGAGTTGAACCTTCCTTTTGACACAGCAGTTTTGAAACAATCTTTTTGTAGAATCTGCAAGTGGATATTTGGATAGCTTTGAGGATTTCGTTGGAAACGGGATATCTTCATATAAAATCTAGACAGAAGCATTCTCAGAAACTTCTTTGTGCTGTATGTCCTCAATTCAAAGAGTTGAACCTTTGTTTGGATACAGCATTTTGGAAACATTCCTTTAGTAGAATCTGCAAGTTGATATTTAGATAGCTTTGAAGATTTCGTTGGAAACGGGAATATCTTCATAAAAAATCTAGACGGAACCATTGTCAGAAACTGCTCTGTGATGTTTGCATTCAAGTCACAGAGTTAAATATTCTTTTATAGAGCAGGTTTGAAACACTCTTTCTGCACTCCCTGGAAGTGGAGATTTCGAGCGCTTTGAGGCCTATGGTGAAAAAGGAAATATCTTCCCATAAAAACTAGACAGAAGCATTCTCAGAAACTTGTTTGTGATGTGTGTATTCAACTAACAGACTTGAACTTTTGTTTTTACAGAGCAGTTTTAAAACAATCTTTTTGTGGAATCAGAAAGTGGATATTCGGATGGCTTTGAGGATTTCGTTGGAAGCGGGATTACATATAAAATCTAGAGAGAAGCATTCTCAGGAACTACTTTGTGATGTTTGCATTGAAGTCACAGAATTGAACATTCACTTTGATAGAGCAGGTTTGAAACACTCATTCTGTAGTATCTGGAAGTGGACATTTCAAGCGCTTTCAGGCCTATGGGGAGAAAGGAAATATCTTCAAATTAAAACTAGACAGAAGCATCCTCAGAAACTTATTTGTGATGTGTGTCCTCAACTAACAGAGTTGAAACTTTGTTTTGATACAGCATTTTGGAAACACTCTTTTTGTAGAATCTGCAGGTGGATACTTGGATAGCTTAGAGGGATTCGTTGGAAAGGGGATAAATTCATATAAAATCTAGACAGAGGCATTCTCAGAAACTTATTTGTGATGTGTGTCCTCAACTAACAGAGTTGAACCTTGGTTTTGATACAGCATTTTGGAAACACTCCTTTTGAAGGATCTGCAGGTGGATATGTGGATAGCTTTGAAGATTTCGTTGGAAACGGGAATTTCTTCATATAAAATCAAACAGAAGCATTCTCAGAAACTTCTCTGTGATGTTTGCATTCAGCTGATGGAGTTGAACACTTCCTTTCATAGAGCAGGTTTGAAACACTCTTTCTGCACTACCAGGAAGTGGACATTTCGAGCGCTTTGAGGCCTATGGTGAAAAAGGAAATATCTTCTCATAAAAACCAGAAAGAAGCATTCTCAGAAACTTCTTTGTGTTGTGTGTACTCATGTAACAGTGTTGAACCATCCTTTTGACAGAGCAGTTTTGAAACACTCTTTTTGTAGAATCTGCAAGTGGATATTTGGATAGCTTTGAGGATTTCGTTGGAAACGGGATGACATATAATATCTAGAGAGAAGCATTCTCAGGAACTTCTTTGTGATGTTTGCATTCAAGTCACAGAATTGAACATTCCCTTTCATAGAGCAGGTTTGAAACACTCTTTCTCTAGTATCTGGAAGTGGGCATTTCAAGCGCTTTCAGGCCTATGGAGAGAAAGGAAATACCTTCAAATAAAAACTAGACAGAAGCATTCTCAGAAACTTATTTGTGATGTGTGTCCTCAACTAACAGAGTTGAACCTTTGTTTTGATACAGCATTTTGGAAACACTCCTTTTGTAGAATCTGCAGGTGGATATTTGGATAGCTTTGAAGATTTCGTTGGAAACCGGAATATCTTCATATAAAATCAAGACAGAAGCATTCTCGGAAACATCTCTGTGATGTTTGCATTCAACTCAGTAGAGTTGAACACTTCCTTTCATAGAGCAGGTTTGAAACACTCTTTCTGCACTACCTGGAAGCGGACATTTCGAGCTCTTTGAGGCCTATGGTGAAAAAGGAAATATCTTCTCATAAAAACCAGAAACAAGCATTCTCAGAAACTTCTTTGTGTTGTGTGTACTCAAGTAACAGTGTTGAACCTTCCTTTTGACAGAGCAGTTTTGAAACACTCTTTTGGTAGAATCTGCAAGTGGATATTTGGATAGCTTTGAGGATTTCGTTGGAAACGGGTTATCTTCCTATAAAATCCAGACAGGAGCATTCTCAGAAACTTCTTTGTGCTGTATGTCCTCAATTCACAGAGCTGAACCTTTGTTTGGATACAGCATTTTGGAGACATTCCTTTAGTAGAATCTGCAAGTTGATATTTAGATAGCTTTGAAGATTTCGTTGGAAACGGGAATATCTTCATAGAAAATCTAGACGGAAGCATTCTCAGAAACTGCTTTGTGATGTTTGCATTCAAGTCACAGAGTTGAATATTCCCTTTTATAGAGTAGGTTTGAAACACTCTTTCGGCACTACCTGGAAGTGGATATTTCGAGCTCTTTGAGGCCTATGGTTAAAAGGAAATATCTTCCCATAAAAACTAGACAGAAGCCGTCTCAGAAACTTGTTTGTGATGTGTGTATTCAACTAACAGAGTTGAACATTTCTGTTACAGAGCAATTTTAAAACACTCTTTGTGGAATCTGAAAGTGGATAATTGGATAGCTTTGTGGATTTCGTTGGAAACGGGATGACGTATAAAATCTAGAGAGAAGCATTCTCAGGAACTTCTTTCTGATGTTTGCATTCAAGTCACAGAATTGAACATTCCTTTTCAGAGTGCAGGTTTGAAACACTCTTTCTGTAGTATCTGGAAGTGGACATTTCAAGCGCTTTCAGGCCTACGGGGAGAAAGGAAATATCTTCAAATAAAAACTAGACAGAAGGATTCTCAGAAACTTATTTGTGATGTGTGTCCTAAACGAACACAGTTGAACCTTTGTTTTGATACAGCATTTTGGAAACACTCCTTTTGTAGGATCTGCAGGTGGATATTTGGATAGATTTTAAGATTTCGTTGGAAACGGGAATTTCTTCATAGAAGCTCAAGACAGATGCATTCTCAGAAACTTCTCTGTGATGTTTGCATTCCACTCATAGAGTTGAAAACTTCCTTTCATAGAGCAGGTTTGAAACACTCTTTTTGTAATATTTGGAAGTGGACATTTGCAGCGCTTTGAGGCCTATGGTGAAAAAGGAAATATCTTCTCATAAAAACCAGAAACAAGCATTCTCAGAAACTTCTTTTTGATGTGTGTACTCAAGTAACAGAGTTGAACCTTCCTCTTGACACAGCAGTTTTGAAACAATCTTTTTGTAGAATCTGCAAGTGGATATTTGGATAGCTTTGAGGATTTCGTTGGAAACGGGATATCTTCATATAAAATCTAGACAGAAGCATTCTCAGAAACTTCTTTGTGCTGTATGACCTCAATTAACAGAGTTGAACCATTGCTTGCATACAGCATTTTGGAAACATTCCTTGAGTAGAATCTGCAAGTTGATATTTAGATAGATTTGAAGATTTCGTTGGAAAAGGGAATATCTCCATATAAAATCTAGAGGGAAGCATTCTCAGAAACTGCTTTGTGATGTTTCCATTCAAGTCACAGAGTTGAATATTCCCTTTTATAGAGCACGTTTGAAACACTCTTTCTGCACTATCTGGAAGCGGACATTTCGAGCGCTTTGAGGCCTATGGTGAAAAAGGAAATATCTTCCCATAAAAACTAGACAGAAGCATTCTCAGAAACTTGTTTGTGATGTGTGTATTCAACTAACAGAGTTGAACTTTTGTTTTTACAGAGCCGTTTTAAAACACTCTTTTTGTGGAATCAGAAAGTGGATATTCGGATGGCTCTGAGGATTTCGTTGGAAGCGGGATTACGTATAAAATCTAGAGAGAAGCATTCTCAGGAACTTCTTTGTGATGTTTGCATTGAAGTCACAGAATTGAACATTCACTTTGATAGAGCAGGTTTGAAACACTCATTCTGTAGTATCTGGAAGTGGACATTTCAAGCGCTTTCAGGCCTATGGTGAGAAAGGAAATATCTTCGAATAAAAACTAGACAGAAGCATCCTCAAACTTATTTGTGATGTGTGTCCTCAACTAACAGAGTTGAAACTTTGTTTTGATACAGCATTTTGGAAACACTCTTTTTGTAGAATCTGCAGGTGGATATTTGGATAGCTTAGAGGGATTCGTTGGAAAGGGGATATCTTCATATAAAATCTAGACAGAAGCATTCTCAGAAACTTATTTGTGATGTGTGTCCTCAACTAACAGAGTTGAACCTTGGTTTTGATACAGCATTTTGGAAACACTCCTTTTGTAGAATCTGCATGTGGATATGTGGATAGCTCTGAAGATTTCGTTGGAAACGGGAATTTCTTCATATAAAATCAAACAGAAGCATTCTTAGAAACTTCTCAGTGATGTTTGCATTCAGCTCATGGAGTTGTACACTTCCTTTCATAGAGCAGGTTTGAAACACTCTTTCTGCACTACCTGGAAGAGGACATTTCGAGCGCTTTGAGTCCTATGGTGAAAAATGGAAATATCTTCTCATAGAAACCAGAAAGAAGCATTCTCAGAAACTTCTTTGTGTTGTGTGTACTCATGTAACAGTGTTGAACCATCCTTTTGACAGAGCAGTTTTGAAACACTCTTTTTGTAGAATCTGCAAGTGGATATTTGGATAGCTTTGAGGATTTCGTTGGAAACGGGATGACATATAATATCTAGAGAGAAGCATTCTCAGGAACTTCTTTGTGATGTTTGCATTCAAGTCACAGAATTGAACATTCCCTTTCATAGAGCAGGTTTGAAACACTCTTTCTCTAGTATCTGGAAGTGGGCATTTCAAGCGCTTTCAGGCCTATGGAGAGAAAGGAAATACCTTCAAATAAAAACTAGACAGAAGCATTCTCAGAAACTTATTTGTGATGTGTGTCCTCAACTAACAGAGTTGAACCTTTGTTTTGATACAGCATTTTGGAAACACTCCTTTTGTAGAATCTGCAGGTGGATATTTGGATAGCTTTGAAGATTTCGTTGGAAACCGGAATATCTTCATATAAAATCAAGACAGAAGCATTCTCGGAAACATCTCTGTGATGTTTGCATTCAACTCAGTAGAGTTGAACACTTCCTTTCATAGAGCAGGTTTGAAACACTCTTTCTGCACTACCTGGAAGCGGACATTTCGAGCGCTTTGAGGCCTATGGTGAAAAAGGAAATATCTTCTCATAAAAACCAGAAAGAAGCATTCTCAGAAACTTCTTTGTGTTGTGTGTACTCAAGTAACAGTGTTGAACCTTCCTTTTGACAGAGCAGTTTTGAAACACTCTTTTGGTAGAATCTGCAAGTGGATATTTGGATAGCTTTGAGGATTTCGTTGGAAACGGGTTATCTTCCTATAAAATCCAGACAGGAGCATTCTCAGAAACTTCTTTGTGCTGTATGTCCTCAATTCACAGAGCTGAACCTTTGTTTGGATACAGCATTTTGGAGACATTCCTTTAGTAGAATCTGCAAGTTGATATTTAGATAGCTTTGAAGATTTCGTTGGAAACGGGAATATCTTCATAGAAAATCTAGACGGAAGCATTCTCAGAAACTGCTTTGTGATGTTTGCATTCAAGTCACAGAGTTGAATATTCCCTTTTATAGAGTAGGTTTGAAACACTCTTTCGGCACTACCTGGAAGTGGATATTTCGAGCTCTTTGAGGCCTATGGTTAAAAGGAAATATCTTCCCATAAAAACTAGACAGAAGCCGTCTCAGAAACTTGTTTGTGATGTGTGTATTCAACTAACAGAGTTGAACATTTCTGTTACAGAGCAATTTTAAAACACTCTTTTTGTGGAATCTGAAAGTGGATAATTGGATAGCTTTGTGGATTTCGTTGGAAACGGGATGACGTATAAAATCTAGAGAGAAGCATTCTCAGGAACTTCTTTCTGATGTTTGCATTCAAGTCACAGAATTGAACATTCCTTTTCAGAGTGCAGGTTTGAAACACTCTTTCTGTAGTATCTGGAAGTGGACATTTCAAGCGCTTTCAGGCCTACGGGGAGAAAGGAAATATCTTCAAATAAAAACTAGACAGAAGGATTCTCAGAAACTTATTTGTGATGTGTGTCCTAAACGAACACAGTTGAACCTTTGTTTTGATACAGCATTTTGGAAACACTCCTTTTGTAGGATCTGCAGGTGGATATTTGGAGAGATTTTAAGATTTCGTTGGAAACGGGAATTTCTTCACATAAACTCAAGACAGATGCATTCTCAGAAACTTCTCTGTGATGTTTGCATTCCACTCATAGAGTTGAAAACTTCCTTTCATAGAGCAGGTTTGAAACACTCTTTTTGTAATATTTGGAAGTGGACATTTGCAGCGCTTTGAGGCCTATGGTGAAAAAGGAAATATCTTCTCATAAAAACCAGAAACAAGCATTCTCAGAAACTTCTTTTTGATGTGTGTACTCAAGTAACAGAGTTGAACCTTCCTTTTGACACAGCAGTTTTGAAACAATCTTTTTGTAGAATCTGCAAGTGGATATTTGGATAGCTTTGAGGATTTCGTTGGAAACGGGATATCTTCATATAAAATCTAGACAGAAGCATTCTCAGAAACTTCTTTGTGCTGTATGTCCTCAATTAACAGAGTTGAACCATTGCCTGGATACAGCATTTTGGAAACATTCCTTGAGTAGAATCTGCAAGTTGATATTTAGATAGATTTGAAGATTTCGTTGGAAAAGGGAATATCTCCATATAAAATCTAGAGGGAAACATTCTCAGAAACTGCTTTGTGATGTTTCCATTCAAGTCACAGAGTTGAATATTCCCTTTTATAGAGCACGTTTGAAACACTCTTTCTGCACTATCTGGAAGCGGACATTTCGAGCGCTTTGAGGCCTATGGTGAAAAAGGAAATATCTTCCCATAAAAACTAGACAGAAGCATTCTCAGAAACTTGTTTGTGATGTGTGTATTCAACTAACAGAGTTGAACTTTTGTTTTTACAGAGCCGTTTTAAAACACTCTTTTTGTGGAATCAGAAAGTGGATATTCGGATGGCTCTGAGGATTTCGTTGGAAGCGGGATTACGTATAAAATCTAGAGAGAAGCATTCTCAGGAACTTCTTTGTGATGTTTGCATTGAAGTCACAGAATTGAACATTCACTTTGATAGAGCAGGTTTGAAACACTCATTCTGTAGTATCTGGAAGTGGACATTTCAAGCGCTTTCAGGCCTATGGTGAGAAAGGAAATATCTTCGAATAAAAACTAGACAGAAGCATTCTCAGAAACTTATTTGTGATGTGTGTCCTCAACTAACAGAGTTGAAACTTTGTTTTGATACAGCATTTTGGAAACACTCTTTTTGTAGAATCTGCAGGTGGATATTTGGATAGCTTAGAGGGATTCGTTGGAAAGGGGATATCTTCATATAAAATCTAGACAGAAGCATTCTCAGAAACTTATTTGTGATGTGTGTCCTCAACTAACAGAGTTGAACCTTGGTTTTGATACAGCATTTTGGAAACACTCCTTTTGTAGAATCTGCATGTGGATATGTGGATAGCTCTGAAGATTTCGTTGGAAACGGGAATTTCTTCATATAAAATCAAACAGAAGCATTCTTAGAAACTTCTCAGTGATGTTTGCATTCAGCTCATGGAGTTGAACACTTCCTTTCATAGAGCAGGTTTGAAACACTCTTTCTGCACTACCTGGAAGAGGACATTTCGAGCGCTTTGAGTCCTATGGTGAAAAAGGAAATATCTTCTCATAGAAACCAGAAAGAAGCATTCTCAGAAACTTCTTTGTGTTGTGTGTACTCATGTAACAGTGTTGAACCATCCTTTTGACAGATCAGTTTTGAAACACTCTTTTTGTAGAATCTGCAAGTGGATATTTGGATAGCTTTGAGGATTTCGTTGGAAACGGGATGACATATAATATACTAGAGAGAAGAGCATTCTCAGGAACTTCTTTGTGATGTTTGCATTCAAGTCACAGAATTGAACATTCCCTTTCATAGAGCAGGTTTGAAACACTCTTTCTCTAGTATCTGGAAGTGGGCATTTCAAGCGCTTTCAGGCCTATGGAGAGAAAGGAAATACCTTCAAATAAAAACTAGACAGAAGCATTCTCAGAAACTTATTTGTGATGTGTGTCCTCAACTAACAGAGTTGAACCTTTGTTTTGATACAGCATTTTGGAAACACTCCTTTTGTAGAATCTGCAGGTGGATATTTGGATAGCTTTGAAGATTTCGTTGGAAACCGGAATATCTTCCTATAAAATCAAGACAGAAGCATTCTCGGAAACATCTCTGTGATGTTTGCATTCAACTCAGTAGAGTTGAACACTTCCTTTCATAGAGCAGGTTTGAAACACTCTTTCTGCCCTACCTGGAAGCGGACATTTCGAGCTCTTTGAGGCCTATGGTGAAAAAGGAAATATCTTCTCATAAAAACCAGAAAGAAGCATTCTCAGAAACTTCTTTGTGTTGTGTGTACTCAAGTAACAGTGTTGAACCTTCCTTTTGACAGAGCAGTTTTGAAACACTCTTTTGGTAGAATCTGCAAGTGGATATTTGGATAGCTTTGAGGATTTCGTTGGAAACGGGTTATCTTCATATAAAATCCAGACAGGAGCATTCTCAGAAACTTCTTTGTGCTGTATGTCCTCAATTCACAGAGCTGAACCTTTGTTTGGATACAGCATTTTGGAGACATTCCTTTAGTAGAATCTGCAAGTTGATATTTAGATAGCTTTGAAGATTTCGTTGGAAACGGGAATATCTTCATAGAAAATCTAGACGGAAGCATTCTCAGAAACTGCTTTGTGATGTTTGCATTCAAGTCACAGAGTTGAATATTCCCTTTTATAGAGTAGGTTTGAAACACTCTTTCGGCACTACCTGGAAGTGGATATTTCGAGCTCTTTGAGGCCTATGGTTAAAAGGAAATATCTTCCCATAAAAACTAGACAGAAGCCTTCTCAGAAACTTGTTTGAGATGTGTGTATTCAACTAAGAGCGTTGAAAATTTCTTTTTACAGAGCAGTTTTAAAACACTCTTTTTGTGGAATCTGAAAGTGGATAATTGGATAGCTTTGTGGATTTCGTTGGAAACGGGATGACGTATAAAATCTAGAGAGAAGCATTCTCAGGAACTTCTTTCTGATGTTTGCATTCAAGTCACAGAATTGAACATTCCTTTTCATAGTGCAGGTTTGAAACACTCTTTCTGTAGTATCTGGAAGTGGACATTTCAAGCGCTTTCAGGCCTTATGGGGAGAAAGGAAATATCTTCAAATAAAAACTAGACAGAAGGATTCTCAGAAACTTATTTGTGATGTGTGTCCTAAACGAACACAGTTGAACCTTTGTTTTGATACAGCATTTTGGAAACACTCCTTTTGTAGAATCTGCAGGTGGATATTTGGATAGATTTTAAGATTTCATTGGAAACGGGAATTTCTTCATATAAACTCAAGACAGATGCATTCTCAGAAACTTCTCTGTGATGTTTGCATTCCACTCACAGATTTGAAAACTTCCTTTCATAGAGCAGGTTTGAAACACTCTTTTTGTAATATTTGGAAGTGGACATTTGCAGCGCTTTGAGACCTATGGTGAAAAAGGAAATATCTTCTCATAAAAACCAGAAACAAGCATTCTCAGAAACTGCTTTTTGATGTGTGTACTCAAGTAACAGAGTTGAACCTTCCTTTTGACACAGCAGTTTTGAAACAATCTTTTTGTAGAATCTGCAAGTGGATATTTGGATAGCTTTGAGGATTTCGTTGGAAACGGGATATCTTCATATAAAATCTAGACAGGAAGCATTCTCAGAAACTTCTTTGTGCTGTATGTCCTCAATTAACAGAGTTGAACCATTGCTTGGATACAGCATTTTGGAAACATTCTTTTAGTAGAATCTGCAAGTTGATATTTAGATAGATTTGAAGATTTCGTTGGAAACGGGAATATCTTCATATAAAATCTAGACGGAAGCATTCTCAGAAACTGCTTTGTGATGTTTGCATTCAAGTCACAGAGTTGAATATTCGCTTTTATAGAGCAGGTTTGAAACATTCTTTCCGGACTTCTTGGAAGTGGACATTTCGAGCGCTTTGAGGCCTATGGTGAAAAAGGAAATATCTTCCCATAAAAACTAGACGGAAGCCTTCTCAGAAAACTTGTTTGAGATGTGTGTATTCAACTAAGAGCGTTGAACATTTCTTTCTACAGAGCAGTTTTAAAACACTCTTTTTGTGGAATCTGAAAGTGGATAATTGGATAGCTTTGTGGATTTCGTTGGAAACGGGATTACGTATAAAATCTAGAGAGAAGCATTCTCAGGAACTTCTTTGTGATGTTTGCATTCAAGTCACAGAATTGAACATTCCCTTTCATAGAGCAGGTTTGAAACACTCTTTCTCTAGTATCTGGAAGTGGACATTTCAAGCGCTTTCAGGCCTATAGTGAGAAAGGAAATATCTTCAAGTAAAAACTAGACAGAAAGCATTCTCAGAAACTTATTTGTGATGTGTGTCCTCAACTAACAGAGTTGAACCTTTGTTTTGATACAGCATTTTGGAAACACTCCTTTTGTAGAATCTGCAGGTGGATATTTGGATAGCTTTGAAGATTTCGTTGGAAACCGGAATATCTTCATATAAAATCAAGACAGAAGCATTCTCGGAAACATCTCTGTGATGTTTGCATTCAACTCAGTAGAGTTGAACACTTCCTTTCATAGAGCAGGTTTGAAACACTCTTTCTGCACTACCTGGAAGCGGACATTTCGAGCGCTTTGAGGCCTATGGTGAAAAAGGAAATATCTTCTCATAAAAACCAGAAAGAAGCATTCTCAGAAACTTCTTTGTGTTGTGTGTACTCAAGTAACAGTGTTGAACCTTCCTTTTGACAGAGCAGTTTTGAAACACTCTTTTGGTAGAATCTGCAAGTGGATATTTGGATAGCTTTGAGGATTTCGTTGGAAACGGGTTATCTTCATATAAAATCCAGACAGGAGCATTCTCAGAAACTTCTTTGTGCTGTATGTCCTCAATTCACAGAGCTGAACCTTTGTTTGGATACAGCATTTTGGAGACATTCCTTTAGTAGAATCTGCAAGTTGATATTTAGATAGCTTTGAAGATTTCGTTGGAAACGGGAATATCTTCATAGAAAATCTAGACGGAAGCATTCTCAGAAACTGCTTTGTGATGTTTGCATTCAAGTCACAGAGTTGAATATTCCCTTTTATAGAGTAGGTTTGAAACACTCTTTCGGCACTACCTGGAAGTGGATATTTCGAGCTCTTTGAGGCCTATGGTTAAAAGGAAATATCTTCCCATAAAAACTAGACAGAAGCCGTCTCAGAAACTTGTTTGTGATGTGTGTATTCAACTAACAGAGTTGAACATTTCTGTTACAGAGCAATTTTAAAACACTCTTTGTGGAATCTGAAAGTGGATAATTGGATAGCTTTGTGGATTTCGTTGGAAACGGGATGACGTATAAAATCTAGAGAGAAGCATTCTCAGGAACTTCTTTCTGATGTTTGCATTCAAGTCACAGAATTGAACATTCCTTTTCAGAGTGCAGGTTTGAAACACTCTTTCTGTAGTATCTGGAAGTGGACATTTCAAGCGCTTTCAGGCCTACGGGGAGAAAGGGAATATCTTCAAATAAAAACTAGACAGAAGGATTCTCAGAAACTTATTGGTGATGTGTGTCCTAAACGAACACAGTTGAACCTTTGTTTTGATACAGCATTTTGGAAACACTCCCTTTGTAGAATCTGCAGGTGGATATTTGGATAGATTTTAAGATTTCGTTGGAAACGGGAATTTCTTCATATAAACTCAAGACAGATGCATTCTCCGAAACTTCTCTGTGATGTTTGCATTCCACTCATAGAGTTGAAAACTTCCTTTCATAGAGCAGGTTTGAAACACTCTTTTTGTAATATTTGGAAGTGGACATTTGCAGCGCTTTGAGGCCTATGGTGAAAAAGGAAATATCTTCTCATAAAAACCAGAAACAAGCATTCTCAGAAACTTCTTTTTGATGTGTGTACTCAAGTAACAGAGTTGAACCTTCCTTTTGACACAGCAGTTTTGAAACAATCTTTTTGTAGAATCTGCAAGTGGATATTTGGATAGCTTTGAGGATTACGTTGGAAACGGGATATCTTCATATAAAATCTAGACAGAAGCATTCTCAGAAACTTCTTTGTGCTGTATGTCCTCAATTAACAGAGTTGAACCATTGCTTGGATACAGCATTTTGGAAACATTCCTTTAGTAGAATCTGCAAGTTGATATTTAGATAGATTTGAAGATTTCGTTGGAAACGGGAATATCTTCATATAAAATCTAGACGGAAGCATTCTCAGAAACTGCTTTGTGATGTTTCCATTCAAGTCACAGAGTTGAATATTCTCTTTTCTAGAGCACGTTTGAAACACTCTTTCTGCACTATCTGGAAGTGGACATTTCGAGCGTTTTGAGGCCTATGGTGAAAAAGGAAATATCTTCCCATAAAAACTAGACAGAAGCATTCTCAGAAACTTGTTTGTGATGTGTGTATTCAACTGAGTTGAACTTTTGTTTCTACAGAGCAGTTTTAAAGCACTCTTTTTGTGGAATCAGAAAGTGGATATTCGGATGGCTCTGAGGATTTCGTTGGAAGCGGGATTACATATAAAATCTAGAGAGAAGCATTCTCAGGAACTACTTTGTGATGTTTGCATTGAAGTCACAGAATTGAACATTCACTTTGATAGAGCAGGTTTGAAACACTCATTCTGTAGTATCTGGAAGCGGACAATTCAAGCGCTTTCAGGCCTATGGGGAGAAAGGAAATATCTTCAAATAAAAACTAGAGAGAAGCATCCTCAGAAACTTATTTGTGATGTGTGTCCTCAACTAACAGAGTTGAAACTTTGTTTTGATACAGCATTTTGGAAACACTCTTTTTGTAGAATCTGCAGGTGGATATTTGGATAGCTTAGAGGGATTCGTTGGAAAGGGGATATCTTCATATAAAATCTAGACAGAAGCATTCTCAGAAACTTAATTGTGATTTGTGTCCTCAACTAACAGAGTTGAACCTTGGTTTTGATACAGCATTTTGGAAACACTCCTTTTGTACAATCTGCAGGTGGATATGTGGATAGCTTTGAAGATTTCGTTGGAAACGGGAATTTCTTCATATAAAATCAAACAGAAGCATTCTCAGAAACTTCTCTGTGATGTTTGCATTCAGCTCATGGAGTTGAACACTTCCTTTCATAGAGCAGGTTTGAAACACTCTTTCTGCACTACCTGGAAGTGGACATTTCGAGCGCTTTGAGGCCTATGGTGAAAAAGGAAATATCTTCTCATAAAAACCAGAAACAAGCATTCTCAGAAACTGCTTTTTGATGTGTGTACTCAAGTAACAGAGTTGAACCTTCCTTTTGACACAGCAGTTTTGAAACAATCTTTTTGTAGAATCTGCAAGTGGATATTTGGATAGCTTTGAGGATTTCGTTGGAAACGGGATATCTTCATATAAAATCTAGACAGAAGCATTCTCAGAAACTTCTTTGTGCTGTATGTCCTCAATTAACAGAGTTGAACCATTGCTTGGATACAGCATTTTGGAAACATTCCTTTAGTAGAATCTGCAAGTTGATATTTAGATAGATTTGAAGATTTCGTTGGAAACGGGAATATCTTCATATAAAATCTAGACGGAGGCATTCTCAGAAACTGCTTTGTGATGTTTCCATTCAAGTCACAGAGTTGAATATTCTCTTTTCTAGAGCACGTTTGAAACACTCTTTCTGCACTATCTGGAAGTGGACATTTCGAGCGCTTTGAGGCCTATGGTGAAAAAGGAAATATCTTCCCATAAAAACTAGACAGAAGCATTCTCAGAAACTTGTTTGTGATGTGTGTATTCAACTAACAGACTTGAACTTTTGTTTTTACAGAGCAGTTTTAAAACAATCTTTTTGTGGAATCAGAAAGTGGATATTCGGATGGCTTTGAGGATTTCGTTGGAAGCGGGATTACATATAAAATCTAGAGAGAAGCATTCTCAGGAACTACTGTGTGATGTTTGCATTGAAGTCACAGAATTGAACATTCACTTTGATAGAGCAGGTTTGAAACACTCATTCTGTAGTATCTGGAAGCGGACATTTCAAGCGCTTTCAGGCCTATGGTGAGAAAGAAAATATCTTCAAATAAAAACTAGACAGAAGCATCCTCAGAAACTTATTTGTTATGTATGTCCTCAACTAACAGAGTTGAAACTTTGTTTTGATACAGCATTTTGGAAACACTCTTTTTGTAGGATCTGCAGGTGGATATTTGGATAGCTTAGAGGGATTCGTTGGAAAGGGGATATCTTCATATAAAATCTAGAGAGAAGCATTCTCAGAAACTTATTTGTGATGTGTGTCCTCAACTAACAGAGTTGAACCTTGGTTTTGATACAGCATTTTGGAAACACTCCTTTTGTAGACTCTGCAGGTGGATATGTGGATAGCTTTGAAGATTTCGTTGGAAACGGGACTTTCTTCATATAAAATCAAACAGAAGCATTCTCAGAAACTTCTCTGTGATGTTTGCATTCAGCTCATGGAGTTGAACACTTCCTTTCATAGAGCAGGTTTGAAACACTCTTTCTGCACTACCAGGAAGTGGACATTTCGAGCGCTTTGAGGCCTATGGTGAAAAAGGAAATATCTTCTCATAAAAACCAGAAAGAAGCGTTCTCAGAAACTTCTTTGTGTTGTGTGTACTCATGTAACAGTGTTGAACCATCCTTTTGACAGAGCAGTTTTGAAACACTCTTTTTGTAGAATCTGCAAGTGGATATTTGGATAGCTTTGAGGATTTCGTTGGAAACGGGTTATCTTCATATTAAATCTAGACAGAAGCATTCTCAGAAACTTCTTTGTGCTGTATGTCCTCAATTCACAGAGTTGAACCTTTGTTTGGATACAGCATTTTGGAAACATTCCTTTAGTAGAATCTGCAAGTTGATATTTAGATAGCTTTGAAGATTTCGTTGGAAACGGGAATATCTTCATAAAAAATCTAGACGAAAGCATTGTCAGAAACTGCTTTGTGATGTTTGCATTCAAGTCACAGAGTTAAATATTCTTTTACAGAGCAGGTTTGAAACACTCTTTCTGCACTCCCTGGAAGTGGAGATTTCGAGCGCTTTGAGGCCTATGGTGAAAAAGGAAATATCTTCTCATAAAAACCAGAAAGAAGCATTCTCAGAAACTTCTTTGTGTTGTGTGTACTTCAAGTAACAGTGTTGAACCTTCCTTTTGACAGAGCAGTTTTGAAACACTCTTTTGGTAGAATCTGCAAGTGGATATTTGGATAGCTTTGAGGATTTCGTTGGAAACGGGTTATCTTCATATAAAATCCAGACAGGAGCATTCTCAGAAACTTCTTTGTGCTGTATGTCCTCAATTCACAGAGCTGAACCTTTGTTTGGATACAGCATTTTGGAGACATTCCTTTAGTAGAATCTGCAAGTTGATATTTAGATAGCTTTGAAGATTTCGTTGGAAACGGGAATATCTTCATAGAAAATCTAGACGGGAAGCATTCTCAGAAACTGCTTTGTGATGTTTGCATTCAAGTCACAGAGTTGAATATTCCCTTTTATAGAGTAGGTTTGAAACACTCTTTCGGCACTACCTGGAAGTGGATATTTCGAGCTCTTTGAGGCCTATGGTTAAAAGGAAATATCTTCCCATAAAAACTAGACAGAAGCCGTCTCAGAAACTTGTTTGTGATGTGTGTATTCAACTACCAGAGTTGAACATGTCTGTTACAGAGCAATTTTAAAACACTCTTTTTGTGGAATCTGAAAGTGGATAATTGGATAGCTTTGTGGATTTCGTTGGAAACGGGATGACGTATAAAATCTAGAGAGAAGCATTCTCAGGAACTTCTTTCTGATGTTTGCATTCAAGTCACAGAATTGAACATTCCTTTTCAGAGTGCAGGTTTGAAACACACTCTTTCTGTAGTATCTGGAAGTGGACATTTCAAGCGCTTTCAGGCCTACGGGGAGAAAGGAAATATCTTCAAATAAAAACTAGACAGAAGGATTCTCAGAAACTTATTTGTGATGTGTGTCCTAAACGAACACAGTTGAACCTTTGTTTTGATACAGCATTTTGGAAACACTCCTTTTGTAGGATCTGCAGGTGGATATTTGGATAGATTTTAAGATTTCGTTGGAAACGGGAATTTCTTCATAGAAGCTCAAGACAGATGCATTCTCCGAAACTTCTCTGTGATGTTTGCATTCCACTCATAGAGTTGAAAACTTCCTTTCATAGAGCACGTTTGAAACACTCTTTTTGTAATATTTGGAAGTGGACATTTGCAGCGCTTTGAGGCCTATGGTGAAAAAGGAAATATTCTTCTCATAAAAACCAGAAACAAGCATTCTCAGAAACTTCTTTTTGATGTGTGTACTCAAGTAACAGAGTTGAACCTTCCTTTTGACACAGCAGTTTTGAAACAATCTTTTTGTAGAATCTGCAAGTGGATATTTGGATAGCTTTGAGGATTTCGTTGGAAACGGGATATCTTCATATAAAATCTAGACAGAAGCATTCTCAGAAACTTCTTTGTGCTGTATGTCCTCAATTAACAGAGTTGAACCATTGCCTGGATACAGCATTTTGGAAACATTTCTTGAGTAGAATCTGCAAGTTGATATTTAGATAGATTTGAAGATTTCGTTGGAAAAGGGAATATCTCCATAGAAAATCTAGAGGGAAGCATTCTCAGAAACTGCTTTGTGATGTTTCCATTCAAGTCACAGAGTTGAATATTCCCTTTTATAGAGCACGTTTGAAACACTCTTTCTGCACTATCTGGAAGCGGACATTTCGAGCGCTTTGAGGCCTATGGTGAAAAAGGAAATATCTTCCCATAAAAACTAGACAGAAGCATTCTCAGAAACTTGTTTGTGATGTGTGTATTCAACTAACAGAGTTGAACTTTTGTTTTTACAGAGCCGTTTTAAAACACTCTTTTTGTGGAATCAGAAAGTGGATATTCGGATGGCTCTGAGGATTTCGTTGGAAGCGGGATTACGTATAAAATCTAGAGAGAAGCATTCTCAGGAACTTCTTTGTGATGTTTGCATTGAAGTCACAGAATTGAACATTCACTTTGATAGAGCAGGTTTGAAACACTCATTCTGTAGGATCTGGAAGTGGACATTTCAAGCGCTTTCAGGCCTATGGTGAGAAAGGAAATATCTTCGAATAAAAACTAGACAGAAGCATCCTCAAACTTATTTGTGATGTGTGTCCTCAACTAACAGAGTTGAAACTTTGTTTTGATACAGCATTTTGGAAACACTCTTTTTGTAGAATCTGCAGGTGGATATTTGGATAGCTTAGAGGGATTCGTTGGAAAGGGGATATCTTCATATAAAATCTAGACAGAAGCATTCTCAGAAACTTATTTGTGATGTGTGTCCTCAACTAACAGAGTTGAACCTTGGTTTTGATACAGCATTTTGGAAACACTCCTTTTGTAGAATCTGCATGTGGATATGTGGATAGCTCTGAAGATTTCGTTGGAAACGGGAATTTCTTCATATAAAATCAAACAGAAGCATTCTCAGAAACTTCTCAGTGATGTTTGCATTCAGCTCATGGAGTTGTACACTTCCTTTCATAGAGCAGGTTTGAAACACTCTTTCTGCACTACCTGGAAGAGGACATTTCGAGCGCTTTGAGTCCTATGGTGAAAAATGGAAATATCTTCTCATAGAAACCAGAAAGAAGCATTCTCAGAAACTTCTTTGTGTTGTGTGTACTCATGTAACAGTGTTGAACCATCCTTTTGACAGAGGAGTTTTGAAACACTCTTTTTGTAGAATCTGCAAGTGGATATTTGGATAGCTTTGAGGATTTTGTTGGAAACGGGATGACATATAATATCTAGAGAGAAGCATTCTCAGGAACTTCTTTGTGATGTTTGCATTCAAGTCACAGAATTGAACATTCCCTTTCATAGAGCAGGTTTGAAACACTCTTTCTCTAGTATCTGGAAGTGGGCATTTCAAGCGCTTTCAGGCCTATGGAGAGAAAGGAAATACCTTCAAATAAAAACTAGACAGAAGCATTCTCAGAAACTTATTTGTGATGTGTGTCCTCAACTAACAGAGTTGAACCTTTGTTTTGATACAGCATTTTGGAAACACTCCTTTTGTAGAATCTGCAGGTGGATATTTGGATAGCTTTGAAGATTTCGTTGGAAACCGGAATATCTTCATATAAAATCAAGACAGAAGCATTCTCGGAAACATCTCTGTGATGTTTGCATTCAACTCAGTAGAGTTGAACACTTCCTTTCATAGAGCAGGTTTGAAACACTCTTTCTGCACTACCTGGAAGCGGACATTTCGAGCGCTTTGAGGCCTATGGTGAAAAAGGAAATATCTTCTCATAAAAACCAGAAAGAAGCATTCTCAGAAACTTCTTTGTGTTGTGTGTACTCAAGTAACAGTGTTGAACCTTCCTTTTGACAGAGCAGTTTTGAAACACTCTTTTGGTAGAATCTGCAAGTGGATATTTGGAGAGCTTTGAGGATTTCGTTGGAAACGGGTTATCTTCATATAAAATCCAGACAAGAGCATTCTCAGAAACTTCTTTGTGCTGTATGTCCTCAATTCACAGAGCTGAACCTTTGTTTGGATACAGCATTTTGGAGACATTCCTTTAGTAGAATCTGCATGTTGATATTTAGATAGCTTTGAAGATTTCGTTGGAAACGGGAATATCTTCATAGAAAATCTAGACGGAAGCATTCTCAGAAACTGCTTTGTGATGTTTGCATTCAAGTCACAGAGTTGAATATTCCCTTTTATAGAGTAGGTTTGAAACACTCTTTCGGCACTACCTGGAAGTGGATATTTCGAGCTCTTTGAGGCCTATGGTTAAAAGGAAATATCTTCCCATAAAAACTAGACAGAAGCCGTCTCAGAAACTTGTTTGTGATGTGTGTATTCAACTAACAGAGTTGAACATTTCTGTTACAGAGCAATTTTAAAACACTCTTTTTGTGGAATCTGAAAGTGGATAATTGGATAGCTTTGTGGATTTCGTTGGAAACGGGATGACGTATAAAATCTAGAGAGAAGCATTCTCAGGAACTTCTTTCTGATGTTTGCATTCAAGTCACAGAATTGAACATTCCTTTTCAGAGTGCAGGTTTGAAACACTCTTTCTGTAGTATCTGGAAGTGGACATTTCAAGCGCTTTCAGGCCTACGGGGAGAAAGGAAATATCTTCAAATAAAAACTAGACAGAAGGATTCTCAGAAACTTATTTGTGATGTGTGTCCTAAACGAACACAGTTGAACCTTTGTTTTGATACAGCATTTTGGAAACACTCCTTTTGTAGGATCTGCAGGTGGATATTTGGATAGATTTTAAGATTTCGTTGGAAACGGGAATTTCTTCATAGAAGCTCAAGACAGATGCATTCTCAGCAAACTTCTCTGTGATGTTTGCATTCCACTCATAGAGTTGAAAACTTCCTTTCATAGAGCAGGTTTGAAACACTCTTTTTGTAATATTTGGAAGTGGACATTCGCAGCGCTTTGAGGCCTATGGTGAAAAAGGAAATATCTTCTCATAAAAACCAGAAACAAGCATTCTCAGAAACTTCTTTTTGATGTGTGTACTCAAGTAACAGAGTTGAACCTTCCTCTTGACACAGCAGTTTTGAAACAATCTTTTTGTAGAATCTGCAAGTGGATATTTGGATAGCTTTGAGGATTTCGTTGGAAACGGGATATCTTCATATAAAATCTAGACAGAAGCATTCTCAGAAACTTCTTTGTGCTGTATGTCCTCAATTAACAGAGTTGAACCATTGCCTGGATACAGCATTTTGGAAACATTCCTTGAGTAGAATCTGCAAGTTGATATTTAGATAGATTTGAAGATTTCGTTGGAAAAGGGAATATCTCCATATAAAATCTAGAGGGAAGCATTCTCAGAAACTGCTTTGTGATGTTTCCATTCAAGTCACAGAGTTGAATATTCCCTTTTATAGAGCACGTTTGAAACACTCTTTCTGCACTATCTGGAAGCGGACATTTCGAGCGCTTTGAGGCCTATGGTGAAAAAGGAAATATCTTCCCATAAAAACTAGACAGAAGCATTCTCAGAAACTTGTTTGTGATGTGTGTATTCAACTAACAGAGTTGAACTTTTGTTTTTACAGAGCCGTTTTAAAACACTCTTTTTGTGGAATCAGAAAGTGGATATTCGGATGGCTCTGAGGATTTCGTTGGAAGCGGGATTACGTATAAAATCTAGAGAGAAGCATTCTCAGGAACTTCTTTCTGATGTTTGCATTGAAGTCACGGAATTGAACATTCACTTTGATAGAGCAGGTTTGAAACACTCATTCTGTAGTATCTGGAAGTGGACATTTCAAGCGCTTTCAGGCCTATGGTGAGAAAGGAAATATCTTCGAATAAAAACTAGACAGAAGCATCCTCAGAAACTTATTTGTGATGTGTGTCCTCAACTAACAGAGTTGAAACTTTGTTTTGATACAGCATTTTGGAAACACTCTTTTTGTAGAATCTGCAGGTGGATATTTGGATAGCTTAGAGGGATTCGTTGGAAAGGGGATATCTTCATATAAAATCTAGACAGAAGCATTCTCAGAAACTTATTTGTGATGTGTGTCCTCAACTAACAGAGTTGAACCTTGGTTTTGATACAGCATTTTGGAAACACTCCTTTTGTAGAATCTGCAGGTGGATATGTGGATAGCTACTGAAGATTTCGTTGGAAACGGGAATTTCTTCATATAAAATCAAACAGAAGCATTCTCAGAAACTTCTCAGTGATGTTTGCATTCAGCTCATGGAGTTGAACACTTCCTTTCATAGAGCAGGTTTGAAACACTCTTTCTGCACTACCTGGAAGAGGACATTTCGAGCGCTTTGAGTCCTATGGTGAAAAAGGAAATATCTTCTCATAGAAACCAGAAAGAAGCATTCTCAGAAACTTCTTTGTGCTGTATGTCCTCAATTAACAGAGTTGAACCATTGCCTGGATACAGCATTTTGGAAACATTCCTTGAGTAGAATCTGCAAGTTGATATTTAGATAGATTTGAAGATTTCGTTGGAAAAGGGAATATCTCCATATAAAATCTAGAGGGAAGCATTCTCAGAAACTGCTTTGTGATGTTTCCATTCAAGTCACAGAGTTGAATATTCCCTTTTATAGAGCACGTTTGAAACACTCTTTCTGCACTATCTGGAAGTGGACATTTCGAGCGCTTTGAGGCCTATGGTGAAAAAGGAAATATCTTCCCATAAAAACTAGACAGAAGCATTCTCAGAAACTTGTTTGTGATGTGTGTATTCAACTAACAGACTTGAACTTTTGTTTTTACAGAGCAGTTTTAAAACAATCTTTTTGTGGAATCAGAAAGTGGATATTCGGATGGCTTTGAGGATTTCGTTGGAAGCGGGATTACATATAAAATGTAGAGAGAAGCATTCTCAGGAACTACTTTGTGATGTTTGCATTGAAGTCACAGAATTGAACATTCACTTTGATAGAGCAGGTTTGAAACACTCATTCTGTAGTATCTGGAAGTGGACATTTCAAGCGCTTTCAGGCCTATGGGGAGAAAGGAAATATCTTCAAATTAAAACTAGACAGAAGCATCCTCAGAAACTTATTTGTGATGTGTGTCCTCAACTAACAGAGTTGAAACTTTGTTTTGATACAGCATTTTGGAAACACTCTTTTTGTAGAATCTGCAGGTGGATATTTGGATAGCTTAGAGGGATTCGTTGGAAAGGGGATATCTTCATATAAAATCTAGACAGAAGCATTCTCAGAAACTTATTTGTGATGTGTGTCCTCAACTAACAGAGTTGAACCTTGGTTTTGATACAGCATTTTGGAAACACTCCTTTTGTAGAATCTGCAGGTGGATATGTGGATAGCTCTGAAGATTTCGTTGGAAACGGGAATTTCTTCATATGAAATCAAACAGAAGCATTCTCAGAAACTTCTCAGTGATGTTTGCATTCAGTTCATGGAGTTGAACACTTCCCTTCATAGAGCCGGTTTGAAACACTCTTTCTGCACTACCTGGAAGAGGACATTTCGAGCGCTTTGAGTCCTATGGTGAAAAAGGAAATATCTTCTCATATAAACCAGAAAGAAGCATTCTCAGAAACTTCTTTGTGTTGTGTGTACTCATGTAACAGTGTTGAACCATCCTTTTGACAGAGCAGTTTTGAAACACTCTTTTTGTAGAATCTGCAAGTGGATATTTGGATAGCTTTGAGGATTTCGTTGGAAACGGGATGACATATAATATCTAGAGAGAAGCATTCTCAGGAACTTCTTTGTGATGTTTGCATTCAAGTCACAGAATTGAACATTCCCTTTCATAGAGCAGGTTTGAAACACTCTTTCTCTAGTATCTGGAAGTGGGCATTTCAAGCGCTTTCAGGCCTATGGAGAGAAAGGAAATACCTTCAAATAAAAACTAGACAGAAGCATTCTCAGAAACTTATTTGTGATGTGTGTCCTCAACTAACAGAGTTGAACCTTTGTTTTGATACAGCATTTTGGAAACACTCCTTTTGTAGAATCTGCAGGTGGATATTTGGATAGCTTTGAAGATTTCGTTGGAAACCGGAATATCTTCATATAAAATCAAGACAGAAGCATTCTCGGAAACATCTCTGTGATGTTTGCATTCAACTCAGTAGAGTTGAACACTTCCTTTCATAGAGCAGGTTTGAAACACTCTTTCTGCACTACCTGGAAGCGGACATTTCGAGCGCTTTGAGGCCTATGGTGAAAAAGGAAATATCTTCTCATAAAAACCAGAAAGAAGCATTCTCAGAAACTTCTTTGTGTTGTGTGTACTCAAGTAACAGTGTTGAACCTTCCTTTTGACAGAGCAGTTTTGAAACACTCTTTTGGTAGAATCTGCAAGTGGATATTTGGATAGCTTTGAGGAATTCGTTGGAAACGGGTTATCTTCATATAAAATCCAGACAGGAGCATTCTCAGAAACTTCTTTGTGCTGTATGTCCTCAATTCACAGAGCTGAACCTTTGTTTGGATACAGCATTTTGGAGACATTCCTTTAGTAGAATCTGCAAGTTGATATTTAGATAGCTTTGAAGATTTCGTTGGAAACGGGAATATCTTCATAGAAAATCTAGACGGAAGCATTCTCAGAAACTGCTTTGTGATGTTTGCATTCAAGTCACAGAGTTGAATATTCCCTTTTATAGAGTAGGTTTGAAACACTCTTTCGGCACTACCTGGAAGTGGATATTTCGAGCTCTTTGAGGCCTATGGTTAAAAGGAAATATCTTCCCATAAAAACTAGACAGAAGCCGTCTCAGAAACTTGTTTGTGATGTGTGTATTCAACTAACAGAGTTGAACATTTCTGTTACAGAGCAATTTTAAAACACTCTTTGTGGAATCTGAAAGTGGATAATTGGATAGCTTTGTGGATTTCGTTGGAAGCGGGATGACGTATAAAATCTAGAGAGAAGCATTCTCAGGAACTTCTTTCTGATGTTTGCATTCAAGTCACAGAATTGAACATTCCTTTTCAGAGTGCAGGTTTGAAACACTCTTTCTGTAGTATCTGGAAGTGGACATTTCAAGCGCTTTCAGGCCTACAGGGAGAAAGGAAATATCTTCAAATAAAAACTAGAGAGAAGGATTCTCAGAAACTTATTTGTGATGTGTGTCCTAAACGAACACAGTTGAACCTTTGTTTTGATACAGCATTTTGGAAACACTCCTTTTGTAGGATCTGCAGGTGGATATTTGGATAGATTTTAAGATTTCGTTGGAAACGGGAATTTCTTCATAGAAGCTCAAGACAGATGCATTCTCAGAAACTTCTCTGTGATGTTTGCATTCCACTCATAGAGTTGAAAACTTCCTTTCATAGAGCAGGTTTGAAACACTCTTTTTGTAATATTTGGAAGTGGACATTTGCAGCGCTTTGAGGCCTATGGTGAAAAAGGAAATATCTTCTCATAAAAACCAGAAACAAGCATTCTCAGAAACTTCTTTTTGATGTGTGTACTCAAGTAACAGAGTTGAACCTTCCTCTTGACACAGCAGTTTTGAAACAATCTTTTTGTAGAATCTGCAAGTGGATATTTGGATAGCTTTGAGGATTTCGTTGGAAACGGGATATCTTCATATAAAATCTAGACAGAAGCATTCTCAGAAACTTCTTTGTGCTGTATGTCCTCAATTAACAGAGTTGAACCATTGCCTGGATACAGCATTTTGGAAACATTCCTTGAGTAGAATCTGCAAGTTGATATTTAGATAGATTTGAAGATTTCGTTGGAAAAGGGAATATCTCCATATAAAATCTAGAGGGAAGCATTCTCAGAAACTGCTTTGTGATGTTTCCATTCAAGTCACAGAGTTGAATATTCCCTTTTATAGAGCACGTTTGAAACACTCTTTCTGCACTATCTGGAAGCGGACATTTCGAGCGCTTTCAGGCCTATGGTGAAAAAGGAAATATCTTCCCATAAAAACTAGACAGAAGCATTCTCAGAAACTTGTTTGTGATGTGTGTATTCAACTAACAGAGTTGAACTTTTGTTTTTACAGAGCCGTTTTAAAACACTCTTTTTGTGGAATCAGAAAGTGGATATTCGGATGGCTCTGAGGATTTCGTTGGAAGCGGGATTACGTATAAAATCTAGAGAGAAGCATTCTCAGGAACTTCTTTCTGATGTTTGCATTGAAGTCACGGAATTGAACATTCACTTTTATAGAGCAGGTTTGAAACACTCATTCTGTAGTATCTGGAAGTGGACATTTCAAGCGCTTTCAGGCCTATGGTGAGAAAGGAAATATCTTCGAATAAAAACTAGACAGAAGCATCCTCAAACTTATTTGTGATGTGTGTCCTCAACTAACAGAGTTGAAACTTTGTTTTGATACAGCATTTTGGAAACACTCTTTTTGTAGAATCTGCAGGTGGATATTTGGATAGCTTAGAGGGATTCGTTGGAAAGGGGATATCTTCATATAAAATCTAGACAGAAGCATTCTCAGAAACTTATTTGTGATGTGTGTCCTCAACTAACAGAGTTGAACCTTGGTTTTGATACAGCATTTTGGAAACACTCCTTTTGTAGAATCTGCAGGTGGATATGTGGATAGCTCTGAAGATTTCGTTGGAAACGGGAATTTCTTCATATAAAATCAAACAGAAGCATTCTCAGAAACTTCTCAGTGATGTTTGCATTCAGCTCATGGAGTTGTACACTTCCTTTCATAGAGCAGGTTTGAAACACTCTTTCTGCACTACTTGGAAGAGGACATTTCGAGCGCTTTGAGTCCTATGGTGAAAAAGGAAATATCTTCTCATAGAAACCAGAAAGAAGCATTCTCAGAAACTTCTTTGTGTTGTGTGTACTCATGTAACAGTGTTGAACCATCCTTTTGACAGAGGAGTTTTGAAACACTCTTTTTGTAGAATCTGCAAGTGGATATTTGGATAGCTTTGAGGATTTCGTTGGAAACGGGATGACATATAATATCTAGAGAGAAGCATTCTCAGGAACTTCTTTGTGATGTTTGCATTCAAGTCACAGAATTGAACATTCCCTTTCATAGAGCAGGTTTGAAACACTCTTTCTCTAGTATCTGGAAGTGGGCATTTCAAGCGCTTTCAGGCCTATGGAGAGAAAGGAAATACCTTCAAATAAAAACTAGACAGAAGCATTCTCAGAAACTTATTTGTGATGTGTGTCCTCAACTAACAGAGTTGAACCTTTGTTTTGATACAGCATTTTGGAAACACTCCTTTTGTAGAATCTGCAGGTGGATATTTGGATAGCTTTGAAGATTTCGTTGGAAACCGGAATATCTTCATATAAAATCAAGACAGAAGCATTCTCGGAAACATCTCTGTGATGTTTGCATTCAACTCAGTAGAGTTGAACACTTCCTTTCATAGAGCAGGTTTGAAACACTCTTTCTGCACTACCTGGAAGCGGACATTTCGAGCGCTTTGAGGCCTATGGTGAAAAAGGAAATATCTTCTCATAAAAACCAGAAAGAAGCATTCTCAGAAACTTCTTTGTGTTGTGTGTACTCAAGTAACAGTGTTGAACCTTCCTTTTGACAGAGCAGTTTTGAAACACTCTTTTGGTAGAATCTGCAAGTGGATATTTGGAGAGCTTTGAGGATTTCGTTGGAAACGGGTTATCTTCCTATAAAATCCAGACAGGAGCATTCTCAGAAACTTCTTTGTGCTGTATGTACTCAATTCACAGAGCTGAACCTTTGTTTGGATACAGCATTTTGGAGACATTCCTTTAGTAGAATCTGCAAGTTGATATTTAGATAGCTTTGAAGATTTCGTTGGAAACGGGAATATCTTCATAGAAAATCTAGACGGAAGCATTCTCAGAAACTGCTTTGTGATGTTTGCATTCAAGTCACAGAGTTGAATATTCCCTTTTATAGAGTAGGTTTGAAACACTCTTTCGGCACTACCTGGAAGTGGATATTTCGAGCTCTTTGAGGCCTATGGTTAAAAGGAAATATCTTCCCATAAAAACTAGACAGAAGCCGTCTCAGAAACTTGTTTGTGATGTGTGTATTCAACTAACAGAGTTGAACATTTCTGTTACAGAGCAATTTAAAACACTCTTTTTGTGGAATCTGAAAGTGGATAATTGGATAGCTTTGTGGATTTCGTTGGAAACGGGATGACGTATAAAATCTAGAGAGAAGCATTCTCAGGAACTTCTTTCTGATGTTTGCATTCAAGTCACAGAATTGAACATTCCTTTTCAGAGTGCAGGTTTGAAACACTCTTTCTGTAGTATCTGGAAGTGGACATTTCAAGCGCTTTCAGGCCTACAGGGAGAAAGGAAATATCTTCAAATAAAAACTAGAGAGAAGGATTCTCAGAAACTTATTTGTGATGTGTGTCCTAAACGAACACAGTTGAACCTTTGTTTTGATACAGCATTTTGGAAACACTCCTTTTGTAGGATCTGCAGGTGGATATTTGGATAGATTTTAAGATTTCGTTGGAAACGGGAATTTCTTCATAGAAGCTCAAGACAGATGCATTCTCAGAAACTTCTCTGTGATGTTTGCATTCCACTCATAGAGTTGAAAACTTCCTTTCATAGAGCAGGTTTGAAACACTCTTTTTGTAATATTTGGAAGTGGACATTTGCAGCGCTTTGAGGCCTATGGTGAAAAAGGAAATATCTTCTCATAAAAACCAGAAACAAGCATTCTCAGAAACTTCTTTTTGATGTGTGTACTCAAGTAACAGAGTTGAACCTTCCTTTTGACACAGCAGTTTTGAAACAATCTTTTTGTAGAATCTGCAAGTGGATATTTGGATAGCTTTGAGGATTTCGTTGGAAACGGGATATCTTCATATAAAATCTAGACAGAAGCATTCTCAGAAACTTCTTTGTGCTGTATGTCCTCAATTAACAGAGTTGAACCATTGCCTGGATACAGCATTTTGGAAACATTCCTTGAGTAGAATCTGCAAGTTGATATTTAGATAGATTTGAAGATTTCGTTGGAAAAGGGAATATCTCCATATAAAATCTAGAGGGAAGCATTCTCAGAAACTGCTTTGTGATGTTTCCATTCAAGTCACAGAGTTGAATATTCTCTTTTATAGAGCACGTTTGAAACACTCTTTCTGCACTATCTGGAAGCGGACATTTCGAGCGCTTTGAGGCCTATGGTGAAAAAGGAAATATCTTCCCATAAAAACTAGACAGAAGCATTCTCAGAAACTTGTTTGTGATGTGTGTATTCAACTAACAGAGTTGAACTTTTGTTTTTACAGAGCCGTTTTAAAACACTCTTTTTGTGGAATCAGAAAGTGGATATTCGGATGGCTCTGAGGATTTCGTTGGAAGCGGGATTACATATAAAATCTAGAGAGAAGCATTCTCAGGAACTTCTTTGTGATGTTTGCATTGAAGTCACAGAATTGAACATTCACTTTGATAGAGCAGGTTTGAAACACTCATTCTGTAGGATCTGGAAGTGGACATTTCAAGCGCTTTCAGGCCTATGGTGAGAAAGGAAATATCTTCGAATAAAAACTAGACAGAAGCATCCTCAGAAACTTATTTGTGATGTGTGTCCTCAACTAACAGAGTTGAAACTTTGTTTTGATACAGCATTTTGGAAACACTCTTTTTGTAGAATCTGCAGGTGGATATTTGGATAGCTTAGAGGGATTCGTTGGAAAGGGGATATCTTCATATAAAATCTAGACAGAAGCATTCTCAGAAACTTATTTGTGATGTGTGTCCTCAACTAACAGAGTTGAACCTTGGTTTTGATACAGCATTCTGGAAACACTCCTTTTGTAGAATCTGCAGGTGGATATGTGGATAGCTCTGAAGATTTCGTTGGAAACGGGAATTTCTTCATATAAAATCAAACAGAAGCATTCTCAGAAACTTCTCAGTGATGTTTGCATTCAGTTCATGGAGTTGAACACTTCCTTTCATAGAGCCGGTTTGAAACACTCTTTCTGCACTACCTGGAAGAGGACATTTCGAGCGCTTTGAGTCCTATGGTGAAAAAGGAAATATCTTCTCATAGAAACCAGAAAGAAGCATTCTCAGAAACTTCTTTGTGTTGTGTGTACTCATGTAACAGTGTTGAACCATCCTTTTGACAGAGCAGTTTTGAAACACTCTTTTTGTAGAATCTGCAAGTGGATATTTGGATAGCTTTGAGGATTTCGTTGGAAACGGGTTATCTTCATATAAAATCCAGACAGGAGCATTCTCAGAAACTTCTTTGTGCTGTATGTCCTCAATTCACAGAGCTGAACCTTTGTTTGGATACAGCATTTTGGAGACATTCCTTTAGTAGAATCTGCAAGTTGATATTTAGATAGCTTTGAAGATTTCGTTGGAAACGGGAATATCTTCATAGAAAATCTAGATGGAAGCATTCTCAGAAACTGCTTTGTGATGTTTGCATTCAAGTCACAGAGTTGAATATTCCCTTTTATAGAGTAGGTTTGAAACACTCTTTCGGCACTACCTGGAAGTGGATATTTCGAGCTCTTTGAGGCCTATGGTTAAAAGGAAATATCTTCCCATAAAAACTAGACAGAAGCCGTCTCAGAAACTTGTTTGTGATGTGTGTATTCAACTAACAGAGTTGAACATTTCTGTTACAGAGCAATTTTAAAACACTCTTTTTGTGGAATCTGAAAGTGGATATTTGGGTAGCTTTGTGGATTTCGTTAGAAACGGGATGACGTATAAAATCTAGAGAGAAGCATTCTCAGGAACTTCTTTCTGATGTTTGCATTCAAGTCACAGAATTGAACATTCCTTTTCAGAGTGCAGGTTTGAAACACTCTTTCTGTAGTATCTGGAAGTGGACATTTCAAGCGCTTTCAGGCCTACGGGGAGAAAGGAAATATCTTCAAATAAAAACTAGACAGAAGGGTTCTCAGAAACTTATTTGTGATGTGTGTCCTAAACGAACACAGTTGAACCTTTGTTTTGATACAGCATTTTGGAAACACTCCTTTTGTAGGATCTGCAGGTGGATATTTGGATAGCTTTGAAGATTTCGTTGGAAACCGGAATATCTTCATATAAAATCAAGACAGAAGCATTCTCGGAAACATCTCTGTGATGTTTGCATTCAACTCAGTAGAGTTGAACACTTCCTTTCATAGAGCAGGTTTGAAACACTCTTTCTGCACTACCTGGAAGCGGACATTTCGAGCGCTTTGAGGCCTATGGTGAAAAAGGAAATATCTTCTCATAAAAACCAGAAAGAAGCATTCTCAGAAACTTCTTTGTGTTGTGTGTACTCAAGTAACAGTGTTGATCCTTCCTTTTGACAGAGCAGTTTTGAAACACTCTTTTGGTAGAATCTGCAAGTGGATATTTGGATAGCTTTGAGGATTTCGTTGGAAACGGGTTATCTTCCTATAAAATCCAGACAGGAGCATTCTCAGAAACTTCTTTGTGCTGTATGTCCTCAATTCACAGAGCTGAACCTTTGTTTGGATACAGCATTTTGGAGACATTCCTTTAGTAGAATCTGCAAGTTGATATTTAGATAGCTTTGAAGATTTCGTTGGAAACGGGAATATCTTCATAGAAAATCTAGACGGAAGCATTCTCAGAAACTGCTTTGTGATGTTTGCATTCAAGTCACAGAGTTGAATATTCCCTTTTATAGAGTAGGTTTGAAACACTCTTTCGGCACTACCTGGAAGTGGATATTTCGAGCTCTTTGAGGCCTATGGTTAAAAGGAAATATCTTCCCATAAAAACTAGACAGAAGCCGTCTCAGAAACTTGTTTGTGATGTGTGTATTCAACTAACAGAGTTGAACATTTCTGTTACAGAGCAATTTTAAAACACTCTTTGTGGAATCTGAAAGTGGATAATTGGATAGCTTTGTGGATTTCGTTGGAAACGGGATGACGTATAAAATCTAGAGAGAAGCATTCTCAGGAACTTCTTTCTGATGTTTGCATTCAAGTCACAGAATTGAACATTCCTTTTCAGAGTGCAGGTTTGAAACACTCTTTCTGTAGTATCTGGAAGTGGACATTTCAAGCGCTTTCAGGCCTACGGGGAGAAAGGAAATATCTTCAAATAAAAACTAGACAGAAGGATTCTCAGAAACTTATTTGTGATGTGTGTCCTAAACGAACACAGTTGAACCTTTGTTTTGATACAGCATTTTGGAAACACTCCTTTTGTAGGATCTGCAGGTGGATATTTGGATAGATTTTAAGATTTCGTTGGAAACGGGAATTTCTGCATATAAACTCAAGACAGATGCATTCTCAGAAACTTCTCTGTGATGTTTGCATTCCACTCATAGAGTTGAAAACTTCCTTTCATAGAGCAGGTTTGAAACACTCTTTTTGTAATATTTGGAAGTGGACATTTGCAGCGCTTTGAGGCCTATGGTGAAAAAGGAAATATCTTCTCATAAAAACCAGAAACAAGCATTCTCAGAAACTTCTTTTTGATGTGTGTACTCAAGTAACAGAGTTGAACCTTCCTTTTGACACAGCAGTTTTGAAACAATCTTTTTGTAGAATCTGCAAGTGGATATTTGGATAGCTTTGAGGATTTCGTTGGAAACGGGATATCTTCATATAAAATCTAGACAGAAGCATTCTCAGAAACTTCTTTGTGCTGTATGACCTCAATTAACAGAGTTGAACCATTGCTTGCATACAGCATTTTGGAAACATTTCTTGAGTAGAATCTGCAAGTTGATATTTAGATAGATTTGAAGATTTCGTTCGAAAACGGAATATCTCCATATAAAATCTAGAGGGAAGCATTCTCAGAAACTGCTTTGTGATGTTTCCATTCAAGTCACAGAGTTGAATATTCCCTTTTATAGAGCACGTTTGAAACACTCTTTCTGCACTATCTGGAAGTGGACATTTCGAGCGCTTTGAGGCCTATGGTGAAAAAGGAAATATCTTCCCATAAAAACTAGACAGAAGCATTCTCAGACACTTGTTTGTGATGTGTGTATTCAACTAACAGACTTGAACTTTTGTTTTTACAGAGCAGTTTTAAAACAATCTTTTTGTGGAATCAGAAAGTGGATATTCGGATGGCTTTGAGGATTTCGTTGGAAGCGGGATTACATATAAAATCTAGAGAGAAGCATTCTCAGGAACTACTTTGTGATGTTTGCATTGAAGTCACAGAATTGAACATTCACTTTGATAGAGCAGGTTTGAAACACTCATTCTGTAGTATCTGGAAGTGGACATTTCAAGCGCTTTCAGGCCTATGGGGAGAAAGGAAATATCTTCAAATTAAAACTAGACAGAAGCATCCTCAGAAACTTATTTGTGATGTGTGTCCTCAACTAACAGAGTTGAAACTTTGTTTTGATACAGCATTTTGGAAACACTCTTTTTGTAGAATCTGCAGGTGGATACTTGGATAGCTTAGAGGGATTCGTTGGAAAGGGGATAAATTCATATAAAATCTAGACAGAAGCATTCTCAGAAACTTATTTGTGATGTGGGTCCTCAACTAACAGAGTTGAACCTTGGTTTTGATACAGCATTTTGGAAACACTCCTTTTGAAGAATCTGCAGGTGGATATGTGGATAGCTTTGAAGATTTCGTTGGAAACGGGAATTTCTTCATATAAAATCAAACAGAAGCATTCTCAGGAACTTCTCTGTGATGTTTGCATTCAGCTCATGGAGTTGAACACTTCCTTTCATAGAGCAGGTTTGAAACACTCTTTCTGCACTACCTGGAAGTGGACATTTCGAGCGCTTTGAGGCCTATGGTGAAAAAGGAAATATCCTCTCATAAAAACCAGAAAGAAGCGTTCTCAGAAACTTCTTTGTGTTGTGTGTACTCATGTAACAGTGTTGAACCATCCTTTTGACAGAGCAGTTTTGAAACACTCTTTTTGTAGAATCTGCCAGTGGATATTTGGATAGCTTTGAGGATTTCGTTGGAAACGGGTTATCTTCATATTAAATCTAGACAGAAGCATTCTCAGAAACTTCTTTGTGCTGTATGTCCTCAATTCACAGAGTTGAACCTTTGTTTGGATACAGCATTTTGGAAACATTCCTTTAGTAGAATCTGCAAGTTGATATTTAGATAGCTTTGAAGATTTCGTTGGAAACGGGAATATCTTCATAAAAAATCTAGACGGAAGCATTGTCAGAAACTGCTCTGTGATGTTTGCATTCAAGTCACAGAGTTAAATATTCTTTTATAGAGCAGGTTTGAAACACTCTTTCTGCACTCCCTGGAAGTGGAGATTTCGAGCGCTTTGAGGCCTATGGTGAAAAAGGAAATATCTTCCCATAAAAACTAGACGGAAGCATTCTCAGAAACTTGTTTGTGATGTGTGTATTCAACTAACAGAGTTGAACTTTTGTTTTTACAGAGCCGTTTTAAAACACTCTTTTTGTGGAATCAGAAAGTGGATATTCGGATGGCTCTGAGGATTTCGTTGGAAGCGGGATTACATATAAAATCTAGAGAGAAGCATTCTCAGGAACTTCTTTCTGATGTTTGCATTGAAGTCACAGAATTGAACATTCACTTTTATAGAGCAGGTTTGAAACACTCATTCTGTAGTATCTGGAAGTGGACATTTCAAGCGCTTTCAGGCCTATGGTGAGAAAGGAAATATCTTCGAATAAAAACTAGACAGAAGCATCCTCAAACTTATTTGTGATGTGTGTCCTCAACTAACAGAGTTGAAACTTTGTTTTGATACAGCATTTTGGAAACACTCTTTTTGTAGAATCTGCAGGTGGATATTTGGATAGCTTAGAGGGATTCGTTGGAAAGGGGATATCTTCATATAAAATCTAGACAGAAGCATTCTCAGAAACTTATTTGTGATGTGTGTCCTCAACTAACAGAGTTGAACCTTGGTTTTGATACAGCATTTTGGAAACACTCCTTTTGTAGAATCTGCATGTGGATATGTGGATAGCTCTGAAGATTTCGTTGGAAACGGGAATTTCTTCATATAAAATCAAACAGAAGCATTCTCAGAAACTTCTCAGTGATGTTTGCATTCAGCTCATGGAGTTGTACACTTCCTTTCATAGAGCAGGTTTGAAACACTCTTTCTGCACTACTTGGAAGAGGACATTTCGAGCGCTTTGAGTCCTATGGTGAAAAAGGAAATATCTTCTCATAGAAACCAGAAAGAAGCATTCTCAGAAACTTCTTTGTGTTGTGTGTACTCATGTAACAGTGTTGAACCATCCTTTTGACAGAGCAGTTTTGAAACACTCTTTTTGTAGAATCTGCAAGTGGATATTTGGATAGCTTTGAGGATTTCGTTGGAAACGGGATGACATATAATATCTAGAGAGAAGCATTCTCAGGAACTTCTTTGTGATGTTTGCATTCAAGTCACAGAATTGAACATTCCCTTTCATAGAGCAGGTTTGAAACACTCTTTCTCTAGTATCTGGAAGTGGGCATTTCAAGCGCTTTCAGGCCTATGGAGAGAAAGGAAATACCTTCAAATAAAAACTAGACAGAAGCATTCTCAGAAACTTATTTGTGATGTGTGTCCTCAACTAACAGAGTTGAACCTTTGTTTTGATACAGCATTTTGGAAACACTCCTTTTGTAGAATCTGCAGGTGGATATTTGGATAGCTTTGAAGATTTCGTTGGAAACCGGAATATCTTCATATAAAATCAAGACAGAAGCATTCTCGGAAACATCTCTGTGATGTTTGCATTCAACTCAGTAGAGTTGAACACTTCCTTTCATAGAGCAGGTTTGAAACACTCTTTCTGCACTACCTGGAAGCGGACATTTCGAGCGCTTTGAGGCCTATGGTGAAAAAGGAAATATCTTCTCATAAAAACCAGAAAGAAGCATTCTCAGAAACTTCTTTGTGTTGTGTGTACTCAAGTAACAGTGTTGAACCTTCCTTTTGACAGAGCAGTTTTGAAACACTCTTTTGGTAGAATCTGCAAGTGGATATTTGGAGAGCTTTGAGGATTTCGTTGGAAACGGGTTATCTTCATATAAAATCCAGACAGGAGCATTCTCAGAAACTTCTTTGTGCTGTATGTCCTCAATTCACAGAGCTGAACCTTTGTTTGGATACAGCATTTTGGAGACATTCCTTTAGTAGAATCTGCAAGTTGATATTTAGATAGCTTTGAAGATTTCGTTGGAAACGGGAATATCTTCATAGAAAATCTAGACGGAAGCATTCTCAGAAACTGCTTTGTGATGTTTGCATTCAAGTCACAGAGTTGAATATTCCCTTTTATAGAGTAGGTTTGAAACACTCTTTCGGCACTACCTGGAAGTGGATATTTCGAGCTCTTTGAGGCCTATGGTTAAAAGGAAATATCTTCCCATAAAAACTAGACAGAAGCCGTCTCAGAAACTTGTTTGTGATGTGTGTATTCAACTACCAGAGTTGAACATTTCTGTTACAGAGCAATTTTAAAACACTCTTTTTGTGGAATCTGAAAGTGGATAATTGGATAGCTTTGTGGATTTCGTTGGAAACGGGATGACAGTATAAAATCTAGAGAGAAGCATTCTCAGGCAACTTCTTTCTGATGTTTGCATTCAAGTCACAGAATTGAACATTCCTTTTCAGAGTGCAGGTTTGAAACACACTCTTTCTGTAGTATCTGGAAGTGGACATTTCAAGCGCTTTCAGGCCTACGGGGAGAAAGGAAATATCTTCAAATAAAAACTAGACAGAAGGCTTCTCAGAAACTTATTTGTGATGTGTGTCCTAAACGAACACAGTTGAACCTTTGTTTTGATACAGCATTTTGGAAACACTCCTTTTGTAGAATCTGCAGGTGGATATTTGGATAGATTTTAAGATTTCGTTGGAAACGGGAATTTCTTCATATAATCTCAAGACGGATGCATTCTCAGAAACTTCTCTGTGATGTTTGCATTCCACTCATAGAGTTGAAAACTTCCTTTCATAGAGCAGGTTTGAAACACTCTTTTTGTAATATTTGGAAGTGGACATTTGCAGCGCTTTGAGGCCTATGGTGAAAAAGGAAATATCTTCTCATAAAAACCAGAAACAAGCATTCTCAGAAACTGCTTTTTGATGTGTGTACTCAAGTAACAGAGTTGAACCTTCCTTTTGACACAGCAGTTTTGAAACAATCTTTTTGTAGAATCTGCAAGTGGATATTTGGATAGCTTTGAGGATTTCGTTGGAAACGGGATATCTTCATATAAAATCTAGACAGAAGCATTCTCAGAAACTTCTTTGTGCTGTATGTCCTCAATTAACAGAGTTGAACCATTGCTTGGATACAGCATTTTGGAAACATTCCTTTAGTAGAATCTGCAAGTTGATATTTAGATAGCATTGAAGATTTCGTTGGAAACGGGAATATCTTCATATAAAATCTAGACGGAGGCATTCTCAGAAACTGCTTTGTGATGTTTCCATTCAAGTCACAGAGTTGAATATTCTCTTTTATAGAGCACGTTTGAAACACTCTTTCTGCACTATCTGGAAGTGGACATTTCGAGCGCTTTGAGGCCTATGGTGAAAAAGGAAATATCTTCCCATAAAAACTAGACAGAAACATTCTCAGAAACTTGTTTGTGATGTGTGTATTCAACTAACAGACTTGAACTTTTGTTTTTACAGAGCAGTTTTAAAACAATCTTTTTGTGGAATCAGAAAGTGGATATTCGGATGGCTTTGAGGATTTCGTTGGAAGCGGGATTACATATAAAATCTAGAGAGAAGCATTCTCAGGAACTTCTTTGTGATGTTTGCATTGAAGTCACAGAATTGAACATTCACTTTGATAGAGCAGGTTTGAAACACTCATTCTGTAGGATCTGGAAGTGGACATTTCAAGCGCTTTCAGGCCTATGGTGAGAAAGGAAATATCTTCGAATAAAAACTAGACAGAAGCATCCTCAGAAACTTATTTGTGATGTGTGTCCTCAACTAACAGAGTTGAAACTTTGTTTTGATACAGCATTTTGGAAACACACTTTTTGTAAAATCTGCAGGTGGATATTTGGATAGCTTAGAGGGATTTTTTGGAAAGGGAATATCTTCATATAAAATCTAGACAGATAAGCATTCTCAGAAACTTATTTGTGATGTGTGTCCTCAACTAACAGAGTTGAACCTTGGTTTTGATACAGCATTTTGGAAACACTCCTTTTGTAGAATCTGCAGGTGGATATGTGGATAGCTCTGAAGATTTCGTTGGAAACGGGAATTTCTTCATATGAAATCAAACAGAAGCATTCTCAGAAACTTCTCAGTGATGTTTGCATTCAGTTCATGGAGTTGAACACTTCCCTTCATAGAGCCGGTTTGAAACACTCTTTCTGCACTACCTGGAAGAGGACATTTCGAGCGCTTTGAGTCCTATGGTGAAAAAGGAAATATCTTCTCATAGAAACCAGAAAGAAGCATTCTCAGAAACTTCTTTGTGTTGTGTGTACTCATGTAACAGTGTTGAACCATCCTTTTCACAGAGGAGTTTTGAAACACTCTTTTTGTAGAATCTGCAAGTGGATATTTGGATAGCTTTGAGGATTTCGTTGGAAACGGGATGACATATAATATCTAGAGAGAAGCATTCTCAGGAACTTCTTTGTGATGTTTGCATTCAAGTCACAGTATTGAACATTCCCTTTCATAGAGCAGGTTTGAAACACTCTTTCTCTAGTATCTGGAAGTGGGCATTTCAAGCGCTTTCAGGCCTATGGAGAGAAAGGAAATACCTTCAAATAAAAACTAGACAGAAGGATTCTCAGAAACTTATTGGTGATGTGTGTCCTAAACGAACACAGTTGAACCTTTGTTTTGATACAGCATTTTGGAAACACTCCCTTTGTAGAATCTGCAGGTGGATATTTGGTAGATATTAAGATTTCGTTGGAAACGGGAATTTCTTCATATAAACTCAAGACAGATGCATTCTCACGAAACTTCTCTGTGATCGTTTGCATTCCACTCATAGAGTTGAAAACTTCCTTTCATAGAGCAGGTTTGAAACACTCTTTTTGTAATATTTGGAAGTGGACATTTGCAGCGCTTTGTGGCCTATGGTGAAAAAGGAAATATCTTCTCATAAAAACCAGAAACAAGCATTCTCAGAAACTTCTTTGTGTTGTGTGTACTCAAGTAACAGTGTTGAAACTTCCTTTTGACAGAGCAGTTTTGAAACACTCTTTTTGTAGAATCTGCAAGTGGATATTTGGATAGCTTTGAGGATTTCCTTGGAAACGGGTTATCTTCATATAAAATCCAGACAGGAGCATTCTCAGAAACTTCTTTGTGCTGTATGTCCTCAATTCACAGAGCTGAACCTTTGTTTGGATACAGCATTTTGGAAACATTCCTTTAGTAGAATCTGCAAGTTGATATTTAGATAGCTTTGAAGATTTCGTTGGAAACGGGAATATCTTCATAGAAAATCTAGACGGAAGCATTCTCAGAAACTGCTTTGTGATGTTTGCATTCAAGTCACAGAGTTGAATATTCCCTTTTATAGAGTAGGTTTGAAACACTCTTTCGGCACTACCTGGAAGTGGATATTTCGAGCTCTTTGAGGCCTATGGTTAAAAGGAAATATCTTCCCATAAAAACTAGACAGAAGCCGTCTCAGAAACTTGTTTGTGATGTGTGTATTCAACTAACAGAGTTGAACATTTCTGTTACAGAGCAATTCAAAACACTCTTTTTGTGGAATCTGAAAGTGGATAATTGGATAGCTTTGTGGATTTCGTTGGAAACGGGATGACGTATAAAATCTAGAGAGAAGCATTCTCAGGAACTTCTTTCTGATGTTTGCATTCAAGTCACAGAATTGAACATTCCTTTTCAGAGTGCAGGTTTGAAACACTCTTTCTGTAGTATCTGGAATTGGACATTTCAAGCGCTTTCAGGCCTACAGGGAGAAAGGAAATATCTTCAAATAAAAACTAGAGAGAAGGATTCTCAGAAACTTATTTGTGATGTGTGTCCTAAACGAACACAGTTGAACCTTTGTTTTGATACAGCATTTTGGAAACACTCCTTTTGTAGGATCTGCAGGTGGATATTTGGATAGATTTTAAGATTTCGTTGGAAACGGGAATTTCTTCATAGAAGCTCAAGACAGATGCATTCTCAGAAACTTCTCTGTGATGTTTGCATTCCACTCATAGAGTTGAAAACTTCCTTTCATAGAGCAGGTTTGAAACACTCTTTTTGTAATATTTGGAAGTGGACATTTGCAGCGCTTTGAGGCCTATGGTGAAAAAGGAAATATCTTCTCATAAAAACCAGAAACAAGCATTCTCAGAAACTTCTTTTTGATGTGTGTACTCAAGTAACAGAGTTGAACCTTCCTCTTGACACAGCAGTTTTGAAACAATCTTTTTGTAGAATCTGCAAGTGGATATTTGGATAGCTTTGAGGATTTCGTTGGAAACGGGATATCTTCATATAAAATCTAGACAGAAGCATTCTCAGAAACTTCTTTGTGCTGTATGTCCTCAATTAACAGAGTTGAACCATTGCCTGGATACAGCATTTTGGAAACATTCCTTGAGTAGAATCTGCAAGTTGATATTTAGATAGATTTGAAGATTTCGTTGGAAAAGGGAATATCTCCATATAAAATCTAGAGGGAAGCATTCTCAGAAACTGCTTTGTGATGTTTCCATTCAAGTCACAGAGTTGAATATTCCCTTTTATAGAGCACGTTTGAAACACTCTTTCTGCACTATCTGGAAGCGGACATTTCGAGCGCTTTGAGGCCTATGGTGAAAAAGGAAATATCTTCCCATAAAAACTAGACAGAAGCATTCTCAGAAACTTGTTTGTGATGTGTGTATTCAACTAACAGAGTTGAACTTTTGTTTTTACAGAGCCGTTTTAAAACACTCTTTTTGTGGAATCAGAAAGTGGATATTCGGATGGCTCTGAGAATTTCGTTGGAAGCGGGATTACGTATAAAATCTAGAGAGAAGCATTCTCAGGAACTTCTTTGTGATGTTTGCATTGAAGTCACAGAATTGAACATTCACTTTGATAGAGCAGGTTTGAAACACTCATTCTGTAGTATCTGGAAGTGGACATTTCAAGCGCTTTCAGGCCTATGGTGAGAAAGGAAATATCTTCGAATAAAAACTAGACAGAAGCATCCTCAAACTTATTTGTGATGTGTGTCCTCAACTAACAGAGTTGAAACTTTGTTTTGATACAGCATTTTGGAAACACTCTTTTTGTAGAATCTGCAGGTGGATATTTGGATAGCTTAGAGGGATTCGTTGGAAAGGGGATATCTTCATATAAAATCTAGACAGAAGCATTCTCAGAAACTTATTTGTGATGTGTGTCCTCAACTAACAGAGTTGAACCTTGGTTTTGATACAGCATTTTGGAAACACTCCTTTTGTAGAATCTGCAGGTGGATATGTGGATAGCTCTGAAGATTTCGTTGGAAACGGGAATTTCTTCATATAAAATCAAACAGAAGCATTCTCAGAAACTTCTCAGTGATGTTTGCATTCAGCTCATGGAGTTGTACACTTCCTTTCATAGAGCAGGTTTGAAACACTCTTTCTGCACTACCTGGAAGAGGACAATTCGAGCGCTTTGAGTCCTATGGTGAAAAAGGATATATCTTCTCATAGAAACCAGAAAGAAGCATTCTCAGAAACTTCTTTGTGTTGTGTGTACTCATGTAACAGTGTTGAACCATCCTTTTGACAGAGGAGTTTTGAAACACTCTTTTTGTAGAATCTGCAAGTGGATATTTGGATAGCTTTGAGGATTTCGTTGGAAACGGGATGACATATAATATCTAGAGAGAAGCATTCTCAGGAACTTCTTTGTGATGTTTGCATTCAAGTCACAGAATTGAACATTCCCTTTCATAGAGCAGGTTTGAAACACTCTTTCTCTAGTATCTGGAAGTGGGCATTTCAAGCGCTTTCAGGCCTATGGAGAGAAAGGAAATACCTTCAAATAAAAACTAGACAGAAGCATTCTCAGAAACTTATTTGTGATGTGTGTCCTCAACTAACAGAGTTGAACCTTTGTTTTGATACAGCATTTTGGAAACACTCCTTTTGTAGAATCTGCAGGTGGATATTTGGATAGCTTTGAAGATTTCGTTGGAAACCGGAATATCTTCATATAAAATCAAGACAGAAGCATTCTCGGAAACATCTCTGTGATGTTTGCATTCAACTCAGTAGAGTTGAACACTTCCTTTCATAGAGCAGGTTTGAAACACTCTTTCTGCACTACCTGGAAGCGGACATTTCGAGTGCTTTGAGGCCTATGGTGAAAAAGGAAATATCTTCTCATAAAAACCAGAAAGAAGCATTCTCAGAAACTTCTTTGTGTTGTGTGTACTCAAGTAACAGTGTTGAACCTTCCTTTTGACAGAGCAGTTTTGAAACACTCTTTTGGTAGAATCTGCAAGTGGATATTTGGAGAGCTTTGAGGATTTCGTTGGAAACGGGTTATCTTCATATAAAATCCAGACAGGAGCATTCTCAGAAACTTCTTTGTGCTGTATGTCCTCAATTCACAGAGCTGAACCTTTGTTTGGATACAGCATTTTGGAGACATTCCTTTAGTAGAATCTGCAAGTTGATATTTAGATAGCTTTGAAGATTTCGTTGGAAACGGGAATATCTTCATAGAAAATCTAGACGGAAGCATTCTCAGAAACTGCTTTGTGATGTTTGCATTCAAGTCACAGAGTTGAATATTCCCTTTTATAGAGTAGGTTTGAAACACTCTTTCGGCACTACCTGGAAGTGGATATTTCGAGCTCTTTGAGGCCTATGGTTAAAAGGAAATATCTTCCCATAAAAACTAGACAGAAGCCGTCTCAGAAACTTGTTTGTGATGTGTGTATTCAACTACCAGAGTTGAACATTTCTGTTACAGAGCAATTTTAAAACACTCTTTCTGTGGAATCTGAAAGTGGATAATTGGATAGCTTTGTGGATTTCGTTGGAAACGGGATGACGTATAAAATCTAGAGAGAAGCATTCTCAGGAACTTCTTTCTGATGTTTGCATTCAAGTCACAGAATTGAACATTCCTTTTCAGAGTGCAGGTTTGAAACACTCTTTCTGTAGTATCTGGAAGTGGACATTTCAAGCGCTTTCAGGCCTATGGGGAGAAAGGAAATATCTTCAAATAAAAACTAGAGAGAAGGATTCTCAGAAACTTATTTGTGATGTGTGTCCTAAACGAACACAGTTGAACCTTTGTTTTGATACAGCATTTTGGAAACACTCCTTTTGTAGGATCTGCAGGTGGATATTTGGATAGATTTTAAGATTTCGTTGGAAACGGGAATTTCTTCATAGAAGCTCAAGACAGATGCATTCTCAGAAACTTCTCTGTGATGTTTGCATTCCACTCATAGAGTTGAAAACTTCCTTTCATAGAGCAGGTTTGAAACACTCTTTTTGTAATATTTGGAAGTGGACATTTGCAGCGCTTTGAGGCCTATGGTGAAAAAGGAAATATCTTCTCTATAAAAACCAGAAACAAGCATTCTCAGAAACTTCTTTTTGATGTGTGTACTCAAGTAACAGAGTTGAACCTTCCTTTTGACACAGCAGTTTTGAAACAATCTTTTTGTAGAATCTGCAAGTGGATATTTGGATAGCTTTGAGGATTTCGTTGGAAACGGGATATCTTCATATAAAATCTAGACAGAAGCATTCTCAGAAACTTGTTTGTGCTGTATGTCCTCAATTAACAGAGTTGAACCATTGCTTGGATACAGCATTTTGGAAACATTCCTTGAGTAGAATCTGCAAGTTGATATTTAGATAGCTTTGAAGATTTCGTTGGAAACGGGAATATCTTCATAGAAAATCTAGACGGAAGCATTCTCAGAAACTGCTTTGTGATGTTTCCATTCAAGTCAGAGAGTTGAATATTCTCTTTTATAGAGCACGATTGAAACACTCTTTCTGCACTATCTGGAAGTGGACATTTCGAGCGCTTTGAGGCCTATGGTGAAAAAGGAAATATCTTCCCATAAAAACTAGACAGAAGCATTCTCAGAAACTTGTTTGTGATGTGTGTATTCAACTAACAGAGTTGAACTTTTGTTTTTACAGAGCCGTTTTAAAACACTCTTTTTGTGGAATCAGAAAGTGGATATTCGGATGGCTCTGAGGATTTCTTTGGAAGCGGGATTACGTATAAAATCTAGAGAGAAGCATTCTCAGGAACTTCTTTGTGATGTTTGCATTGAAGTCACAGAATTGAACATTCACTTTGATAGAGCAGGTTTGAAACACTCATTCTGTAGTATCTGGAAGTGGACATTTGAAGCGCTTTCAGGCCTATGGTGAGAAAGGAAATATCTTCGAATAAAAACTAGACAGAAGCATCCTCAGAAACTTATTTGTGATGTGTGTCCTCAACTAACAGAGTTGAACCTTTGTTTTGATACAGCATTTTGGAAACACTCTTTTTGTAGAATCTGCAGGTGGATATTTGGATAGCTTAGAGGGATTCGTTGGAAAGGGGATATCTTCATATAAAATCTAGACAGAAGCATTCTCAGAAACTTATTTGTGATGTGTGTCCTCAACTAACAGAGTTGAACCTTGGTTTTGATACAGCATTTTGGAAACACTCCTTTTGTAGAATCTGCATGTGGATATGTGGATAGCTCTGAAGATTTCGTTGGAAACGGGAATTTCTTCATATAAAATCAAACAGAAGCATTCTCAGAAACTTCTCAGTGATGTTTGCATTCAGCTCATGGAGTTGAACACTTCCTTTCATAGAGCAGGTTTGAAACACTCTTTCTGCACTACCTGGAAGAGGACATTTCGAGCGCTTTGAGTCCTATGGTGAAAAAGGAAATATCTTCTCATAGAAACCAGAAAGAAGCATTCTCAGAAACTTCTTTGTGTTGTGTGTACTCATGTAACAGTGTTGAACCATCCTTTTGACAGAGCAGTTTAGAAACACTCTTTTTGTAGAATCTGCAAGTGGATATTTGGATAGCTTTGAGGATTTCGTTGGAAACGGGATGACATATAATATCTAGAGAGAAGCATTCTCAGGAACTTCTTTGTGATGTTTGCATTCAAGTCACAGAATTGAGCATTCCCTTTCATAGAGCAGGTTTGAAACACTCTTTCTCTAGTATCTGGAAGTGGGCATTTCAAGCGCTTTCAGGCCTATGGAGAGAAAGGAAATACCTTCAAATAAAAACTAGACAGAAGCATTCTCAGAAACTTATTTGTGATGTGTGTCCTCAACTAACAGAGTTGAACCTTTGTTTTGATACAGCATTTTGGAAACACTCCTTTTGTAGAATCTGCAGGTGGATATTTGGATAGCTTTGAAGATTTCGTTGGAAACCGGAATATCTTCATATAAAATCAAGACAGAAGCATTCTCGGAAATATCTCTGTGATGTTTGCATTCAACTCAGTAGAGTTGAACACTTCCTTTCATAGAGCAGGTTTGAAACACTCTTTCTGCACTACCTGGAAGCGGACATTTCGAGCGCTTTGAGGCCTATGGTGAAAAAGGAAATATCTTCTCATAAAAACCAGAAAGAAGCATTCTCAGAAACTTCTTTGTGTTGTGTGTACTCAAGTAACAGTGTTGAACCTTCCTTTTGACAGAGCAGTTTTGAAACACTCTTTTGGTAGAATCTGCAAGTGGATATTTGGATAGCTTTGAGGATTTCGTTGGAAACGGGTTATCTTCATATAAAATCCAGACAGGAGCATTCTCAGAAACTTCTTTGTGCTGTATGTCCTCAATTCACAGAGCTGAACCTTTGTTTGGATACAGCATTTTGGAGACATTCCTTTAGTAGAATCTGCAAGTTGATATTTAGATAGCTTTGAAGATTTCGTTGGAAACGGGAATATCTTCATAGAAAATCTAGACGGAAGCATTCTCAGAAACTGCTTTGTGATGTTTGCATTCAAGTCACAGAGTTGAATATTCCCTTTTATAGAGTAGGTTTGAAACACTCTTTCGGCACTACCTGGAAGTGGATATTTCGAGCTCTTTGAGGCCTATGGTTAAAAGGAAATATCTTCCCATAAAAACTAGACAGAAGCCGTCTCAGAAACTTGTTTGTGATGTGTGTATTCAACTAACAGAGTTGAACATTTCTGTTACAGAGCAATTTTAAAACACTCTTTGTGGAATCTGAAAGTGGATAATTGGATAGCTTTGTGGATTTCGTTGGAAACGGGATGACGTATAAAATCTAGAGAGAAGCATTCTCAGGAACTTCTTTCTGATGTTTGCATTCAAGTCACAGAATTGAACATTCCTTTTCAGAGTGCAGGTTTGAAACACTCTTTCTGTAGTATCTGGAAGTGGACATTTCAAGCGCTTTCAGGCCTACGGGGAGAAAGGAAATCTCTTCAAATAAAAACCAGACAGAAGGATTCTCAGAAACTTATTTGTGATGTGTGTCCTAAACGAACACAGTTGAACCTTTGTTTTGATACAGCATTTTGGAAACACTCCTTTTGTAGGATCTGCAGGTGGATATTTGGATAGATTTTAAGATTTCGTTGGAAACGGGAATTTCTTCATAGAAGCTCAAGACAGATGCATTCTCAGAAACTTCTCTGTGATGTTTGCATTCCACTCATAGAGTTGAAAACTTCCTTTCATAGAGCAGGTTTGAAACACTCTTTTTCTAATATTTGGAAGTGGACATTTGCAGCGCTTTGAGGCCTATGGTGAAAAAGGAAATATCTTCTCATAAAAACCAGAAACAAGCATTCTCAGAAACTTCTTTTTGATGTGTGTACTCAAGTAACAGAGTTGAACCTTCCTTTTGACACAGCAGTTTTGAAACAATCTTTTTGTAGAATCTGCAAGTGGATATTTGGATAGCTTTGAGGATTTCGTTGGAAACGGGATATCTTCATATAAAATCTAGACAGAAGCATTCTCAGAAACTTCTTTGTGCTGTATGTCCTCAATTAACAGAGTTGAACCATTGCCTGGATACAGCATTTTGGAAACATTCCTTGAGTAGAATCTGCAAGTTGATATTTAGATAGATTTGAAGATTTCGTTGGAAAAGGGAATATCTCCATATAAAATCTAGAGGGAAGCATTCTCAGAAACTGCTTTGTGATGTTTCCATTCAAGTCACAGAGTTGAATATTCCCTTTTATAGAGCACGTTTGAAACACTCTTTCTGCACTATCTGGAAGCGGACATTTCGAGCGCTTTGAGGCCTATGGTGAAGAAGGAAATATCTTCCCATAAAAACTAGACAGAAGCATTCTCAGAAACTTGTTTGTGATGTGTGTATTCAACTAACAGACTTGAACTTTTGTTTTTACAGAGCAGTTTTAAAACAATCTTTTTGTGGAATCAGAAAGTGGATATTCGGATGGCTTTGAGGATTTCGTTGGAAGCGGGATTACATATAAAATCTAGAGAGAAGCATTCTCAGGAACTACTTTGTGATGTTTGCATTGAAGTCACAGAATTGAACATTCACTTTGATAGAGCAGGTTTGAAACACTCATTCTGTAGTATCTGGAAGTGGACATTTCAAGCGCTTTCAGGCCTATGGGGAGAAAGGAAATATCTTCAAATTAAAACTAGACAGAAGCATCCTCAGAAACTTATTTGTGATGTGTGTCCTCAACTAACAGAGTTGAAACTTTGTTTTGATACAGCATTTTGGAAACACTCTTTTTGTAGAATCTGCAGGTGGATATTTGGATAGCTTAGAGGGATTCGTTGGAAAGGGGATAAATTCATATAAAATCTAGACAGAAGCATTCTCAGAAACTTATTTGTGATGTGTGTCCTCAACTAACACAGTTGAACCTTGGTTTTGATACAGCATTTTGGAAACACTCCTTTTGAAGAATCTGCAGGTGGATATGTGGATAGCTTTGAAGATTTCGTTGGAAACGGGAATTTCTTCACATAAAATCAAACAGAAGCATTCTCAGAAACTTCTCTGTGATGTTTGCATTCAGCTCATGGAGTTGAACACTTCCTTTCATAGAGCAGGTTTGAAACACTCTTTCTGCACTACCTGGAAGTGGACATTTCGAGCGCTTTGAGGCCTATGGTGAAAAAGGAAATATCTTCTCATAAAAACCAGAAAGAAGCGTTCTCAGAAACTTCTTTGTGTTGTGTGTACTCATGTAACAGTGTTGAACCATCCTTTTGACAGAGCAGTTTTGAAACACTCTTTTTGTAGAATCTGCAAGTGGATATTTGGATAGCTTTGAGGATTTCGTTGGAAACGGGTTATCTTCATATTAAATCTAGACAGAAGCATTCTCAGAAACTTCTTTGTGCTGTATGTCCTCAATTCACAGAGTTGAACCTTTGTTTGGATACAGCATTTTGGAAACATTCCTTTAGTAGAATCTGCAAGTTGATATTTAGATAGGTTTGAAGACTTCGTTGGAAACGGGAATATCTTCATAAAAACTCTAGACGGAAGCATTGTCAGAAACTGCTTTGTGATGTTTGCATTCAAGTCACAGAGTTAAATATTCTTTTATAGAGCAGGTTTGAAACACTCTTTCTGCACTCCCTGGAAGTGGAGATTTCGAGCGCTTTGAGGCCTATGGTGAAAAAGGAAATATCTTCCCATAAAAACTAGACGGAAGCCTTCTCAGAAACTTGTTTGAGATGTGTGTATTCAACTAAGAGCGTTGAACATTTCTTTTTACAGAGCAGTTTTAAAACAGTCTTTTGGTGGAATCTGAAAGTGGATAATTGGATAGCTTTGTGGATTTCGTTGGAAACGGGATTACGTTTAAAATCTAGAGAGAAGCATTCTCAGGAACTTCTTTCTGATGTTTGCATTCAAGTCACAGAATTGAACATTCCTTTTCATAGTGCAGGTTTGAAACACTCTGTAGTATCTGGAAGTGGACATTTCAAGCGCTTTCAAGCCTATGGGGAGAAAGGAAATATCTTGAAATAAAAACTAGACAGAAGGATTCTCAGAAACTTATTTGTGATGTGTGTCCTAAACGAACACAGTTGAACCTTTGTTTTGATACAGCATTTTGGAAACACTCCTTTTGTAGAATCTGCAGGTGGATATTTGGATAGATTTTAAGATTTCATTGGAAACGGGAATTTCTTCATATAAACTCAAGACAGATGCATTCTCAGAAACTTCTCTGTGATGTTTGCATTCCACTCACAGAGTTGAAAACTTCCTTTCATAGAGCAGGTTTGAAACACTCTTTTTGTAATATTTGGAAGTGGACATTTGCAGCGCTTTGAGGCCTATGGTGAAAAAGGAAATATCTTCTCATAAAAACCAGAAACAAGCATTCTCAGAAACTGCTTTTTGATGTGTGTACTCAAGTAACAGAGTTGAACCTTCCTTTTGACACAGCAGTTTTGAAACAATCTTTTTGTAGAATCTGCAAGTGGATATTTGGATAGCTTTGAGGATTTCGTTGGAAACGGGATATCTTCATATAAAATCTAGACAGAAGCATTCTCAGAAACTTCTTTGTGCTGTATGTCCTCAATTAACAGAGTTGAACCATTGCTTGGATACAGCATTTTGGAAACATTCCTTTAGTAGAATCTGCAAGTTGATATTTAGATAGCTTTGAAGATTTCGTTGGAAACGGGAATATCTTCATATAAAATCTAGACGGAGGCATTCTCAGAAACTGCTTTGTGATGTTTCCATTCAAGTCACAGAGTTGAATATTCCCTTTTATAGAGCACGTTTGAAACACTCTTTCGGCACTATCTGGAAGTGGACATTTCGAGCGCTTTGAGGCCTATGGTGAAAAAGGAAATATCTTCCCATAAAAACTAGACAGAAGCATTCTCAGAAACTTGTTTGTGATGTGTGTATTCAACTAACAGACTTGAACTTTTGTTTTTACAGAGCAGTTTTAAAACAATCTTTTTGTGGAATCAGAAAGTGGATATTCGGATGGCTTTGAGGATTTCGTTGGAAGCGGGATTACATATAAAATGTAGAGAGAAGCATTCTCAGGAACTACTTTGTGATGTTTGCATTGAAGTCACAGAATTGAACATTCACTTTGATAGAGCAGGTTTGAAACACTCATGCTGTAGTATCTGGAAGTGGACATTTCAAGCGCTTTCAGGCCTATGGGGAGAAAGGAAATATCTTCAAATTAAAACTAGACAGAAGCATCCTCAGAAACTTATTTGTGATGTGTGTCCTCAACTAACAGAGTTGAAACTTTGTTTTGATACAGCATTTTGGAAACACTCTTTTTGTAGAATCTGCAGGTGGATACTTGGATAGCTTAGAGGGATTCGTTGGAAAGGGGATATCTTCATATAAAATCTAGACAGAAGCATTCTCAGAAACTTATTTGTGATGTGTGTCCTCAACTAACAGAGTTGAACCTTGGTTTTGATACAGCATTTTGGAAACACTCCTTTTGAAGAATCTGCAGGTGGATATGTGGATAGCTTTGAAGATTTCGTTGGAAACGGGAATTTCTTCATATAAAATCAAACAGAAGCATTCTCAGAAACTTCTCTGTGATGTTTGCATTCAGCTCATGGAGTTGAACACTTCCTTTCATAGAGCAGGTTTGAAACACTCTTTCTGCACTACCTGGAAGTGGACATTTCGAGCGCTTTGAGGCCTATGGTGAAAAGGGAAATATCTTCTCATAAAAACCAGAAAGAAGGGTTCTCAGAAACTTCTTTGTGTTGTGTGTACTCATGTAACAGTGTTGAACCATCCTTTTGACAGAGCAGTTTTGAAACACTCTTTTTGTAGAATCTGCCAGTGGATATTTGGATAGCTTTGAGGATTTCGTTGGAAACGGGTTATCTTCATATTAAATCTAGACAGAAGCATTCTCAGAAACTTCTTTGTGCTGTATGTCCTCAATTCACAGAGTTGAACCTTTGTTTGGATACAGCATTTTGGAAACATTCCTTTAGTAGAATCTGCAAGTTGATATTTAGATAGCTTTGAAGATTTCGTTGGAAACGGGAATATCTTCATAAAAAATCTAGACGGAAGCATTGTCAGAAACTGCTTTGTGATGTTTGCATTCAAGTCACAGAGTTAAATATTCTTTTAAAGAGCAGGTTTGAAACACTCTTTCTGCACTCCCTGGAAGTGGAGATTTCGAGCGCTTTGAGGCCTATGGTGAAAAAGGAAATATCTTCCCATAAAAACTAGACGGAAGCATTCTCAGAAACTTGTTTGTGATGTGTGTATTCAACTAACAGAGTTGAACTTTTGTTTTTACAGAGCCGTTTTAAAACACTCTTTTTGTGGAATCAGAAAGTGGATATTCGGATGGCTCTGAGGATTTCGTTGGAAGCGGGATTACGTATAAAATCTAGAGAGAAGCATTCTCAGGAACTTCTTTGTGATGTTTGCATTCAAGTCACAGAATTGAACATTCCCTTTCATAGAGCAGGTTTGAAACACTCTTTCTCTAGTATCTGGAAGTGGGCATTTCAAGCGCTTTCAGGCCTATGGAGAGAAAGGAAATACCTTCAAATAAAAACTAGACAGAAGCATTCTCAGAAACTTATTTGTGATGTGTGTCCTCAACTAACAGAGTTGAACCTTTGTTTTGATACAGCATTTTGGAAACACTCCTTTTGTAGAATCTGCAGGTGGATATTTGGATAGCTTTGAAGATTTCGTTGGAAACCGGAATATCTTCATATAAAATCAAGACAGAAGCATTCTCGGAAACATCTCTGTGATGTTTGCATTCAACTCAGTAGAGTTGAACACTTCCTTTCATAGAGCAGGTTTGAAACACTCTTTCTGCACTACCTGGAAGCGGACATTTCGGGCGCTTTGAGGCCTATGGTGAAAAAGGAAATATCTTCTCATAAACACCAGAAAGAAGCATTCTCAGAAACTTCTTTGTGTTGTGTGTACTCAAGTAACAGTGTTGAACCTTCCTTTTGACAGAGCAGTTTTGAAACACTCTTTTGGTAGAATCTGCAAGTGGATATTTGGATAGCTTTGAGGATTTCGTTGGAAACGGGTTATCTTCCTATAAAATCCAGACAGGAGCATTCTCAGAAACTTCTTTGTGCTGTATGTCCTCAATTCACAGAGCTGAACCTTTGTTTGGATACAGCATTTTGGAGACATTCCTTTAGTAGAATCTGCAAGTTGATATTTAGATAGCTTTGAAGATTTCGTTGGAAACGGGAATATCTTCATAGAAAATCTAGACGGAAGCATTCTCAGAAACTGCTTTGTGATGTTTGCATTCAAGTCACAGAGTTGAATATTCCCTTTTATAGAGTAGGTTTGAAACACTCTTTCGGCACTACCTGGAAGTGGATATTTCGAGCTCTTTGAGGCCTATGGTTAAAAGGAAATATCTTCCCATAAAAACTAGACAGAAGCCGTCTCAGAAACTTGTTTGTGATGTGTGTATTCAACTAACAGAGTTGAACATTTCTGTTACAGAGCAATTTTAAAACACTCTTTGTGGAATCTGAAAGTGGATAATTGGATAGCTTTGTGGATTTCGTTGGAAACGGGATGACGTATAAAATCTAGAGAGAAGCATTCTCAGGAACTTCTTTCTGATGTTTGCATTCAAGTCAAAGAATTGAACATTCCTTTTCAGAGTGCAGGTTTGAAACACTCTTTCTGTAGTATCTGGAAGTGGACATTTCAAGCGCTTTCAGGCCTACGGGGAGAAAGGAAATATCTTCAAATAAAAACTAGACAGAAGGATTCTCAGAAACTTATTTGTGATGTGTGTCCTAAACGAACACAGTTGAACCTTTGTTTTGATACAGCATTTTGGAAACACTCCTTTTGTAGGATCTGCAGGTGGATATTTGGATAGATTTTAAGATTTCGTTGGAAACGGGAATTTCTTCATAGAAGCTCAAGACAGATGCATTCTCAGAAACTTCTCTGTGATGTTTGCATTCCACTCATAGAGTTGAAAACTTCCTTTCATAGAGCAGGTTTGAAACACTCTTTTTGTAATATTTGGAAGTGGACATTTGCAGCGCTTTGAGGCCTATGGTGAAAAAGGAAATATCTTCTCATAAAAACCAGAAACAAGCATTCTCAGAAACTTCTTTTTGATGTGTGTACTCAAGTAACAGAGTTGAACCTTCCTCTTGACACAGCAGTTTTGAAACAATCTTTTTGTAGAATCTGCAAGTGGATATTTGGATAGCTTTGAGGATTTCGTTGGAAACGGGATATCTTCATATAAAATCTAGACAGAAGCATTCTCAGAAACTTCTTTGTGCTGTATGTCCTCAATTAACAGAGTTGAACCATTGCCTGGATACAGCATTTTGGAAACATTCCTTGAGTAGAATCTGCAAGTTGATATTTAGATAGATTTGAAGATTTCGTTGGAAAAGGGAATATCTCCATATAAAATCTAGAGGGAAGCATTCTCAGAAACTGCTTTGTGATGTTTCCATTCAAGTCACAGAGTTGAATATTCCCTTTTATAGAGCACGTTTGAAACACTCTTTCTGCACTATCTGGAAGCGGACATTTCGAGCGCTTTGAGGCCTATGGTGAAAAAGGAAATATCTTCCCATAAAAACTAGACAGAAGCATTCTCAGAAACTTATTTGTGATGTGTGTATTCAACTAACAGAGTTGAACTTTTGTTTTTACAGAGCCGTTTTAAAACACTCTTTTTGTGGAATCAGAAAGTGGATATTCGGATGGCTCTGAGGATTTCGTTGGAAGCGGGATTACGTATAAAATCTAGAGAGAAGCATTCTCAGGAACTACTTTGTGATGTTTGCATTGAAGTCACAGAATTGAACATTCACTTTGATAGAGCAGGTTTGAAACACTCATTCTGTAGTATCTGGAAGTGGACAATTCAAGCGCTTTCAGGCCTATGGGGAGAAAGGAAATATCTTCAAATAAAAACTAGACAGAAGCATCCTCAGAAACTTATTTGTGATGTGTGTCCTCAACTAACAGAGTTGAAACTTTGTTTTGATACAGCATTTTGGAAACACTCTTTTTGTAGAATCTGCAGGTGGATATTTGGATAGCTTAGAGGGATTCGTTGGAAAGGGGATATCTTCATATAAAATCTAGACAGAAGCATTCTCAGAAACTTATTTGTGATGTGTGTCCTCAACTAACAGAGTTGAACCTTGGTTTTGATACAGCATTTTGGAAACACTCCTTTTGTAGAATCTGCAGGTGGATATGTGGATAGCTCTGAAGATTTCGTTGGAAACGGGAATTTCTTCATATAAAATCAAACAGAAGCATTCTCAGAAACTTCTCAGTGATGTTTGCATTCAGTTCATGGAGTTGAACACTTCCTTTCATAGAGCCTGTTTGAAACACTGTTTCTGCACTACCTGGAAGAGGACATTTCGAGCGCTTTGAGTCCTATGGTGAAAAAGGAAATATCTTCTCATATAAACCAGAAAGAAGCATTCTCAGAAACTTCTTTGTGTTGTGTGTACTCATGTAACAGTGTTGAACCATCCTTTTGACAGAGCAGTTTTGAAACACTCTTTTTGTAGAATCTGCAAATGGATATTTGGATAGCTTTGAGGATTTCGTTGGAAACGGGATGACATATAATATCTAGAGAGAAGCATTCTCAGGAACTTCTTTGTGATGTTTGCATTCAAGTCACAGAATTGAACATTCCCTTTCATAGAGCAGGTTTGAAACACTCTTTCTCTAGTATCTGGAAGTGGGCATTTCAAGCGCTTTCAGGCCTATGGAGAGAAAGGAAATACCTTCAAATAAAAACTAGACAGAAGCATTCTCAGAAACTTATTTGTGATGTGTGTCCTCAACTAACAGAGTTGAACCTTTGTTTTGATACAGCATTTTGGAAACACTCCTTTTGTAGAATCTGCAGGTGGATATTTGGATAGCTTTGAAGATTTCGTTGGAAACCGGAATATCTTCCTATAAAATCAAGACAGAAGCATTCTCGGAAACATCTCTGTGATGTTTGCATTCAACTCAGTAGAGTTGAACACTTCCTTTCATAGAGCAGGTTTGAAACACTCTTTCTGCCCTACCTGGAAGCGGACATTTCGAGCTCTTTGAGGCCTATGGTGAAAAAGGAAATATCTTCTCATAAAAACCAGAAAGAAGCATTCTCAGAAACTTCTTTGTGTTGTGTGTACTCAAGTAACAGTGTTGAACCTTCCTTTTGACAGAGTAGTTTTGAAACACTCTTTTGGTAGAATCTGCAAGTGGATATTTGGATAGCTTTGAGGATTTCGTTGGAAACGGGTTATCTTCCTATAAAATCCAGACAGGAGCATTCTCAGAAACTTCTTTGTGCTGTATGTCCTCAATTCACAGAGCTGAACCTTTGTTTGGATACAGCATTTTGGAGACATTCCTTTAGTAGAATCTGCAAGTTGATATTTAGATAGCTTTGAAGATTTCGTTGGAAACGGGAATATCTTCATAGAAAATGCTAGACGGAAGCATTCTCAGAAACTGCTTTGTGATGTTTGCATTCAAGTCACAGAGTTGAATATTCCCTTTTATAGAGTAGGTTTGAAACACTCTTTCGGCACTACCTGGAAGTGGATATTTCGAGCTCTTTGAGGCCTATGGTTAAAAGGAAATATCTTCCCATAAAAACTAGACAGAAGCCGTCTCAGAAACTTGTTTGTGATGTGTGTATTCAACTAACAGAGTTGAACATTTCTGTTACAGAGCAATTCAAAACACTCTTTTTGTGGAATCTGAAAGTGGATAATTGGATAGCTTTGTGGATTTCGTTGGAAACGGGATGACGTATAAAATCTAGAGAGAAGCATTCTCAGGAACTTCTTTCTGATGTTTGCATTCAAGTCACGGAATTGAACATTCCTTTTCAGAGTGCAGGTTTGAAACACTCTTTCTGTAGTATCTGGAAGTGGACATTTCAAGCGCTTTCAGGCCTACAGGGAGAAAGGAAATATCTTCAAATAAAAACTAGAGAGAAGGATTCTCAGAAACTTATTTGTGATGTGTGTCCTAAACGAACACAGTTGAACCTTTGTTTTGATACAGCATTTTGGAAACACTCCTTTTGTAGGATCTGCAGGTGGATATTTGGATAGATTTTAAGATTTCGTTGGAAACGGGAATTTCTTCATAGAAGCTCAAGACAGATGCATTCTCTGAAACTTCTCTGTAATGTTTACATTCCACTCATAGAGTTGAAAACTTCCTTTCATAGAGCAGGTTTGAAACACTCTTTTTGTAATATTTGGAAGTGGAGATTTGCAGTGCTTTGAGGCCTATGGTGAAAAAGGAAATATCTTCTCATAAAAACCAGAAACAAAGCATTCTCAGTAAACTTCTTTTTGATGTGTGTACTCAAGTAACAGAGTTGAACCTTCCTTTTGACACAGCAGTTTTGAAACAATCTTTTTGTAGAATCTGCAAGTGGATATTTGGATAGCTTTGAGGATTTCGTTGGAAACGGGATATCTTCATATAAAATCTAGACAGAAGCATTCTCAGAAACTTCTTTGTGCTGTATGACCTCAATTAACAGAGTTGAACCATTGCTTGCATACAGCATTTTGGAAACATTCCTTGAGTAGAATCTGCAAGTTGATCTTTAGATAGATTTGAAGATTTCGTTGGAAAAGGGAATATCTCCATATAAAATCTAGAGGGAAGCATTCTCAGAAACTGCTTTGTGATGTTTCCATTCAAGTCACAGAGTTGAATATTCCCTTTTATAGAGCACGTTTGAAACACTCTTTCTGCACTATCTGGAAGCGGACATTCCGAGCGCTTTGAGGCCTATGGTGAAAAAGGAAATATCTTCCCATAAAAACTAGACAGAAGCATTCTCAGAAACTTGTTTGTGATGTGTGTATTCAACTGAGTTGAACTTTTGTTTCTACAGAGCAGTTTTAAAACACTCTTTTTGTGGAATCAGAAAGTGGATATTCGGATGGCTCTGAGGATTTCGTTGGAAGCGGGATTACATATAAAATCTAGAGAGAAGCATTCTCAGGAACTTCTTTGTGATGTTTGCATTGAAGTCACAGAATTGAACATTCACTTTGATAGAGCAGGTTTGAAACACTCATTCTGTAGTATCTGGAAGTGGACATTTCAAGCGCTTTCAGGCCTATGGTGAGAAAGGAAATATTTTCAAATAAAAACTAGACAGAAGCATCGTCAGAAACTTATTTGTGATGTGTGTCCTCAACTAACAGAGTTGAAACTTTGTTTTGATACAGCCTTTTGGAAACACTCTTTTTGTAGAATCTGCAGGTGCATATTTGGATAGCTTAGAGGGATTCGTTGGAAAGGGGATATCTTCATATAAAATCTAGACAGAAGCATTCTCAGAAACTTATTTGTGATGTGTGTCCTCAACTAACAGAGTTGAACCTTGGTTTTGATACAGCATTTTGGAAACACTCCTTTTGTAGAATCTGCAGGTGGATATGTGGATAGCTTTGAAGATTTCGTTGGAAACGGGAATTTCTTCATGTAAAATCAAACAGAAGCATTCTCAGGAACTTCTCTGTGATGTTTGCATTCAGCTCATGGAGTTGAACACTTCCTTTCATAGAGCAGGTTTGAAACACTCTTTCTGCACTACCTGGAAGTGGACATTTCGAGCGCTTTGAGGCCTATGGTGAAAAAGGAAATATCTTCTCATAAAAACCAGAAAGAAGCGTTCTCAGAAACTTCTTTGTGTTGTGTGTACTCATGTAACAGTGTTGAACCATCCTTTTGACAGAGCAGTTTTGAAACACTCTTTTTGTAGAATCTGCAAGTGGATATTTGGATAGCTTTGAGGATTTCGTTGGAAACGGGTTATCTTCATATTAAATCTAGACAGAAGCATTCTCAGAAACTTCTTTGTGCTGTATGTCCTCAATTCACAGAGTTGAACCTTTGTTTGGATACAGCATTTTGGAAACATTCCTTTAGTAGAATCTGCAAGTTGATATTTAGATAGCTTTGAAAATTTCGTTGGAAACGGGAATATCTTCATAAAAAATCTAGACGGAAGTATTGTCAGAAACTGCTCTGTGATGTTTGCATTCAAGTCACAGAGTTAAGTATTCTTTTATAGAGCAGGTTTGAAACACTCTTTCTGCACTCCCTGGAAGTGGAGATTTCGAGCGCTTTGAGGCCTATGGTGAAAAAGGAAATATCTTCCCATAAAAACTAGACGGAAGCATTCTCAGAAACTTGTTTGTGATGTGTGTGTTCAACTAACAGACTTGAACTTTTGTTTTTACAGAGCAGTTTTAAAACAATCTTTTTGTGGAATCAGAAAGTGGATATTCGGATGGCTTTGAGGATTTCGTTGGAAGCGGGATTACATATAAAATCTAGAGAGAAGCATTCTCAGGAACTTCTTTCTGATGTTTGCATTGAAGTCACGGAATTGAACATTCACTTTTATAGAGCAGGTTTGAAACACTCATTCTGTAGTATCTGGAAGTGGACATTTCAAGCGCTTTCAGGCCTATGGTGAGAAAGGAAATATCTTCGAATAAAAACTAGACAGAAGCATCCTCAGAAACTTATTTGTGATGTGTGTCCTCAACTAACAGAGTTGAAACTTTGTTTTGATACAGCATTTTGGAAACACTCTTTGTAGAATCTGCAGGTGGATATTTGGATAGCTTAGAGGGATTCGTTGGAAAGGGGATATCTTCATATAAAATCTAGACAGAAGCATTCTCAGAAACTTATTTGTGATGTGTGTCCTCAACTAACAGAGTTGAACCTTGGTTTTGATACAGCATTTTGGAAACACTCCTTTTGTAGAATCTGCAGGTGGATATGTGGATAGCTCTGAAGATTTCGTTGGAAACGGGAATTTCTTCATATAAAATCAAACAGAAGCATTCTCAGAAACTTCTCAGTGATGTTTGCATTCAGTTCATGGAGTTGAACACTTCCCTTCATAGAGCCGGTTTGAAACACTCTTTCTGCACTACCTGGAAGAGGACATTTCGAGCGCTTTGAGTCCTATGGTGAAAAAGGAAATATCTTCTCATAGAAACCAGAAAGAAGCATTCTCAGAAACTTCTTTGTGTTGTGTGTACTCATGTAACAGTGTTGAACCATCCTTTTGACAGAGCAGTTTTGAAACACTCTTTTTGTAGAATCTGCAAGTGGATATTTGGATAGCTTTGAGGATTTCGTTGGAAACGGGATGACATATAATATCTAGAGAGAAGCATTCTCAGGAACTTCTTTGTGATGTTTGCATTCAAGTCACAGAATTGAACATTCCCTTTCATAGAGCAGGTTTGAAACACTCTTTCTCTAGTATCTGGAAGTGGGCATTTCAAGCGCTTTCAGGCCTATGGAGAGAAAGGAAATACCTTCAAATAAAAACTAGACAGAAGCATTCTCAGAAACTTATTTGTGATGTGTGTCCTCAACTAACAGAGTTGAACCTTTGTTTTGATACAGCATTTTGGAAACACTCCTTTTGTAGAATCTGCAGGTGGATATTTGGATAGCTTTGAAGATTTCGTTGGAAACCGGAATATCTTCATATAAAATCAAGACAGAAGCATTCTCGGAAACATCTCTGTGATGTTTGCATTCAACTCAGTAGAGTTGAACACGTCCTTTCATAGAGCAGGTTTGAAACACTCTTTCTGCCCTACCTGGAAGCGGACATTTCGAGCTGCTTTGAGGCCTATGGTGAAAAAGGAAATATCTTCTCATAAAAACCAGAAAGAAGCATTCTCAGAAACTTCTTTGTGTTGTGTGTACTCAAGTAACAGTGTTGAACCTTCCTTTTGACAGAGCAGTTTTGAAACACTCTTTTGGTAGAATCTGCAAGTGGATATTTGGATAGCTTTGAGGATTTCGTTGGAAACAGGTTATCTTCCTATAAAATCCAGACAGGAGCATTCTCAGAAACTTCTTTGTGCTGTATGTCCTCAATTCACAGAGCTGAACCTTTGTTTGGATACAGCATTTTGGAGACATTCCTTTAGTAGAATCTGCAAGTTGATATTTAGATAGCTTTGAAGATTTCGTTGGAAACGGGAATATCTTCATAGAAAATCTAGACGGAAGCATTCTCAGAAACTGCTTTGTGATGTTTGCATTCAAGTCACAGAGTTGAATATTCCCTTTTATAGAGTAGGTTTGAAACACTCTTTCGGCACTACCTGGAAGTGGATATTTCGAGCTCTTTGAGGCCTATGGTTAAAAGGAAATATCTTCCCATAAAAACTAGACAGAAGCCGTCTCAGAAACTTGTTTGTGATGTGTGTATTCAACTAACAGAGTTGAACATTTCTGTTACAGAGCAATTTAAAACACTCTTTTTGTGGAATCTGAAAGTGGATAATTGGATAGCTTTGTGGATTTCGTTGGAAACGGGATGACGTATAAAATCTAGAGAGAAGCATTCTCAGGAACTTCTTTCTGATGTTTGCATTCAAGTCACAGAATTGAACATTCCTTTTCAGAGTGCAGGTTTGAAACACTCTTTCTGTAGTATCTGGAAGTGGACATTTCAAGCGCTTTCAGGCCTACGGGGAGAAAGGAAATCTCTTCAAATAAAAACCAGACAGAAGGATTCTCAGAAACTTATTTGTGATGTGTGTCCTAAACGAACACAGTTGAACCTTTGTTTTGATACAGCATTTTGGAAACACTCCTTTTGTAGGATCTGCAGGTGGATATTTGGATAGATTTTAAGATTTCGTTGGAAACGGGAATTTCTGCATATAAACTCAAGACAGATGCATTCTCAGAAACTTCTCTGTGATGTTTGCATTCCACTCATAGAGTTGAAAACTTCCTTTCATAGAGCAGGTTTGAAACACTCTTTTTGTAATATTTGGAAGTGGACATTTGCAGCGCTTTGAGGCCTATGGTGAAAAAGGAAATATCTTCTCATAAAAACCAGAAACAAGCATTCTCAGAAACTTCTTTTTGATGTGTGTACTCAAGTAACAGAGTTGAACCTTCCTCTTGACACAGCAGTTTTGAAACAATCTTTTTGTAGAATCTGCAAGTGGATATTTGGATAGCTTTGAGGATTTCGTTGGAAACGGGATATCTTCATATAAAATCTAGACAGAAGCATTCTCAGAAACTTCTTTGTGCTGTATGTCCTCAATTAACAGAGTTGAACCATTGCCTGGATACAGCATTTTGGAAACATTCCTTGAGTAGAATCTGCAAGTTGATATTTAGATAGATTTGAAGATTTCGTTGGAAAAGGGAATATCTCCATATAAAATCTAGAGGGAAGCATTCTCAGAAACTGCTTTGTGATGTTTCCATTCAAGTCACAGAGTTGAATATTCCCTTTTATAGAGCACGTTTGAAACACTCTTTCTGCACTATCTGGAAGCGGACATTTCGAGCGCTTTGAGGCCTATGGTGAAAAAGGAAATATCTTCCCATAAAAACTAGACAGAAGCATTCTCAGAAACTTGTTTGTGATGTGTGTATTCAACTAACAGAGTTGAACTTTTGTTTTTACAGAGCCGTTTTAAAACACTCTTTTTGTGGAATCAGAAAGTGGATATTCGGATGGCTCTGAGGATTTCGTTGGAAGCGGGATTACGTATAAAATCTAGAGAGAAGCATTCTCAGGAACTTCTTTGTGATGTTTGCATTGAAGTCATAGAATTGAACATTCACTTTGATAGAGCAGGTTTGAAACACTCATTCTGTAGTATCTGGAAGTGGACATTTCAAGCGCTTTCAGGCCTATGGTGAGAAAGGAAATATCTTCGAATAAAAACTAGACAGAAGCATCCTCAGAAACTTATTTGTGATGTGTGTCCTCAACTAACAGAGTTGAAATTTGTTTTGATACAGCATTTTGGAAACACTCTTTTTGTAGAATCTGCAGGTGGATACTTGGATAGCTTAGAGGGATTCGTTGGAAAGGGGATATCTTCATATAAAACCTAGACAGAAGCATTCTCAGAAACTTATTTGTGATGTGTGTCCTCAACTAACAGAGTTGAACCTTGGTTTTGATACAGCATTTTGGAAACACTCCTTTTGAAGAATCTGCAGGTGGATATGTGGATAGCTTTGAAGATTTCGTTGGAAACGGGAATTTCTTCATATAAAATCAAACAGAAGCATTCTCAGGAACTTCTCTGTGATGTTTGCATTCAGCTCATGGAGTTGAACACTTCCTTTCATAGAGCAGGTTTGAAACACTCTTTCTGCACTACCTGGAAGTGGACATTTCGAGCGCTTTGAGGCCTATGGTGAAAAAGGAAATATCCTCTCATAAAAACCAGAAAGAAGCGTTCTCAGAAACTTCTTTGTGTTGTGTGTACTCATGTAACAGTGTTGAACCATCCTTTTGACAGAGCAGTTTTGAAACACTCTTTTTGTAGAATCTGCCAGTGGATATTTGGATAGCTTTGAGGATTTCGTTGGAAACGGGTTATCTTCATATTAAATCTAGACAGAAGCATTCTCAGAAACTTCTTTGTGCTGTATGTCCTCAATTCACAGAGTTGAACCTTTGTTTGGATACAGCATTTTGGAAACATTCCTTTAGTAGAATCTGCAAGTTGATATTGAGATAGCTTTGAAGATTTCGTTGGAAACGGGAATATCTTCATAAAAAATCTAGACGGAAGCATTGTCAGAAACTGCTCTGTGATGTTTGCATTCAAGTCACAGAGTTAAATATTCTTTTATAGAGCAGGTTTGAAACACTCTTTCTGCACTCCCTGGAAGTGGAGATTTCGAGCGCTTTGAGGCCTATGGTGAAAAAGGAAATATCTTCCCATAAAAACTAGACGGAAGCATTCTCAGAAACTTGTTTGTGATGTGTGTATTCAACTAACAGAGTTGAACTTTTGTTTTTACAGAGCCGTTTTAAAACACTCTTTTTGTGGAATCAGAAAGTGGATATTCGGATGGCTCTGAGGATTTCGTTGGAAGCGGGATTACATATAAAATCTAGAGAGAAGCATTCTCAGGAACTTCTTTGTGATGTTTGCATTGAAGTCACAGAATTGAACATTCACTTTGATAGAGCAGGTTTGGAACACTCATTCTGTAGTATCTGGAAGTGGACATTTCAAGCGCTTTCAGGCCTATGGTGAGAAAGGAAATATCTTCGAATAAAAACTAGACAGAAGCATCCTCAAACTTATTTGTGATGTGTGTCCTCAACTAACAGAGTTGAAACTTTGTTTTGATACAGCATTTTGGAAACACTCTTTTTGTAGAATCTGCAGGTGGATATTTGGATAGCTTAGAGGGATTCTTTGGAAAGGGGATATCTTCATATAAAATCTAGACAGAAGCATTCTCAGAAACTTATTTGTGATGTGTGTCCTCAACTAACAGAGTTGAACCTTGGTTTTGATACAGCATTTTGGAAACACTCCTTTTGTAGAATCTGCAGGTGGATATGTGGATAGCTCTGAAGATTTCGTTGGAAACGGGAATTTCTTCCTATAAAATCAAACAGAAGCATTCTCAGAAACTTCTCAGTGATGTTTGCATTCAGCTCATGGAGTTGTACACTTCCTTTCATAGAGCAGGTTTGAAACACTCTTTCTGCACTACCTGGAAGAGGACATTTCGAGCGCTTTGAGTCCTATGGTGAAAAAGGAAATATCTTCTCATAGAAACCAGAAAGAAGCATTCTCAGAAACTTCTTTGTGTTGTGTGTACTCATGTAACAGTGTTGAACCATCCTTTTGACAGAGCAGTTTTGAAACACTCTTTTTGTAGAATCTGCAAGTGGATATTTGGATAGCTTTGAGGATTTCGTTGGAAACGGGATGACATATAATATCTAGAGAGAAGCATTCTCAGGAACTTCTTTGTGATGTTTGCATTCAAGTCACAGAATTGAACATTCCCTTTCATAGAGCAGGTTTGAAACACTCTTTCTCTAGTATCTGGAAGTGGGCATTTCAAGCGCTTTCAGGCCTATGGAGAGAAAGGAAATACCTTCAAATAAAAACTAGACAGAAGCATTCTCAGAAACTTATTTGTGATGTGTGTCCTCAACTAACAGAGTTGAACCTTTGTTTTGATACAGCATTTTGGAAACACTCCTTTTGTAGAATCTGCAGGTGGATATTTGGATAGCTTTGAAGATTTCGTTGGAAACCGGAATATCTTCATATAAAATCAAGACAGAAGCATTCTCGGAAACATCTCTGTGATGTTTGCATTCAACTCAGTAGAGTTGAACACTTCCTTTCATAGAGCAGGTTTGAAACACTCTTTCTGCACTACCTGGAAGCGGACATTTCGAGCGCTTTGAGGCCTATGGTGAAAAAGGAAATATCTTCTCATAAAAACCAGAAAGAAGCATTCTCAGAAACTTCTTTGTGTTGTGTGTACTCAAGTAACAGTGTTGAACCTTCCTTTTGACAGAGCAGTTTTGAAACACTCTTTTGGTAGAATCTGCAAGTGGATATTTGGATAGCTTTGAGGAATTCGTTGGAAACGGGTTATCTTCATATAAAATCCAGACAGGAGCATTCTCAGAAACTTCTTTGTGCTGTATGTCCTCAATTCACAGAGCTGAACCTTTGTTTGGATACAGCATTTTGGAGACATTCCTTTAGTAGAATCTGCAAGTTGATATTTAGATAGCTTTGAAGATTTCGTTGGAAACGGGAATATCTTCATAGAAAATCTAGACGGAAGCATTCTCAGAAACTGCTTTGTGATGTTTGCATTCAAGTCACAGAGTTGAATATTCCCTTTTATAGAGTAGGTTTGAAACACTCTTTCGGCACTACCTGGAAGTGGATATTTCGAGCTCTTTGAGGCCTATGGTTAAAAGGAAATATCTTCCCATAAAAACTAGACAGAAGCCGTCTCAGAAACTTGTTTGTGATGTGTGTATTCAACTACCAGAGTTGAACATTTCTGTTACAGAGCAATTTTAAAACACTCTTTCTGTGGAATCTGAAAGTGGATAATTGGATAGCTTTGTGGATTTCGTTGGAAACGGGATGACGTATAAAATCTAGAGAGAAGCATTCTCAGGAACTTCTTTCTGATGTTTGCATTCAAGTCACAGAATTGAACATTCCTTTTCAGAGTGCAGGTTTGAAACACTCTTTCTGTAGTATCTGGAAGTGGACATTTCAAGCGCTTTCAGGCCTACGGGGAGAAAGGAAATATCTTCAAATAAAAACTAGACAGAAGGATTCTCAGAAACTTATTTGTGATGTGTGTCCTAAACGAACACAGTTGAACCTTTGTTTTGATACAGCATTTTGGAAACACTCCTTTTGTAGGATCTGCAGGTGGATATTTGGATAGATTTTAAGATTTCGTTGGAAACGGGAATTTCTGCATAGAAACTCAAGACAGATGCATTCTCAGAAACTTCTCTGTGATGTTTGCATTCCACTCATAGAGTTGAAAACTTCCTTTCATAGAGCAGGTTTGAAACACTCTTTTTGTAATATTTGGAAGTGGAAATTTGCAGCGCTTTGAGGCCTATGGTGAAAAGGAAATATCTTCTCATAAAAACCAGAAACAAGCATTCTCAGAAAGTTCTTTTTGATGTGTGTACTCAAGTAACAGAGTTGAACCTTCCTTTTGACACAGCAGTTTTGAAACAATCTTTTTGTAGAATCTGCATGTGGATATTTGGATAGCTTTGAGGATTTCATTGGAAACGGGATATATTCATATAAAATCTAGACAGAAGCATTCTCAGAAACTTCTTTGTGCTGTATGTCCTCAATTAACAGAGTTGAACCATTGCCTGGATACAGCATTTTGGAAACATTCCTTGAGTAGAATCTGCAAGTTGATATTTAGATAGATTTGAAGATTTCGTTGGAAAAGGGAATATCTCCATATAAAATCTAGAGGGAGGCATTCTCAGAAACTGCTTTGTGATGTTTCCATTCAAGTCACAGAGTTGAATATTCTCTTTTATAGAGCACGTTTGAAACACTCTTTCTGCACTCTCTGGAAGTGGACATTTCGAGCGCTGTGAGGCCTATGGTGAAAAAGGAAATATCTTCCCATAAAAACTAGACAGAAGCATTCTCAGAAACTTGTTTGTGATGTGTGTATTCAACTAACAGACTTGAACTTTTGTTTTTACAGAGCAGTTTTAAGACAATCCATTTGTGGAATCAGAAAGTGGATATTCGGATGGCTTTGAGGATTTCGTTGGAAGCGGGATTACATATAAAATCTAGAGAGAAGCATTCTCAGGAACTACTTTGTGATGTTTGCATTGAAGTCACAGAATTGAACATTCACTTTGATAGAGCAGGTTTGAAACACTCATTCTGTAGTATCTGGAAGTGGACATTTCAAGCGCTTTCAGGCCTATGGGGAGAAAGGAAATATCTTCAAATAAAAACTAGACAGAAGCATCCTCAGAAACTTATTTGTGATGTGTGTCCTCAAGTAACAGAGTTGAAACTTTGTTTTGATACAGCATTTTGGAAACACTCTTTTTGTAGAATCTACAGGTGGATATTTGGATAGCTTAGAGGGATTCGTTGGAAAGGGGATATCGTCAAATAAAAACTAGACAGAAGCATTCTCAGAAACTTCTTTGTGCTGTATGTCCTCAACTAACAGAGTTGAACCTTGGTTTTGATACAGCATTTTGGAAACACTCCTTTTGAAGAATCTGCAGGTGGATATGTGGATAGCTTTGAAGATTTCGTTGGAAACGGGAATTTCTTCATATAAAATCAAACAGAAGCATTGTCAGAAACTGCTTTGTGATGTTTGCATTCAAGTCACAGAGTTAAATATTCTTTTATAGAGCAGGTTTGAAACACTCTTTCTGCACTCCCTGGAAGTGGAGACTTCGAGCGCTTTGAGGCCTATGGTGAAAAAGGAAATATCTTCCCATAAAAACTAGACGGAAGCCTTCTCAGAAACTTGTTTGAGATGTGTGTATTCAACTAAGAGCGTTGAACATTTCTTTTTACAGAGCAGTTTTAAAACACTCTTTTTGTGGAATCTGAAAGTGGATAATTGGATAGCTTTGTGGATTTCGTTGGAAACGGGATGACGTATAAAATCTAGAGAGAAGCATTCTCAGGAACTTCTTTCTGATGTTTGCATTCAAGTCACAGAATTGAACATTCCTTTTCATAGTTCAGGTTTGAAACACTCTGTAGTATCTGGAAGTGGACATTTCAAGCGCTTTCAAGCCTATGGGGAGAAAGGAAATATCTTGAAATAAAAACTAGACAGAAGGATTCTCAGAAACTTATTTGTGATGTGTGTCCTAAACGAACACAGTTGAACCTTTGTTTTGATACAGCATTTTGGAAACACTCCTTTTGTAGAATCTGCAGGTGGATATTTGGATAGATTTTAAGATTGCATTGGAAACGGGAATTTCTTCATATAAACTCAAGACAGATGCATTCTCAGAAACTTCTCTGTGATGTTTGCATTCCACTCATAGAGTTGAAAACTTCCTTTCATAGAGCAGGTTTGAAACACTCTTTTTGTAATATTTGGAAGTGGACATTTGCAGCGCTTTGAGGCCTATGGTGAAAAAGGAAATATCTTCTCATAAAAACCAGAAACAAGCATTCTCAGAAACTTCTTTTTGATGTGTGTACTCAAGTAACAGAGTTGAACCTTCCTCTTGACACAGCAGTTTTGAAACAATCTTTTTGTAGAATCTGCAAGTGGATATTTGGATAGCTTTGAGGATTTCGTTGGAAACGGGATATCTTCATATAAAATCTAGACAGAAGCATTCTCAGAAACTTCTTTGTGCTGTATGTCCTCAATTAACAGAGTTGAACCATTGCCTGGATACAGCATTTTGGAAACATTCCTTGAGTAGAATCTGCAAGTTGATATTTAGATAGATTTGAAGATTTCGTTGGAAAAGGGAATATCTCCATATAAAATCCTAGAGGGAAGCATTGTCAGAAACTGCTCTGTGATGTTTGCATTCAAGTCACAGAGTTAAATATTCTTTTATAGAGCAGGTTTGAAACACTCTTTCTGCACTCCCTGGAAGTGGAGATTTCGAGCGCTTTGAGGCCTATGGTGAAAAAGGAAATATCTTCCTGTAAAAACTAGACGGAAGCCTTCTCAGAAACTTGTTTGAGATGTGTGTATTCAACTAAGAGCGTTGAACATTTCTTTTTACAGAGCAGTTTTAAAACACTCTTTTGGTGCAATCTGAAAGTGGATAATTGGATAGCTTTGTGGATTTCGTTGGAAACGGGATTACGTTTAAAATCTAGAGAGAAGCATTCTCAGGAACTTCTTTCTGATGTTTGCATTCAAGTCACAGAATTGAACATTCCTTTTCATAGTGCAGGTTTGAAACACTCTGTAGTATCTGGAAGTGGACATTTCAAGCGCTTTCAGGCCTATGGGGAGAAAGGAAATATCTTGAAATAAAAACTAGACAGAAGGATTCTCAGAAACTTATTTGTGATGTGTGTCCTAAACGAACACAGTTGAACCTTTGTTTTGATACAGCATTTTGGAAACACTCCTTTTGTAGAATCTGCAGGTGGATATTTGGATAGATTTTAAGATTTCATTGGAAACGGGAATTTCTTCATATAAACTCAAGACAGATGCATTCTCAGAAACTTCTCTGTGATGTTTGCATTCCACTCACAGATTTGAAAACTTCCCTTCATAGAGCAGGTTTGAAACACTCTTTTTGTAATATTTGGAAGTGGACATTTGCAGCGCTTTGAGACCTATGGTGAAAAAGGAAATATCTTCTCATAAAAACCAGAAACAAGCATTCTCAGAAACTGCTTTTTGATGTGTGTACTCAAGTAACAGAGTTGAACCTTCCTTTTGACACAGCAGTTTTGAAACAATCTTTTTGTAGAATCTGCAAGTGGATATTTGGATAGCTTTGAGGATTTCGTTGGAAACGGGATATCTTCATATAAAATCTAGACAGGAAGCATTCTCAGAAACTTCTTTGTGCTGTATGTCCTCAATTAACAGAGTTGAACCATTGCTTGCATACAGCATTTTGGAAACATTCCTTTAGTAGAATCTGCAAGTTGATATTTAGATAGATTTGAAGATTTCGTTGGAAACGGGAATATCTTCATATAAAATCTACACGGAAGCATTCTCAGAAACTGCTTTGTGATGTTTCCATTCAAGTCACAGAGTTGAATATTCTCTTTTATAGAGCACGTTTGAAACACTCTTTCTGCACTATCTGGAAGTGGACATTTCGAGCGCTTTGAGGCCTATGGTGAAAAAGGAAATATCTTCCCATAAAAACTAGACAGAAGCATTCTCAGAAACTTGTTTGTGATGTGTGTATTCAACTGAGTTGAACTTTTGTTTCTACAGAGCAGTTTTAAAACACTCTTTTTGTGGAATCAGAAAGTGGATATTCGGATGGCTCTGAGGATTTCGTTGGAAGCGGGATTACATATAAAATCTAGAGAGAAGCATTCTCAGGAACTTCTTTGTGATGTTTGCATTGAAGTCACAGAATTGAACATTCACTTTGATAGAGCAGGTTTGAAACACTCATTCTGTAGGATCTGGAAGTGGACATTTCAAGCGCTTTCAGGCCTATGGTGAGAAAGGAAATATCTTCGAATAAAAACTAGACAGAAGCATCCTCAAACTTATTTGTGATGTGTGTCCTCAACTAACAGAGTTGAAACTTTGTTTTGATACAGCATTTTGGAAACACTCTTTTTGTAGAATCTGCAGGTGGATATTTGGATAGCTTAGAGGGATTCGTTGGAAAGGGGATATCTTCATATAGAATCTAGACAGAAGCATTCTCAGAAACTTATTTGTGATGTGTGTCCTCAACTAACAGAGTTGAACCTTGGTTTTGATACAGCATTTTGGAAACACTCCTTTTGAAGAATCTGCAGGTGGATATGTGGATAGCTTTGAAGATTTCGTTGGAAACGGAAATTTCTTCATATAAAATCAAACAGAAGCATTCTCAGTAAACTTCTCAGTGATGTTTGCATTCAGCTCATGGAGTTGAACACTTCCTTTCATAGAGCAGGTTTGAAACACTCTTTCTGCACTACCTGGAAGAGGACATTTCGAGCGCTTTGAGTCCTATGGTGAAAAAGGAAATATCTTCTCATAGAAACCAGAAAGAAGCATTCTCAGAAACTTCTTTGTGTTGTGTGTACTCATGTAACAGTGTTGAACCATCCTTTTGACAGAGCAGTTTTGAAACACTCTTTTTGTAGAATCTGCAAGTGGATATTTGGATAGCTTTGAGGATTTCGTTGGAAACGGGATGACATATAATATCTAGAGAGAAGCATTCTCAGGAACTTCTTTGTGATGTTTGCATTCAAGTCACAGAATTGAACATTCCCTTTCATAGAGCAGGTTTGAAACACTCTTTCTCTAGTATCTGGAAGTGGGCATTTCAAGCGCTTTCAGGCCTATGGAGAGAAAGGAAATACCTTCAAATAAAAACTAGACAGAAGCATTCTCAGAAACTTATTTGTGATGTGTGTCCTCAACTAACAGAGTTGAACCTTTGTTTTGATACAGCATTTTGGAAACACTCCTTTTGTAGAATCTGCAGGTGGATATTTGGATAGCTTTGAAGATTTCGTTGGAAACCGGAATATCTTCATATAAAATCAAGACAGAAGCATTCTCGGAAACATCTCTGTGATGTTTGCATTCAACTCAGTAGAGTTGAACACTTCCTTTCATAGAGCAGGTTTGAAACACTCTTTCTGCACTACCTGGAAGCGGACATTTCGAGCGCTTTGAGGCCTATGGTGAAAAAGGAAATATCTTCTCATAAAAACCAGAAAGAAGCATTCTCAGAAACTTCTTTGTGTTGTGTGTACTCAAGTAACAGTGTTGAACCTTCCTTTTGACAGAGTAGTTTTGAAACACTCTTTTGGTAGAATCTGCAAGTGGATATTTGGATAGCTTTGAGGATTTCGTTGGGAACGGGTTATCTTCCTATAAAATCCAGACAGGAGCATTCTCAGAAACTTCTTTGTGCTGTATGTCCTCAATTCACAGAGCTGAACCTTTGTTTGGATACAGCATTTTGGAGACATTCCTTTAGTAGAATCTGCAAGTTGATATTTAGATAGCTTTGAAGATTTCGTTGGAAACGGGAATATCTTCATAGAAAATCTAGACGGAAGCATTCTCAGAAACTGCTTTGTGATGTTTGCATTCAAGTCACAGAGTTGAATATTCCCTTTTATAGAGTAGGTTTGAAACACTCTTTCGGCACTACCTGGAAGTGGATATTTCGAGCTCTTTGAGGCCTATGGTTAAAAGGAAATATCTTCCCATAAAAACTAGACAGAAGCCGTCTCAGAAACTTGTTTGTGATGTGTGTATTCAACTAACAGAGTTGAACATTTCTGTTACAGAGCAATTTTAAAACACTCTTTGTGGAATCTGAAAGTGGATAATTGGATAGCTTTGTGGATTTCGTTGGAAACGGGATGACGTATAAAATCTAGAGAGAAGCATTCTCAGGAACTTCTTTCTGATGTTTGCATTCAAGTCACAGTAATTGAACATTCCTTTTCAGAGTGCAGGTTTGAAACACTCTTTCTGTAGTATCTGGAAGTGGACATTTCAAGCGCTTTCAGGCCTACGGGGAGAAAGGAAATATCTTCAAATAAAAACTAGACAGAAGGATTCTCAGAAACTTATTTGTGATGTGTGTCCTAAACGAACACAGTTGAACCTTTGTTTTGATACAGCATTTTGGAAACACTCCTTTTGTAGGATCTGCAGGTGGATATTTGGATAGATTTTAAGATTTCGTTGGAAACGGGAATTTCTTCATAGAAGCTCAAGACAGATGCATTCTCAGAAACTTCTCTGTGATGTTTGCATTCCAATCATAGAGTTGAAAACTTCCTTTCATAGAGCAGGTTTGAAACACTCTTTTTGTAATATTTGGAAGTGGACATTTGCAGCGCTTTGAGGCCTATGGTGAAAAAGGAAATATCTTCTCATAAAAACCAGAAACAAAGCATTCTCAGAAACTTCTTTTTGATGTGTGTACTCAAGTAACAGAGTTGAACCTTCCTTTTGACACAGCAGTTTTGAAACAATCTTTTTGTAGAATCTGCAAGTGGATATTTGGATAGCTTTGAGGATTTCGTTGGAAACGGGATATCTTCATATAAAATCTAGACAGAGCATTCTCAGAAACTTCTTTGTGCTGTATGACCTCAATTAACAGAGTTGAACCATTGCTTGCATACAGCATTTTGGAAACATTCCTTGAGTAGAATCTGCAAGTTGATATTTAGATAGATTTGAAGATTTCGTTGGAAAAGGGAATATCTCCATATAAAATCTAGAGGGAAGCATTCTCAGAAACTGCTTTGTGATGTTTCCATTCAAGTCACAGAGTTGAATATTCCCTTTTATAGAGCACGTTTGAAACACTCTTTCTGCACTATCTGGAAGTGGACATTTCGAGCGCTTTGAGGCCTATGGTGAAAAAGGAAATATCTTCCCATAAAAACTAGACAGAAGCATTCTCAGAAACTTGTTTGTGATGTGTGTATTCAACTAACAGAGTTGAACTTTTGTTTTTACAGAGCCGTTTTAAAACACTCTTTTTGTGGAATCAGAAAGTGGATATTCGGATGGCTCTGAGGATTTCGTTGGAAGCGGGATTACGTATAAAATCTAGAGAGAAGCATTCTCAGGAACTTCTTTGTGATGTTTGCATTGAAGTCACAGAATTGAACATTCACTTTGATAGAGCAGGTTTGAAACACTCATTCTGTAGTATCTGGAAGTGGACATTTCAAGCGCTTTCAGGCCTATGGTGGGAAAGGAAATATCTTCGAATAAAAACTAGACAGAACCATCCTCAGAAACTTATTTGTGATGTGTGTCCTCAACTAACAGAGTTAAAACTTTGTTTTGATACAGCATTTTGGAAACACTCTTTTTGTAGAATCTGCAGGTGGATATTTTGATAGCTTAGAGGGATTCGTTGGAAAGGGGATATCTTCATATAAAATCTAGACAGAAGCATTCTCAGAAACTTATTTGTGATGTGTGTCCTCAACTAACAGAGTTGAACCTTGGTTTTGATACAGCATTTTGGAAACACTTCTTTTGTAGAATCTGCAGGTGGATATGTGGATAGCTTTGAAGATTTCGTTGGAAACGGGAATTTCTTCATATAAAATCAAACAGAAGCATTCTCAGAAACTTCTCAGTGATGTTTGCATTCAGTTCATGGAGTTGAACACTTCCCTTCATAGAGCCGGTTTGAAACACTCTTTCTGCACTACCTGGAAGAGGACATTTCGAGCGCTTTGAGTCCTATGGTGAAAAAGGAAATATCTTCTCATAGAAACCAGAAAGAAGCATTCTCAGAAACTTCTTTGTGTTGTGTGTACTCATGTAACAGTGTTGAACCATCCTTTTGACAGAGCAGTTTTGAAACACTCTTTTTGTAGAATCTGCAAGTGGATATTTGGATAGCTTTGAGGATTTCGTTGGAAACGGGTTATCTTCATATAAAATCCAGACAGGAGCATTCTCAGAAACTTCTTTGTGCTGTATGTCCTCAATTCACAGAGCTGAACCTTTGTTTGGATACAGCATTTTGGAGACATTCCTTTAGTAGAATCTGCAAGTTGATATTTAGATAGCTTTGAAGATTTCGTTGGAAACGGGAATATCTTCATAGAAAATCTAGATGGAAGCATTCTCAGAAACTGCTTTGTGATGTTTGCATTCAAGTCACAGAGTTGAATATTCCCTTTTATAGAGTAGGTTTGAAACACTCTTTCGGCACTACCTGGAAGTGGATATTTCGAGCTCTTTGAGGCCTATGGTTAAAAGGAAATATCTTCCCATAAAAACTAGACAGAAGCCGTCTCAGAAACTTGTTTGTGATGTGTGTATTCAACTAACAGAGTTGAACATTTCTGTTACAGAGCAATTTTAAAACACTCTTTTTGTGGAATCTGAAAGTGGATAATTGGATAGCTTTGTGGATTTCGTTGGAAACGGGATGACGTATAAAATCTAGAGAGAAGCATTCTCAGGAACTTCTTTCTGATGTTTGCATTCAAGTCACAGTAATTGAACATTCCTTTTCAGAGTGCAGGTTTGAAACACTCTTTCTGTAGTATCTGGAAGTGGACATTTCAAGCGCTTTCAGGCCTACGGGGAGAAAGGAAATATCTTCAAATAAAAACTAGACAGAAGGATTCTCAGAAACTTATTTGTGATGTGTGTCCTAAACGAACACAGTTGAACCTTTGTTTTGATACAGCATTTTGGAAACACTCCTTTTGTAGGATCTGCAGGTGGATATTTGGATAGATTTTAAGATTTCGTTGGAAACGGGAATTTCTTCATAGAAGCTCAAGACAGATGCATTCTCAGAAACTTCTCTGTGATGTTTGCATTCCACTCATAGAGTTGAAAACTTCCTTTCATAGAGCAGGTTTGAAACACTCTTTTTGTAATATTTGGAAGTGGACATTTGCAGCGCTTTGAGGCCTATGGTGAAAAAGGAAATATCTTCTCATAAAAACCAGAAACAAGCATTCTCAGAAACTTCTTTTTGATGTGTGTACTCAAGTAACAGAGTTGAACCTTCCTTTTGACACAGCAGTTTTGAAACAATCTTTTTGTAGAATCTGCAAGTGGATATTTGGATAGCTTTGAGGATTTCGTTGGAAACGGGATATCTTCATATAAAATCTAGACAGAAGCATTCTCAGAAACTTCTTTGTGCTGTATGTCCTCAATTAACAGAGTTGAACCATTGCTTGGATACAGCATTTTGGAAACATTCCTTTAGTAGAATCTGCAAGTTGATATTTAGATAGATTTGAAGATTTCGTTGGAAAAGGGAATATCTTCATAGAAAATCTAGACGGAAGCATTCTCAGAAACTGCTTTGTGATGTTTCCATTCAAGTCACAGAGTTGAATATTCCCTTTTATAGAGCACGTTTGAAACACTCTTTCTGCACTATCTGGAAGTGGACATTTCGAGCGCTTTGAGGCCTATGGTGAAAAAGGAAATATCTTCCCATAAAAACTAGACAGAAGCATTCTCAGAAACTTGTTTGTGATGTGTGTATTCAACTGAGTTGAACTTTTGTTTCTACAGAGCAGTTTTAAAACACTCTTTTTGTGGAATCAGAAAGTGGATATTCGGATGGCTCTGAGGATTTCGTTGGAAGCGGGATTACATATAAAATCTAGAGAGAAGCATTCTCAGGAACTTCTTTGTGATGTTTGCATTGAAGTCACAGAATTGAACATTCACTTTGATAGAGCAGGTTTGAAACACTCATTCTGTAGTATCTGGAAGTGGACATTTCAAGCGCTTTCAGGCCTATGGTGAGAAAGGAAATATCTTCAAATAAAAACTAGACAGAAGCATCGTCAGAAACTTATTTGTGATGTGTGTCCTCAACTAACAGAGTTGAAACTTTGTTTTGATACAGCCTTTTGGAAACACTCTTTTTGTAGAATCTGCAGGTGCATATTTGGATAGCTTAGAGGGATTCGTTGGAAAGGGGATATCTTCATATAAAATCTAGACAGAAGCATTCTCAGAAACTTATTTGTGATGTGTGTCCTCAACTAACAGAGTTGAACCTTGGTTTTGATACAGCATTTTGGAAACACTCCTTTTGTACAATCTGCAGGTGGATATGTGGATAGCTTTGAAGATTTCGTTGGAAACGGGAATTTCTTCATGTAAAATCAAACAGAAGCATTCTCAGAAACTTCTCTGTGATGTTTGCATTCAGCTCATGGAGTTGAACACTTCCTTTCATAGAGCAGGTTTGAAACACTCTTTCTGCACTACCTGGAAGCGGACATTTCGAGCGCTTTGAGGCCTATGGTGAAAAAGGAAATATCTTCTCATAAAAACCAGAAAGAAGCATTCTCAGAAACTTCTTTGTGTTGTGTGTACTCAAGTAACAGTGTTGAACCTTCCTTTTGACAGAGCAGGTTTGAAACACTCTTTTGGTAGAATCTGCAAGGGGATATTTGGATAGCTTTGAGGATTTCGTTGGAAACGGGTTATCTTCATATAAAATCCAGACAGGAGCATTCTCAGAAACTTCTTTGTGCTGTATGTCCTCAATTCACAGAGCTGAACCTTTGTTTGGATACAGCATTTTGGAGACATTCCTTTAGTAGAATCTGCAAGTTGATATTTAGATAGCTTTGAAGATTTCGTTGGAAACGGGAATATCTTCATAGAAAATCTAGACGGAAGCATTCTCAGAAACTGCTTTGTGATGTTTGCATTCAAGTCACAGAGTTGAATATTCCCTTTTATAGAGTAGGTTTGAAACACTCTTTCGGCACTACCTGGAAGTGGATATTTTGAGCTCTTTGAGGCCTATGGTTAAAAGGAAATATCTTCCCATAAAAACTAGACAGAAGCCGTCTCAGAAACTTGTTTGTGATGTGTGTATTCAACTAACAGAGTTGAACATTTCTGTTACAGAGCAATTTTAAAACACTCTTTGTGGAATCTGAAAGTGGATAATTGGATAGCTTTGTGGATTTCGTTGGAAACGGGATGACGTATAAAATCTAGAGAGAAGCATTCTCAGGAACTTCTTTCTGATGTTTGCATTCAAGTCACAGAATTGAACATTCCTTTTCAGAGTGCAGGTTTGAAACACTCTTTCTGTAGTATCTGGAAGTGGACATTTCAAGCGCTTTCAGGCCTACGGGGAGAAAGGAAATATCTTCAAATAAAAACTAGACAGAAGGATTCTCAGAAACTTATTTGTGATGTGTGTCCTAAACGAACACAGTTGAACCTTTGTTTTGATACAGCATTTTGGAAACACTCCTTTTGTAGGATCTGCAGGTGGATATTTGGATAGATTTTAAGATTTCGTTGGAAACGGGAATTTCTTCATAGAAGCTCAAGACAGATGCATTCTCAGAAACTTCTCTGTGATGTTTGCATTCCACTCATAGAGTTGAAAACTTCCTTTCATAGAGCAGGTTTGAAACACTCTTTTTGTAATATTTGGAAGTGGACATTTGCAGCGCTTTGAGGCCTATGGTGAAAAAGGAAATATCTTCTCATAAAAACCAGAAACAAGCATTCTCAGAAACTTCTTTTTGATGTGTGTACTCAAGTAACAGAGTTGAACCTTCCTTTTGACACAGCAGTTTTGAAACAATCTTTTTGTAGAATCTGCAAGTGGATATTTGGATAGCTTTGAGGATTTCGTTGGAAACGGGATATCTTCATATAAAATCTAGACAGAAGCATTCTCAGAAACTTCTTTGTGCTGTATGTCCTCAATTAACAGAGTTGAACCATTGCCTGGATACAGCATTTTGGAAACATTCCTTGAGTAGAATCTGCAAGTTGATATTTAGATAGATTTGAAGATTTCGTTGGAAAAGGGAATATCTCCATATAAAATCTAGAGGGAAGCATTCTCAGAAACTGCTTTGTGATGTTTCCATTCAAGTCACAGAGTTGAATATTCCCTTTTATAGAGCACGTTTGAAACACTCTTTCTGCACTATCTGGAAGCGGACATTTCGAGCGCTTTGAGGCCTATGGTGAAAAAGGAAATATCTTCCCATAAAAACTAGACAGAAGCATTCTCAGAAACTTGTTTGTGATGTGTGTATTCAACTAACAGAGTTGAACTTTTGTTTTTACAGAGCCGTTTTAAAACACTCTTTTTGTGGAATCAGAAAGTGGATATTCGGATGGCTCTGAGGATTTCGTTGGAAGCGGGATTACGTATAAAATCTAGAGAGAAGCATTCTCAGGAACTTCTTTGTGATGTTTGCATTCAAGTCACAGAATTGAACATTCCCTTTCATAGAGCAGGTTTGAAACACTCATTCTGTAGTATCTGGAAGTGGACATTTCAAGCGCTTTCAGGCCTATGGTGAGAAAGGAAATATCTTCGAATAAAAACTAGACAGAAGCATCCTCAAACTTATTTGTGATGTGTGTCCTCAACTAACAGAGTTGAAACTTTGTTTTGATACAGCATTTTGGAAACACTCTTTTTGTAGAATCTGCAGGTGGATATTTGGATAGCTTAGAGGGATTCGTTGGAAAGGGGATATCTTCATATAAAATCTAGACAGAAGCATTCTCAGAAACTTATTTGTGATGTGTGTCCTCAACTAACAGAGTTGAACCTTGGTTTTGATACAGCATTTTGGAAACACTCCTTTTGTAGAATCTGCAGGTGGATATGTGGATAGCTCTGAAGATTTCGTTGGAAACGGGAATTTCTTCATATAAAATCAAACAGAAGCATTCTCAGAAACTTCTCAGTGATGTTTGCATTCAGCTCATGGAGTTGTACACTTCCTTTCATAGAGCAGGTTTGAAACACTCTTTCTGCACTACCTGGAAGAGGACATTTCGAGCGCTTTGAGTCCTATGGTGAAAAAGGAAATATCTTCTCATAGAAACCAGAAAGAAGCATTCTCAGAAACTTCTTTGTGTTGTGTGTACTCATGTAACAGTGTTGAACCATCCTTTTGACAGAGCAGTTTTGAAACACTCTTTTTGTAGAATCTGCAAGTGGATATTTGGATAGCTTTGAGGATTTCGTTGGAAACGGGATGACATATAATATCTAGAGAGAAGCATTCTCAGGAACTTCTTTGTGATGTTTGCATTCAAGTCACAGAATTGAACATTCCCTTTCATAGAGCAGGTTTGAAACACTCTTTCTCTAGTATCTGGAAGTGGGCATTTCAAGCGCTTTCAGGCCTATGGAGAGAAAGGAAATACCTTCAAATAAAAACTAGACAGAAGCATTCTCAGAAACTTATTTGTGATGTGTGTCCTCAACTAACAGAGTTGAACCTTTGTTTTGATACAGCATTTTGGAAACACTCCTTTTGTAGAATCTGCAGGTGGATATTTGGATAGCTTTGAAGATTTCGTTGGAAACCGGAATATCTTCATATAAAATCAAGACAGAAGCATTCTCGGAAACATCTCTGTGATGTTTGCATTCAACTCAGTAGAGTTGAACACTTCCTTTCATAGAGCAGGTTTGAAACACTCTTTCTGCACTACCTGGAAGCGGACATTTCGAGCGCTTTGAGGCCTATGGTGAAAAAGGAAATATCTTCTCATAAAAACCAGAAAGAAGCATTCTCAGAAACTTCTTTGTGTTGTGTGTACTCAAGTAACAGTGTTGAACCTTCCTTTTGACAGAGTAGTTTTGAAACACTCTTTTGGTAGAATCTGCAAGTGGATATTTGGATAGCTTTGAGGATTTCGTTGGAAACGGGTTATCTTCCTATAAAATCCAGACAGGAGCATTCTCAGAAACTTCTTTGTGCTGTATGTCCTCAATTCACAGAGCTGAACCTTTGTTTGGATACAGCATTTTGGAGACATTCCTTTAGTAGAATCTGCAAGTTGATATTTAGATAGCTTTGAAGATTTCGTTGGAAACGGGAATATCTTCATAGAAAATCTAGACGGAAGCATTCTCAGAAACTGCTTTGTGATGTTTGCATTCAAGTCACAGAGTTGAATATTCCCTTTTATAGAGTAGGTTTGAAACACTCTTTCGGCACTACCTGGAAGTGGATATTTCGAGCTCTTTGAGGCCTATGGTTAAAAGGAAATATCTTCCCATAAAAACTAGACAGAAGCCGTCTCAGAAACTTGTTTGTGATGTGTGTATTCAACTACCAGAGTGGAACATTTGTGTTACAGAGCAATTTTAAAACACTCTTTTTGTGGAATCTGAAAGTGGATAATTGGATAGCTTTGTGGATTTCGTTGGAAACGGGATGACGTATAAAATCTAGAGAGAAGCATTCTCAGGAACTTCTTTCTGATGTTTGCATTCAAGTCACAGAATTGAACATTCCTTTTCAGAGTGCAGGTTTGAAACACTCTTTCTGTAGTATCTGGAAGTGGACACTTCAAGCGCTTTCAGGCCTACGGGGAGAAAGGAAATATCTTCAAATAAAAACTAGACAGAAGGATTCTCAGAAACTTATTTGTGATGTGTGTCCTAAACGAACACAGTTGAACCTTTGTTTTGATACAGCATTTTGGAAACACTCCTTTTGTAGGATCTGCAGGTGGATATTTGGATAGATTTTAAGATTTCGTTGGAAACGGGAATTTCTGCATATAAACTCAAGACAGATGCATTCTCAGAAACTTCTCTGTGATGTTTGCATTCCACTCATAGAGTTGAAAACTTCCTTTCATAGAGCAGGTTTGAAACACTCTTTTTGTAATATTTGGAAGTGGACATTTGCAGCGCTTTGAGGCCTATGGTGAAAAAGGAAATATCTTCTCATAAAAACCAGAAACAAGCATTCTCAGAAACTTCTTTTTGATGTGTGTACTCAAGTAACAGAGTTGAACCTTCCTTTTGACACAGCAGTTTTGAAACAATCTTTTTGTAGAATCTGCAAGTGGATATTTGGATAGCTTTGAGGATTTCGTTGGAAACGGGATATCTTCATATAAAATCTAGACAGAAGCATTCTCAGAAACTTCTTTGTGCTGTATGTCCTCAATTAACAGAGTTGAACCATTGCCTGGATACAGCATTTTGGAAACATTCCTTGAGTAGAATCTGCAAGTTGATATTTAGATAGATTTGAAGATTTCGTTGGAAAAGGGAATATCTCCATATAAAATCTACAGGGAAGCATTCTCAGAAACTGCTTTGTGATGTTTCCATTCAAGTCACAGAGTTGAATATTCCCTTTTATAGAGCACGTTTGAAACACTCTTTCTGCACTATCTGGAAGCGGACATTTCGAGCGCTTTGAGGCCTATGGTGAAAAAGGAAATATCTTCCCATAAAAACTAGACAGAAGCATTCTCAGAAACTTGTTTGTGATGTGTGTATTCAACTAACAGAGTTGAACTTTTGTTTTTACAGAGCCGTTTTAAAACACTCTTTTTGTGGAATCAGAAAGTGGATATTCGGATGGCTCTGAGGATTTCGTTGGAAGCGGGATTACGTATAAAATCTAGAGAGAAGCATTCTCAGGAACTTCTTTCTGATGTTTGCATTGAAGTCACGGAATTGAACATTCACTTTTATAGAGCAGGTTTGAAACACTCATTCTGTAGTATCTGGAAGTGGACATTTCAAGCGCTTTCAGGCCTATGGTGAGAAAGGAAATATCTTCGAATAAAAACTAGACAGAAGCATCCTCAGAAACTTATTTGTGATGTGTGTCCTCAACTAACAGAGTTGAAACTTTGTTTTGATACAGCATTTTGGAAACACTCTTTTTGTAGAATCTGCAGGTGGATATTTGGATAGCTTAGAGGGATTCGTTGGAAAGGGGATATCTTCATATAAAATCTAGACAGAAGCATTCTCAGAAACTTATTTGTGATGTGTGTCCTCAACTAACAGAGTTGAACCTTGGTTTTGATACGGCATTTTGGAAACACTCCTTTTGAAGAATCTGCTGGTGGATATGTGGATAGCTTTGAAGATTTCGTTGGAAACGGGAATTTCTTCATATAAAATCAAACAGAAGCATTCTCAGAAACTTCTCTGTGATGTTTGCATTCAGCTCATGGAGTTGAACACTTCCTTTCATAGAGCAGGTTTGAAACACTCTTTCTGCACTACCAGGAAGTGGACATTTCGAGCGCTTTGAGGCCTATGGTGAAAAAGGAAATATCTTCTCATAAAAACCAGAAAGAAGCGTTCTCAGAAACTTCTTTGTGCTGTGTGTACTCATGTAACGGTGTTGAACCATCCTTTTGACAGAGCAGTTTTGAAACACTCTTTTTGTAGAATCTGCAAGTGGATATTTGGATAGCTTTGAGGATTTCGTTGGAAACGGGTTATCTTCATATTAAATCTAGACAGAAGCATTCTCAGAAACTTCTTTGTGCTGTATGTCCTCAATTCACAGAGTTGAACCTTTGTTTGGATACAGCATTTTGGAAACATTCCTTTAGTAGAATCTGCAAGTTGATATTTAGATAGCTTTGAAGATTTCGTTGGAAACGGGAATATCTTCATAAAAAATCTAGACGGAAGCATTGTCAGAAACTGCTCTGTGATGTTTGCATTCAAGTCACAGAGTTAAATATTCTTTTACAGAGCAGGTTTGAAACACTCTTTCTGCACTCCCTGGAAGTGGCGATTTCGAGCGCTTTGAGGCCTATGGTGAAAAAGGAAATATCTTCCCATAAAAACTAGACGGAAGCCTTCTCAGAAACTTGTTTGAGATGTGTGTATTCAACTAAGAGCGTTGAACATTTCTTTTTACAGAGCAGTTTTAAAACAGTCTTTTGGTGGAATCTGAAAGTGGATAATTGGATAGCTTTGTGGATTTCGTTGGAAACGGGATGACGTTTAAAATCTAGAGAGAAGCATTCTCAGGAACTTCTTTCTGATGTTTGCATTCAAGTCACAGAATTGAACATTCCTTTTCATAGTGCAGGTTTGAAACACTCTGTAGTATCTGGAAGTGGACATTTCAAGCGCTTTCAAGCCTATGGGGAGAAAGGAAATATCTTGAAATAAAAACTAGACAGAAGGATTCTCAGAAACTTATTTGTGATGTGTGTCCTAAACGAACACAGTTGAACCTTTGTTTTGATACAGCATTTTGGAAACACTCCTTTTGTAGAATCTGCAGGTGGATATTTGGATAGATTTTAAGATTTCATTGGAAACGGGAATTTCTTCATATAAACTCAAGACAGATGCATTCTCAGAAACTTCTCTGTGATGTTTGCATTCCACTCATAGAGTTGAAAACTTCCTTTCATAGAGCAGGTTTGAAACACTCTTTTTGTAATATTTGGAACTGGACATTTGCAGCGCTTTGAGGCCTATGGTGAAAAAGGAAATATCTTCTCATAAAAACCAGAAACAAGCATTCTCAGAAACTGCTTTTTGATGTGTGTACTCAAGTAACAGAGTTGAACCTTCCTTTTGACACAGCAGTTTTGAAACAATCTTTTTGTAGAATCTGCAAGTGGATATTTGGATAGCTTTGAGGATTTCGTTGGAAACGGGATATCTTCATATAAAATCTAGACAGAAGCATTCTCAGAAACTTCTTTGTGCTGTATGTCCTCAATTAACAGAGTTGAACCATTGCTTGGATACAGCATTTTGGAAACATTCCTTTAGTAGAATCTGCAAGTTGATATTTAGATAGATTTGAAGATTTCGTTGGAAACGGGAATATCTTCATATAAAATCTAGACGGAGGCATTCTCAGAAACTGCTTTGTGATGTTTCCATTCAAGTCACAGAGTTGAATATTCTCTTTTATAGAGCACGTTTGAAACACTCTTTCTGCACTATCTGGAAGTGGACATTTCGAGCGCTTTGAGGCCTATGGTGAAAAAGGAAATATCTTCCCATAAAAACTAGACAGAAGCATTCTCAGAAACTTGTTTGTGATGTGTGTATTCAACTAACAGACTTGAACTTTTGTTTTTACAGAGCAGTTTTAAAACAATCTTTTTGTGGAATCAGAAAGTGGATATTCGGATGGCTTTGAGGATTTCGTTGGAAGCGGGATTACATATAAAATCTAGAGAGAAACATTCTCAGGAACTACTTTGTGATGTTTGCATTGAAGTCACAGAATTGAACATTCACTTTGATAGAGCAGGTTTGAAACACTCATTTTGTAGTATCTGGAAGTGGACATTTCAAGCGCTTTCAGGCCTATGGGGAGAAAGGAAATATCTTCAAATAAAAACTAGACAGAAGCATCCTCAGAAACTTATTTGTGATGTGTGTCCTCAACTAACAGAGTTGAAACTTTGTTTTGATACAGCATTTTGGAAACACTCTTTTTGTAGAATCTGCAGGTGGATATTTGGATAGCTTAGAGGGATTCGTTGGAAAGGGGATATCTTCATATAAAATCTAGACAGAAGCATTCTCAGAAACTTATTTGTGATGTGTGTCCTCAACTAACAGAGTTGAACCTTGGTTTTGATACAGCATTTTGGAAACACTCCTTTTGTAGAATCTGCAGGTGGATATGTGGATAGCTTTGAAGATTTCGTTGGAAACGGGAATTTCTTCATATAAAATCAAAGAGAAGCATTCTCAGAAACTTCTCTGTGATGTTTGTATTCAGCTCATGGAGTTGAACACTTCCTTTCATAGAGCAGGTTTGAAACACTCTTTCTGCACTACCTGGAAGTGGACATTTCGAGCGCTTTGAGGCCTATGGTGAAAAAGGAAATATCTTCTCATAAAAACCAGAAGGAAGCATTCTCAGAAACTTCTTTGTGTTGTGTGTACTCATGTAACAGTGTTGAACCATCCTTTTGACAGAGCAGTTTTGAAACACTCTTTTTGTAGAATCTGCAAGTGGATATTTGGATAGCTTTGAGGATTTCGTTGGAAACGGGTTATCTTCATATTAAATCTAGACAGAAGCATTCTGAGAAACTTCTTTGTGCTGTATGTCCTCAATTCACAGAGTTGAACCTTTGTTTGGATACAGCATTTTAGAAACATTCCTTTAGTAGAATCTGCAAGTGGATATTTAGATAGCTTTGAAGATTTCGTTGGAAACGGGAATATCTTCATAAAAAATCTAGACGGAAGCATTGTCAGAAACTGCTTTGTGATGTTTGCATTCAAGTCACAGAGTTAAATAGTCTTTTATAGAGCAGGTTTGAAACACTCTTTCTGCACTACCTGGAAGTGGAGATTTCGAGCGCTTTGAGGCCTATGGTGAAAAAGGAAATATCTTCCCATAAAAACTAGACGGAAGCCTTCTCAGAAACTTGTTTGAGATGTGTGTATTCAACTAAGAGCGTTGAACATTTCTTTTTACAGAGCAGTTTTAAAACACTCTTTTTGTGGAATCTGAAAGTGGATAATTGGATAGCTTTGTGGATTTCGTTGGAAACGGGATTACGTATAAAATCAAGAGAGAAGCATTCTCAGGAACTTCTTTCTGATGTTTGCATTCAAGTCACAGAATTGAACATTCCTCTTCATAGTGCAGGTTTGAAACACTCTTTCTGTAGTATCTGGAAGTGGACATTTCAAGCGCTTTCAGGACTATGGGGAGAAAGGAAATATCTTCAAATAAAAACTAGACAGAAGGATTCTCAGAAACTTATTTGTGATGTGTGTCCTAAACGAACACAGTTGAACCTTTGTTTTGATACAGCATTTTGGAAACACTCCTTTTGTAGAATCTGCAGGTGGATATTTGGATAGATTTTAAGATTTCATTGGAAACGGGAATTTCTTCATATAAACTCAAGACAGATGCATTCTCAGAAACTTCTCTGTGATGTTTGCATTCCACTCATAGAGTTGAAAACTTCCTTTCATAGAGCAGGTTTGAAACACTCTTTTTGTAATATTTGGAACTGGACATTTGCAGCGCTTTGAGGCCTATGGTGAAAAAGGAAATATCTTCTCATAAAAACCAGAAACAAGCATTCTCAGAAACTGCTTTTTGATGTGTGTACTCAAGTAACAGAGTTGAACCTTCCTTTTGACACAGCAGTTTTGAAACAATCTTTTTGTAGAATCTGCAAGTGGATATTTGGATAGCTTTGAGGATTTCGTTGGAAACGGGATATCTTCATATAAAATCTAGACAGAAGCATTCTCAGAAACTTCTTTGTGCTGTATGTCCTCAATTAACAGAGTTGAACCATTGCTTGGATACAGCATTTTGGAAACATTCCTTTAGTAGAATCTGCAAGTTGATATTTAGATAGATTTGAAGATTTCGTTGGAAACGGGAATATCTTCATATAAAATCTAGACGGAGGCATTCTCAGAAACTGCTTTGTGATGTTTCCATTCAAGTCACAGAGTTGAATATTCTCTTTTATAGAGCACGTTTGAAACACTCTTTCTGCACTATCTGCAAGTGGACATTTCGAGCGCTTTGAGGCCTATGGTGAAAAAGGAAATATCTTCCCATAAAAACTAGACAGAAGCATTCTCAGAAACTTGTTTGTGATGTGTGTATTCAACTAACAGACTTGAACTTTTGTTTTTACAGAGCAGTTTTAAAACAATCTTTTTGTGGAATCAGAAAGTGGATATTCGGATGGCTTTGAGGATTTCGTTGGAAGCGGGATTACATATAAAATCTAGAGAGAAGCATTCTCAGGAACTACTTTGTGATGTTTGCATTGAAGTCACAGAATTGAACATTCACTTTGATAGAGCAGGTTTGAAACACTCATGCTGTAGTATCTGGAAGTGGACATTTCAAGCGCTTTCAGGCCTATGGTGAGAAAGGAAATATCTTCAAATAAAAACTAGACAGAAGCATCCTCAGAAACTTATTTGTGATGTGTGTCCTCAACTCACAGAGTGGAAACTTTGTTTTGATACAACATTTTGGAAACACTCTTTTTGTAGGATCTGCAGGTGGATACTTGGATAGCTTAGAGGGATTCGTTGGAAAGGGGATATCTTCATATAAAATCTAGACAGAAGCATTCTCAGAAACTTATTTGTGATGTGTGTCCTCAACTAACAGAGTTGAACCTTGGTTTTGATACAGCATTTTGGAAACACTCCTTTTGAAGAATCTGCAGGTGGATATGTGGATAGCTTTGAAGATTTCGTTGGAAACGGGAATTTCTTCATATAAAATCAAACAGAAGCATTCTCAGAAACTTCTCTGTGATGTTTGCATTCAGCTCATGGAGTTGAACACTTCCTTTCATAGAGCAGGTTTGAAACACTCTTTCTGCACTACCTAGAAGTGGACATTTCGAGCGCTTTGAGGCCTATGGTGAAAAAGGAAATATCCTCTCATAAAAACCAGAAAGAAGCGTTCTCAGAAACTTCTTTGTGTTGTGTGTACTCATGTAACAGTGTTGAACCATCCTTTTGACAGAGCAGTTTTGAAACACTCTTTTTGTAGAATCTGCAAGTGGATATTTGGATAGCTTTGAGGATTTCGTTGGAAACGGGTTATCTTCATATTAAATCTAGACAGATAAGCATTCTCAGAAAACTTCTTTGTGCTGTATGTCCTCAATTCACAGAGCTGAACCTTTGTTTGGATACAGCATTTTGGAAACATTCCTTTAGTAGAATCTGCAAGTTGATATTTAGATAGCTTTGAAGATTTCGTTGGAAACGGGAATATCTTCATAAAAAATCTAGACGGAAGCATTGTCAGAAACTGCTCTGTGATGTTTGCATTCAAGTCACAGAGTTAAATATTCTTTTACAGAGCAGGTTTGAAACAGTCTTTCTGCACTCCCTGGAAGTGGAGATTTCGAGCGCTTTGAGGCCTATGGTGAAAAAGGAAATATCTTCCCATAAAAACTAGACGGAAGCCTTCGTAGAAACTTGTTTGAGATGTGTGTATTCAACTAAGAGCGTTGAACATTTCTTTTTACAGAGCAGTTTTAAAACACTCTTTTGGTGGAATCTGAAAGTGGATAATTGGATAGCTTTGTGTATTTCGTTGGAAACGGGATGACGTTTAAAATCTAGAGAGAAGCATTCTCAGGAACTTCTTTCTGATGTTTGCATTCAAGTCACAGAATTGAACATTCCTTTTCATAGTGCAGGTTTGAAACACTCTGTAGTATCTGGAAGTGGACATTTCAAGCGCTTTCAAGCCTATGGGGAGAAAGGAAATATCTTGAAATAAAAACTAGACAGAAGGATTCTCAGAAACTTATTTGTGATGTGTGTCCTAAACGAACACAGTTGAACCTTTGTTTTGATACAGCATTTTGGAAACACTCCTTTTGTAGAATCTGCAGGTGGATATTTGGATAGATTTTAAGATTTCATTGGAAACGGGAATTTCTTCATATAAACTCAAGACAGATGCATTCTCAGAAACTTCTCTGTGATGTTTGCATTCCACTCATAGAGTTGAAAACTTCCTTTCATAGAGCAGGTTTGAAACACTCTTTTTGTAATATTTGGAAGTGGACATTTGCAGCGCTTTGAGGCCTATGGTGAAAAAGGAAATATCTTCTCATAAAAAGCAGAAACAAGCATTCTCAGAAACTGCTTTTTGATGTGTGTACTCAAGTAAGAGAGTTGAACCTTCCTTTTGACACAGCAGTTTTGAAACAATCTTTTTGTAGAATCTGCAAGTGGATATTTGGATAGCTTTGAGGATTTCGTTGGAAACGGGATATCTTCATATAAAATCTAGACAGAAGCATTCTCAGAAACTTCTTTGTGCTGTATGTCCTCAATTAACAGAGTTGAACCATTGCTTGGATACAGCATTTTGGAAACATTCCTTTAGTAGAATCTGCAAGTTGATATTTAGATAGATTTGAAGATTTCGTTGGAAACGGGAATATCTTCATATAAAATCTAGACGGAGGCATTCTCAGAAACTGCTTTGTGATGTTTCCATTCAAGTCACAGAGTTGAATATTCTCTTTTATAGAGCACGTTTGAAACACTCTTTCTGCACTATCTGGAAGTGGACATTTCGAGCGCTTTGAGGCCTATGGTGAAAAAGGAAATATCTTCCCATAAAAACTAGACAGAAGCATTCTCAGAAACTTGTTTGTGATGTGTGTATTCAACTAACAGAGTTGAACTTTTGTTTTTACAGAGCCGTTTTAAAACACTCTTTTTGTGGAATCAGAAAGTGGATATTCGGATGGCTCTGAGGATTTCGTTGGAAGCGGGATTACGTATAAAATCTAGAGAGAAGCATTCTCAGGAACTTCTTTGTGATGTTTGCATTGAAGTCACAGAATTGAACATTCACTTTTATAGAGCAGGTTTGAAACACTCATTCTGTAGTATCTGGAAGTGGACATTTCAAGCGCTTTCAGGCCTATGGTGAGAAAGGAAATATCTTCAAATAAAAACTAGACCGAAGCATCCTCAGAAACTTATTTGTGATGTGTGTCCTCAACTAACACAGTTGAAACTTTGTTTTAATACAGCCTTTTGGAAACACTCCTTTCGTAGAATCTGCAGGTGGCTATTTGGATAGCTTAGAGGGATTCGTTGGAAAGGGGATATCTTCATATAAAATCTAGACAGAAGCATTCTCAGAAACTTATTTGTGATGTGTGTCCTCAACTAACAGAGTTGAACCTTGGTTTTGATACAGCATTTTGGAAACTCTCCTTTTGTAGAATCTGCAGGTGGATATGTGGATAGCTCTGAAGATTTCGTTGGAAACGGGAATTTCTTCATATAAAATCAAACAGAAGCATTCTCAGAAACTTCTCAGTGATGTTTGCATTCAGCTCATGGAGTTGAACACTTCCTTTCATAGATCAGGTTTGAAACACTCTTTCTGCACTACCTGGAAGAGGACATTTCGAGCGCTTTGAGTCCTATGGTGAAAAAGGAAATATCTTCTCATAGAAACCAGAAAGAAGCATTCTCAGAAACTTCTTTGTGTTGTGTGTACTCATGTAACAGTGTTGAACCATCCTTTTGACAGAGGAGTTTTGAAACACTCTTTTTGTAGAATCTGCAAGTGGCTATTTGGATAGCTTTGAGGATTTCGTTGGAAACGGGATGACATATAATATCTAGAGAGAAGCATTCTCAGGAACTTCTTTGTGATGTTTGCATTCAAGTCACAGAATTGAACATTCCCTTTCATAGAGCAGGTTTGAAACACTCTTTCTCTAGTATCTGGAAGTGGGCATTTCAAGCGCTTTCAGGCCTATGGAGAGAAAGGAAATACCTTCAAATAAAAACTAGACAGAAGCATTCTCAGAAACTTATTTGTGATGTGTGTCCTCAACTAACAGAGTTGAACCTTTGTTTTGATACAGCATTTTGGAAACACTCCTTTTGTAGAATCTGCAGGTGGATATTTGGATAGCTTTGAAGATTTCGTTGGAAACCGGAATATCTTCATATAAAATCAAGACAGAAGCATTCTCGGAAACATCTCTGTGATGTTTGCATTCAACTCAGTAGAGTTGAACACTTCCTTTCATAGAGCAGGTTTGAAACACTCTTTCTGCACTACCTGGAAGCGGACATTTCGAGCGCTTTGAGGCCTATGGTGAAAAAGGAAATATCTTCTCATAAAAACCAGAAAGAAGCATTCTCAGAAACTTCTTTGTGTTGTGTGTACTCAAGTAACAGTGTTGATCCTTCCTTTTGACAGAGCAGTTTTGAAACACTCTTTTGGTAGAATCTGCAAGTGGATATTTGGATAGCTTTGAGGATTTCGTTGGAAACGGGTTATCTTCCTATAAAATCCAGACAGGAGCATTCTCAGAAACTTCTTTGTGCTGTATGTCCTCAATTCACAGAGCTGAACCTTTGTTTGGATACAGCATTTTGGAGACATTCCTTTAGTAGAATCTGCAAGTTGATATTTAGATAGCTTTGAAGATTTCGTTGGAAACGGGAATATCTTCATAGAAAATCTAGACGGAAGCATTCTCAGAAACTGCTTTGTGATGTTTGCATTCAAGTCACAGAGTTGAATATTCCCTTTTATAGAGTAGGTTTGAAACACTCTTTCGGCACTACCTGGAAGTGGATATTTCGAGCTCTTTGAGGCCTATGGTTAAAAGGAAATATCTTCCCATAAAAACTAGACAGAAGCCGTCTCAGAAACTTGTTTGTGATGTGTGTATTCAACTAACAGAGTTGAACATTTCTGTTACAGAGCAATTTTAAAACACTCTTTTTGTGGAATCTGAAAGTGGATAATTGGATAGCTTTGTGGATTTCGTTGGAAACGGGATGACGTATAAAATCTAGAGAGAAGCATTCTCAGGAACTTCTTTCTGATGTTTGCATTCAAGTCACAGAATTGAACATTCCTTTTCAGAGTGCAGGTTTGAAACACTCTTTCTGTAGTATCTGGAAGTGGACATTTCAAGCGCTTTCAGGCCTACGGGGAGAAAGGAAATATCTTCAAATAAAAACTAGACAGAAGGATTCTCAGAAACTTATTTGTGATGTGTGTCCTAAACGAACACAGTTGAACCTTTGTTTTGATACAGCATTTTGGAAACACTCCTTTTGTAGGATCTGCAGGTGGATATGTGGATAGCTCTGAAGATTTCGTTGGAAACGGGAATTTCTTCATATAAAATCAAAAAAGAAGCATTCTCAGAAACTTCTCAGTGATGTTTGCATTCAGTTCATGGAGTTGAACACTTCCTTTCATAGAGCCGGTTTGAAACACTCTTTCTGCACTACCTGGAAGAGGACATTTCGAGCGCTTTGAGTCCTATGGTGAAAAAGGAAATATCTTCTCATAGAAACCAGAAAGAAGCATTCTCAGAAACTTCTTTGTGTTGTGTGTACTCATGTAACAGTGTTGAACCATCCTTTTGACAGAGCAGTTTTGAAACACTCTTTTTGTAGAATCTGCAAGTGGATATTTGGATAGCTTTGAGGATTTCGTTGGAAACGGGATGACATATAATATCTAGAGAGAAGCATTCTCAGGAACTTCTTTGTGATGTTTGCATTCAAGTCACAGAATTGAACATTCCCTTTCATAGAGCAGGTTTGAAACACTCTTTCTCTAGTATCTGGAAGTGGGCATTTCAAGCGCTTTCAGGCCTATGGAGAGAAAGGAAATACCTTCAAATAAAAACTAGACAGAAGCATTCTCAGAAACTTATTTGTGATGTGTGTCCTCAACTAACAGAGTTGAACCTTTGTTTTGATACAGCATTTTGGAAACACTCCTTTTGTAGAATCTGCAGGTGGATATTTGGATAGCTTTGAAGATTTCGTTGGAAACCGGAATATCTTCATATAAAATCAAGACAGAAGCATTCTCGGAAACATCTCTGTGATGTTTGCATTCAACTCAGTAGAGTTGAACACTTCCTTTCATAGAGCAGGTTTGAAACACTCTTTCTGCACTACCTGGAAGCGGACATTTCGAGCGCTTTGAGGCCTATGGTGAAAAAGGAAATATCTTCTCATAAAAACCAGAAAGAAGCATTCTCAGAAACTTCTTTGTGTTGTGTGTACTCAAGTAACAGTGTTGAACCTTCCTTTTGACAGAGCAGTTTTGAAACACTCTTTTGGTAGAATCTGCAAGTGGATATTTGGATAGCTTTGAGGATTTCGTTGGAAACGGGTTATCTTCATATAAAATCCAGACAGGAGCATTCTCAGAAACTTCTTTGTGCTGTATGTCCTCAATTCACAGAGCTGAACCTTTGTTTGGATACAGCATTTTGGAGACATTCCTTTAGTAGAATCTGCAAGTTGATATTTAGATAGCTTTGAAGATTTCGTTGGAAACGGGAATATCTTCATAGAAAATCTAGACGGAAGCATTCTCAGAAACTGCTTTGTGATGTTTGCATTCAAGTCACAGAGTTGAATATTCCCTTTTATAGAGTAGGTTTGAAACACTCTTTCGGCACTACCTGGAAGTGGATATTTCGAGCTCTTTGAGGCCTATGGTTAAAAGGAAATATCTTCCCATAAAAACTAGACAGAAGCCGTCTCAGAAACTTGTTTGTGATGTGTGTATTCAACTAACAGAGTTGAACATTTCTGTTACAGAGCAATTTTAAAACACTCTTTTTGTGGAATCTGAAAGTGGATAATTGGATAGCTTTGTGGATTTCGTTGGAAACGGGATGACGTATAAAATCTAGAGAGAAGCATTCTCAGGAACTTCTTTCTGATGTTTGCATTCAAGTCACAGAATTGAACATTCCTTTTCAGAGTGCAGGTTTGAAACACTCTTTCTGTAGTATCTGGAAGTGGACATTTCAAGCGCTTTCAGGCCTACGGGGAGAAAGGAAATCTCTTCAAATAAAAACCAGACAGAAGGATTCTCAGAAACTTATTTGTGATGTGTGTCCTAAACGAACACAGTTGAACCTTTCTTTTGATACAGCATTTAGGAAACACTCCTTTTGTAGAATCTGCAGGTGGATATTTGGAAAGATTTTAAGATTTCATTGGAAACGGGAATTTCTTCATATAAACTCAAGACAGATGCATTCTCAGAAACTTCTCTGTGATGTTTGCATTCCACTCATAGAGTTGAAAACTTCCTTTCATAGAGCAGGTTTGAAACACTCTTTTTGTAATATTTGGAAGTGGACATTTGCAGCGCTTTGAGGCCTATGGTGAAAAAGGAAATATCTTCTCATAAAAACCAGAAACAAGCATTCTGAGAAACTGCTTTTTGATGTGTGTACTCAAGTAACAGAGTTGAACCTTCCTTTTGACACAGCAGTTTTGAAACAATCTTTCTGTAGAATCTGCAAGTGGATATTTGGATAGCTTTGAGGATTTCGTTGGAAACGGGATATCTTCATATAAAATCTAGACAGAAGCATTCTCAGAAACTTCTTTGTTCTGTATGTCCTCAATTAACAGAGTTGAACCATTGCTTGGATACAGCATTTTGGAAACATTCCTTTAGTAGAATCTGCAAGTTGATATTTAGATAGATTTGAAGAATTCGTTGGAAACGGGAATATCTTCATATAAAATCTAGACGGAGGCATTCTCAGAAACTGCTTTGTGATGTTTCCATTCAAGTCACAGAGTTGAATATTCTCTTTTATAGAGCACGTTTGAAACACTCTTTCTGCACTATCTGGAAGTGGACATTTCGAGCGCTTTGAGGCCTATGGTGAAAAAGGAAATATCTTCCCATAAAAACTAGACTGAAGCATTCTCAGAAACTTGTTTGTGATGTGTGTATTCAACTAACAGACTTGAACTTTTGTTTTTACAGAGCAGTTTTAAAACAATCTTTTTGTGGAATCAGAAAGTGGATATTCGGATGGCTTTGAGGATTTCGTTGGAAGCGGGATTACATTTAAAATCTAGAGAGAAGCATTCTCAGGAACTTCTTTGTGATGTTTGCATTGAAGTCACAGAATTGAACATTCACTTTGATAGAGCAGGTTTGAAACACTCATTCTGTAGTATCTGGAAGTGGACATTTCAAGCGCTTTCAGGCCTATGGTGAGAAAGGAAATATCTTCGAATAAAAACTAGACAGAAGCATCCTCAGAAACTTATTTGTGATGTGTGTCCTCAACTAACAGAGTTGAAACTTTGTTTTGATACAGCATTTTGGAAACACTCTTTTTGTAGAATCTGCAGGTGGATATTTTGATAGCTTAGAGGGATTCGTTGGAAAGGGGATATCTTCATATAAAATCTAGACAGAAGCATTCTCAGAAACTTATTTGTGATGTGTGTCCTCAACTAACAGAGTTGAACCTTGGTTTTGATACAGCATTTTGGAAACACTCCTTTTGTAGAATCTGCAGGTGGATATGTGGATAGCTCTGAAGATTTCGTTGGAAACGGGAATTTCTTCATATAAAATCAAACAGAAGCATTCTCAGAAACTTCTCAGTGATGTTTGCATTCAGCTCATGGAGTTGTACACTTCCTTTCATAGAGCAGGTTTGAAACACTCTTTCTGCACTACCTGGAAGAGGACATTTCGAGCGCTTTGAGTCCTATGGTGAAAAAGGAAATATCTTCTCATAGAAACCAGAAAGAAGCATTCTCAGAAACTTCTTTGTGTTGTGTGTACTCATGTAACAGTGTTGAACCATCCTTTTGACAGAGCAGTTTTGAAACACTCTTTTTGTAGAATCTGCAAGTGGATATTTGGATAGCTTTGAGGATTTCGTTGGAAACGGGATGACATATAATATCTAGAGAGAAGCATTCTCAGGAACTTCTTTGTGATGTTTGCATTCAAGTCACAGAATTGAACATTCCCTTTCATAGAGCAGGTTTGAAACACTCTTTCTCTAGTATCTGGAAGTGGGCATTTCAAGCGCTTTCAGGCCTATGGAGAGAAAGGAAATACCTTCAAATAAAAACTAGACAGAAGCATTCTCAGAAACTTATTTGTGATGTGTGTCCTCAACTAACAGAGTTGAACCTTTGTTTTGATACAGCATTTTGGAAACACTCCTTTTGTAGAATCTGCAGGTGGATATTTGGATAGCTTTGAAGATTTCGTTGGAAACCGGAATATCTTCATATAAAATCAAGACAGAAGCATTCTCGGAAACATCTCTGTGATGTTTGCATTCAACTCAGTAGAGTTGAACACTTCCTTTCATAGAGCAGGTTTGAAACACTCTTTCTGCACTACCTGGAAGCGGACATTTCGAGCGCTTTGAGGCCTATGGTGAAAAAGGAAATATCTTCTCATAAAAACCAGAAAGAAGCATTCTCAGAAACTTCTTTGTGTTGTGTGTACTCAAGTAACAGTGTTGAACCTTCCTTTTGACAGAGCAGTTTTGAAACACTCTTTTGGTAGAATCTGCAAGTGGATATTTGGATAGCTTTGAGGATTTCGTTGGAAACGGGTTATCTTCATATAAAATCCAGACAGGAGCATTCTCAGAAACTTCTTTGTGCTGTATGTCCTCAATTCACAGAGCTGAACCTTTGTTTGGATACAGCATTTTGGAGACGTTCCTTTAGTAGAATCTGCAAGTTGATATTTAGATAGCTTTGAAGATTTCGTTGGAAACGGGAATATCTTCATAGAAAATCTAGACGGAAGCATTCTCAGAAACTGCTTTGTGATGTTTGCATTCAAGTCACAGAGTTGAATATTCCCTTTTATAGAGTAGGTTTGAAACACTCTTTCGGCACTACCTGGAAGTGGATATTTCGAGCTCTTTGAGGCCTATGGTTAAAAGGAAATATCTTCCCATAAAAACTAGACAGAAGCCGTCTCAGAAACTTGTTTGTGATGTGTGTATTCAACTACCAGAGTTGAACATTTCTGTTACAGAGCAATTTTAAAACACTCTTTCTGTGGAATCTGAAAGTGGATAATTGGATAGCTTTGTGGATTTCGTTGGAAACGGGATGACGTATAAAATCTAGAGAGAAGCATTCTCAGGAACTTCTTTCTGATGTTTGCATTCAAGTCACAGAATTGAACATTCCTTTTCAGAGTGCAGGTTTGAAACACTCTTTCTGTAGTATCTGGAAGTGGACATTTCAAGCGCTTTCAGGCCTACGGGGAGAAAGGAAATATCTTCAAATAAAAACTAGACAGAAGGATTCTCAGAAACTTATTTGTGATGTGTGTCCTAAACGAACACAGTTGAACCTTTGTTTTGATACAGCATTTTGGAAACACTCCTTTTGTAGGATCTGCAGGTGGATATTTGGATAGATTTTAAGATTTCGTTGGAAACGGGAATTTCTGCATATAAACTCAAGACAGATGCATTCTCAGAAACTTCTCTGTGATGTTTGCATTCCACTCATAGAGTTGAAAACTTCCTTTCATAGAGCAGGTTTGAAACACTCTTTTTGTAATATTTGGAAGTGGACATTTGCAGCGCTTTGAGGCCTATGGTGAAAAAGGAAATATCTTCTCATAAAAACCAGAAACAAGCATTCTCAGAAACTTCTTTTTGATGTGTGTACTCAAGTAACAGAGTTGAACCTTCCTTTTGACACAGCAGTTTTGAAACAATCTTTTTGTAGAATCTGCAAGTGGATATTTGGATAGCTTTGAGGATTTCGTTGGAAACGGGATATCTTCATATAAAATCTAGACAGAAGCATTCTCAGAAACTTCTTTGTGCTGTATGTCCTCAATTAACAGAGTTGAACCATTGCCTGGATACAGCATTTTGGAAACATTCCTTGAGTAGAATCTGCAAGTTGATATTTAGATAGATTTGAAGATTTCGTTGGAAAAGGGAATATCTCCATATAAAATCTAGAGGGAAGCATTCTCAGAAACTGCTTTGTGATGTTTCCATTCAAGTCACAGAGTTGAATATTCCCTTTTATAGAGCACGTTTGAAACACTCTTTCTGCACTATCTGGAAGCGGACATTTCGAGCGCTTTGAGGCCTATGGTGAAAAAGGAAATATCTTCCCATAAAAACTAGACAGAAGCATTCTCAGAAACTTGTTTGTGATGTGTGTATTCAACTAACAGAGTTGAACTTTTGTTTTTACAGAGCCGTTTTAAAACACTCTTTTTGTGGAATCAGAAAGTGGATATTCGGATGGCTCTGAGGATTTCGTTGGAAGCGGGATTACGTATAAAATCTAGAGAGAAGCATTCTCAGGAACTACTTTGTGATGTTTGCATTGAAGTCACAGAATTGAACATTCACTTTCATAGAGCAGGTTTGAAACACTCATTCTGTAGTATCTGGAAGTGGACATTTCAAGCGCTTTCAGGCCTATGGGGAGAAAGGAAATATCTTCAAATAAAAACTAGACAGAAGCATCCTCAGAAACTTATTTGTGATGTGTGTCCTCAACTAACAGAGTTGAAACTTTGTTTTGATACAGCAGTTTGGAAACACTCTTTTTGTAGAATCTGCAGGTGGATATTTGGATAGCTTAGAGGGATTCGTTGGAAAGGGGATATCTTCATATAAAATCTAGACAGAAGCATTCTCAGAAACTTATTTGTGATGTGTGTCCTCAACTAACAGAGTTGAACCTTGGTTTTGATACAGCATTTTGGAAACACTCCTTTTGTAGAATCTGCATGTGGATATGTGGATAGCTCTGAAGATTTCGTTGGAAACGGGAATTTCTTCATATAAAATCAAACAGAAGCATTCTCAGAAACTTCTCTGTGATGTTTGCATTCAGCTCATGGAGTTGAACACTTCCTTTCATAGAGCAGGTTTGAAACACTCTTTCTGCACTACCAGGAAGTGGACATTTCGAGCGCTTTGAGGCCTATGGTGAAAAAGGAAATATCTTCTCATAAAAACCAGAAAGAAGCGTTCTCAGAAACTTCTTTGTGTTGTGTGTACTCATGTAACAGTGTTGAACCATCCTTTTGACAGAGCAGTTTTGAAACACTCTTTTTGTAGAATCTGCAAGTGGATATTTGGATAGCTTTGAGGATTTCGTTGGAAACGGGTTATCTTCATATTAAATCTAGACAGAAGCATTCTCAGAAACTTCTTTGTGCTGTATGTCCTCAATTCACAGAGTTGAACCTTTGTTTGGATACAGCATTTTGGAAACATTCCTTTATTAGAATCTGCAAGTTGATATTTAGATAGCTTTGAAGATTTCGTTGGAAACGGGAATATCTTCATAAAAAATCTAGACGGAAGCATTCTCAGAAACTGCTTTGTGATGTTTGCATTCAAGTCACAGAGTTGAATATTCCCTTTTATAGAGTAGGTTTGAAACACTCTTTCGGCACTACCTGGAAGTGGATATTTCGAGCTCTTTGAGGCCTATGGTTAAAAGGAAATATCTTCCCATAAAAACTAGACAGAAGCCGTCTCAGAAACTTGTTTGTGATCTGTGTATTCAACTAACAGAGTTGAACATTTCTGTTACAGAGCAATTTTAAAACACTCTTTGTGGAATCTGAAAGTGGATAATTGGATAGCTTTGTGGATTTCGTTGGAAACAGGATGACGTATAAAATCTAGAGAGAAGCATTCTCAGAAACTTCTTTCTGATGTTTGCATTCAAGTCACAGAATTGAACATTCCTTTTCATAGTGCAGGTTTGAAACACTCTTTCTGTACTATCTGGAAGTGGACATTTCCAGCGCTTTCAGGCCTATGGGGAGAAAGGAAATATCTTCAAATAAAAACTAGACAGAAGGCTTCTCAGAAACTTATTTGTGATGTGTGTCCTAAACGAACACAGTTGAACCTTTGTTTTGATACAGCATTTTGGAAACACTCCTTTTGTAGAATCTGCAGGTGGATATTTGGATAGATTTTAAGATTTCGTTGGAAACGGGAATTTCTTCATATAATCTCAAGACGGATGCATTCTCAGAAACTTCTCTGTGATGTTTGCATTCCACTCATAGAGTTGAAAACTTCCTTTCATAGAGCAGGTTTGAAACACTCTTTTTGTAATATTTGGAAGTGGACATTTGCAGCGCTTTGAGGCCTATGGTGAAAAAGGAAATATCTTCTGATAAAAACCAGAAACAAGCATTCTCAGAAACTTCTTTTTGATGTGTGTACTCAAGTAACAGAGTTGAACCTTCCTTTTGACACAGCAGTTTTGAAACAATCTTTTTGTAGAATCTGCAAGTGGATATTTGGATAGCTTTGAGGATTTCGTTGGAAACGGGATATCTTCATATAAAATCTAGACAGAAGCATTCTCAGAAACTTCTTTGTGCTGTATGTCCTCAATTAACAGAGTTGAACCATTGCTTGGATACAGCATTTTGGAAACATTCCTTTAGTAGAATCTGCAAGTTGATATTTAGATAGATTTGAAGATTTCGTTGGAAACGGGAATATCTTCATATAAAATCTAGACGGAGGCATTCTCAGAAACTGCTTTGTGATGTTTCCATTCAAGTCACAGAGTTGAATATTCTCTTTTATAGAGCACGTTTGAAACACTCTTTCTGCACCATCTGGAAGTGGACATTTCGAGGGCTGTGAGGCCTATGGTGAAAAAGGAAATATCTTCCCATAAAAACTAGACAGAAGCATTCTCAGAAACTTGTTTGTGATGTGTGTATTCAACTAACAGACTAGAACTTTTGTTTTTACAGAGCAGTTTTAAAACAATCTTTTTGTGGAATCAGAAAGTGGATATTCGGATGGCTTTGAGGATTTCGTTGGAAGCGGGATTACATATAAAATCTAGAGAGAAGCATTCTCAGGAACTACTGTGTGATGTTTGCATTGAAGTCACAGAATTGAACATTCACTTTGATAGAGCAGGTTTGAAACACTCATTCTGTAGTATCTGGAAGCGGACATTTCAAGCGCTTTCAGGCCTATGGTGAGAAAGAAAATATCTTCAAATAAAAACTAGACAGAAGCATCCTCAAACTTATTTGTGATGTGTGTCCTCAACTAACAGAGTTGAAACTTTGTTTTGATACAGCATTTTGGAAACACTCTTTTTGTAGAATCTGCAGGTGGATATTTGGATAGCTTAGAGGGATTCGTTGGAAAGGGGATATCTTCATATAGAATCTAGACAGAAGCATTCTCAGAATCTTATTTGTGATGTGTGTCCTCAACTAACAGAGTTGAACTTTGGTTTTGATACAGCATTTTGGAAACACTCCTTTTGTAGAATCTGCAGGTGGATATGTGGATAGCTCTGAAGATTTCGTTGGAAACGGGAATTTCTTCATATAAAATCAAACAGAAGCATTCTCAGAAACTTCTCAGTGATGTTTGCATTCAGTTCATGGAGTTGAACACTTCCTTTCATAGAGCCGGTTTGAAACACTCTTTCTGCACTACCTGGAAGAGGACATTTCGAGCGCTTTGAGTCCTATGGTGAAAAAGGAAATATCTTCTCATAGAAACCAGAAAGAAGCATTCTCAGAAACTTCTTTGTGTTGTGTGTACTCATGTAACAGTGTTGAACCATCCTTTTGACAGAGCAGTTTTGAAACACTCTTTTTGTAGAATCTGCAAGTGGATATTTGGATAGCTTTGAGGATTTCGTTGGAAACGGGATGACATATAATATCTAGAGAGAAGCATTCTCAGGAACTTCTTTGTGATGTTTGCATTCAAGTCACAGAATTGAACATTCCCTTTCATAGAGCAGGTTTGAAACACTCTTTCTCTAGTATCTGGAAGTGGGCATTTCAAGCGCTTTCAGGCCTATGGAGAGAAAGGAAATACCTTCAAATAAAAACTAGACAGAAGCATTCTCAGAAACTTATTTGTGATGTGTGTCCTCAACTAACAGAGTTGAACCTTTGTTTTGATACAGCATTTTGGAAACACTCCTTTTGTAGAATCTGCAGGTGGATATTTGGATAGCTTTGAAGATTTCGTTGGAAACCGGAATATCTTCATATAAAATCAAGACAGAAGCATTCTCGGAAACATCTCTGTGATGTTTGCATTCAACTCAGTAGAGTTGAACACTTCCTTTCATAGAGCAGGTTTGAAACACTCTTTCTGCACTACCTGGAAGCGGACATTTCGAGCGCTTTGAGGCCTATGGTGAAAAAGGAAATATCTTCTCATAAAAACCAGAAAGAAGCATTCTCAGAAACTTCTTTGTGTTGTGTGTACTCAAGTAACAGTGTTGAACCTTCCTTTTGACAGAGCAGTTTTGAAACACTCTTTTGGTAGAATCTGCAAGTGGATATTTGGGATAGCTTTGAGGATTTCGTTGGAAACGGGTTATCTTCATATAAAATCCAGACAGGAGCATTCTCAGAAACTTCTTTGTGCTGTATGTCCTCAATTCACAGAGCTGAACCTTTGTTTGGATACAGCATTTTGGAGACATTCCTTTAGTAGAATCTGCAAGTTGATATTTAGATAGCTTTGAAGATTTCGTTGGAAACGGGAATATCTTCATAGAAAATCTAGACGGAAGCATTCTCAGAAACTGCTTTGTGATGTTTGCATTCAAGTCACAGAGTTGAATATTCCCTTTTATAGAGTAGGTTTGAAACACTCTTTCGGCACTACCTGGAAGTGGATATTTCGAGCTCTTTGAGGCCTATGGTTAAAAGGAAATATCTTCCCATAAAAACTAGACAGAAGCCGTCTCAGAAACTTGTTTGTGATGTGTGTATTCAACTACCAGAGTTGAACATGTCTGTTACAGAGCAATTTTAAAACACTCTTTTTGTGGAATCTGAAAGTGGATAATTGGATAGCTTTGTGGATTTCGTTGGAAACGGGATGACGTATAAAATCTAGAGAGAAGCATTTTCAGGAACTTCTTTCTGATGTTTGCATTCAAGTCACAGAATTGAACATTCCTTTTCAGAGTGCAGGTTTGAAACACTCTTTCTGTAGTATCTGGAAGTGGACATTTCAAGCGCTTTCAGGCCTACGGGGAGAAAGGAAATATCTTCAAATAAAAACTAGACAGAAGGATTCTCAGAAACTTATTTGTGATGTGTGTCCTAAACGAACACAGTTGAACCTTTGTTTTGATACAGCATTTTGGAAACACTCCTTTTGTAGGATCTGCAGGTGGATATTTGGATAGATTTTAAGATTTCGTTGGAAACGGGAATTTCTGCATATAAACTCAAGACAGATGCATTCTCAGAAACTTCTCTGTGATGTTTGCATTCCACTCATAGAGTTGAAAACTTCCTTTCATAGAGCAGGTTTGAAACACTCTTTTTGTAATATTTGGAAGTGGACATTTGCAGCGCTTTGAGGCCTATGGTGAAAAAGGAAATATCTTCTCATAAAAACCAGAAACAAGCATTCTCAGAAACTTCTTTTTGATGTGTGTACTCAAGTAACAGAGTTGAACCTTCCTTTTGACACAGCAGTTTTGAAACAATCTTTTTGTAGAATCTGCAAGTGGATATTTGGATAGCTTTGAGGATTTCGTTGGAAACGGGATATCTTCATATAAAATCTAGACAGAAGCATTCTCAGAAACTTCTTTGTGCTGTATGTCCTCAATTAACAGAGTTGAACCATTGCTTGGATACAGCATTTTGGAAACATTCCTTGAGTAGAATCTGCAAGTTGATATTTAGATAGATTTGAAGATTTCGTTGGAAAAGGGAATATCTCCATATAAAATCTAGAGGGAAGCATTCTCAGAAACTGCTTTGTGATGTTTCCATTCAAGTCACAGAGTTGAATATTCCCTTTTATAGAGCACGTTTGAAACACTCTTTCTGCACTATCTGGAAGTGGACATTTCGAGCGCTTTGAGGCCTATGGTGAAAAAGGAAATATCTTCCCATAAAAACTAGACAGAAGCATTCTCAGAAACTTGTTTGTGATGTGTGTATTCAACTAACAGAGTTGAACTTTTGTTTTTACAGAGCCGTTTTAAAACACTCTTTTTGTGGAATCAGAAAGTGGATATTCGGATGGCTCTGAGGATTTCGTTGGAAGCGGGATTACATATAAAATCTAGAGAGAAGCATTCTCAGGAACTTCTTTGTGATGTTTGCATTGAAGTCACAGAATTGAACATTCACTTTGATAGAGCAGGTTTGAAACACTCATTCTGTAGGATCTGGAAGTGGACATTTCAAGCGCTTTCAGGCCTATGGTGAGAAAGGAAATATCTTCGAATAAAAACTAGACAGAAGCATTCTCAGAAACTTATTTGTGATGTGTGTCCTCAACTAACAGAGTTGAAACTTTGTTTTGATACAGCATTTTGGAAACACTCTTTTTGTAGAATCTGCAGGTGGATATTTGGATAGCTTAGAGGGATTCGTTGGAAAGGGGATATCTTCATATAAAATCTAGACAGAAGCATTCTCAGAAACTTATTTGTGATGTGTGTCCTCAACTAACAGAGTTGAACCTTGGTTTTGATACAGCATTTTGGAAACACTCCTTTTGTAGAATCTGCAGGTGGATATGTGGATAGCTCTGAAGATTTCGTTGGAAACGGGAATTTCTTCATATAAAATCAAACAGAAGCATTCTCAGAAACTTCTCAGTGATGTTTGCATTCAGCTCATGGAGTTGTACACTTCCTTTCATAGAGCAGGTTTGAAACACTCTTTCTGCACTACCTGGAAGCGGACATTTCGAGCGCTTTGAGTCCTATGGTGAAAAAGGAAATATCTTCTCATAGAAACCAGAAAGAAGCATTCTCAGAAACTTCTTTGTGTTGTGTGTACTCATGTAACAGTGTTGAACCATCCTTTTGACAGAGCAGTTTTGAAACACTCTTTTTGTAGAATCTGCAAGTGGATATTTGGATAGCTTTGAGGATTTCGTTGGAAACGGGATGACATATAATATCTAGAGAGAAGCATTCTCAGGAACTTCTTTGTGATGTTTGCATTCAAGTCACAGAATTGAACATTCCCTTTCATAGAGCAGGTTTGAAACACTTTCTCTAGTATCTGGAAGTGGGCATTTCAAGCGCTTTCAGGCCTATGGAGAGAAAGGAAGTACCTTCAAATAAAAACTAGACAGAAGCATTCTCAGAAACTTATTTGTGATGTGTGTCCTCAACTAACAGAGTTGAACCTTTGTTTTGATACAGCATTTTGGAAACACTCCTTTTGTAGAATCTGCAGGTGGATATTTGGATAGCTTTGAAGATTTCGTTGGAAACCGGAATATCTTCATATAAAATCAAGACAGAAGCATTCTCGGAAACATCTCTGTGATGTTTGCATTCAACTCAGTAGAGTTGAACACTTCCTTTCATAGAGCAGGTTTGAAACACTCTTTCTGCACTACCTGGAAGTGGACATTTCGAGCGCTTTGAGGCCTATGGTGAAAAAGGAAATATCTTCTCATAAAAACCAGAAACAAGCATTCTCAGAAACTTCTTTGTGTTGTGTGTACTCAAGTAACAGTGTTGAACCTTCCTTTTGACAGAGCAGTTTTGAAACACTCTTTTGGTAGAATCTGCAAGTGGATATTTGGATAGCTTTGAGGATTTTGTTGGAAACGGGTTATCTTCATATAAAATCCAGACAGGAGCATTCTCAGAAACTTCTTTGTGCTGTATGTCCTCAATTAACAGAGTTGAACCATTGCTTCGATACAGCATTTTGGAAACATTCCTTTAGTAGAATCTGCAAGTTGATATTTAGATAGCTTTGAAGATTTCGTTGGAAACGGGAATATCTTCATATAAAATCTAGACGGAAGCATTCTCATAAACTGCTTTGTGATGTTTCCATTCAAGTCACAGAGTTGAATATTCCCTTTTACAGAGTAGGTTTGAAACACTCTTTCGGCACTACCTGGAAGTGGATATTTCGAGCTGTTTGAGGCCTATGGTTAAAAGGAAATATCTTCCCATAAAAACTAGACAGAAGCCGTCTCAGAAACTTGTTTGTGATGTGTGTATTCAACTACCAGTAGTTGAACATTTCTGTTACAGAGCAATTTTAAAACACTCTTTCTGTGGAATCTGAAAGTGGATAATTGGATAGCTTTGTGGATTTCGTTGGAAACGGGATGACGTATAAAATCTAGAGAGAAGCATTCTCAGGAACTTCTTTCTGATGTTTGCATTCAAGTCACAGAATTGAACATTCCTTTTCAGAGTGCAGGTTTGAAACACACTCTTTCTGTAGTATCTGGAAGTGGACATTTCAAGCGCTTTCAGGCCTACGGGGAGAAAGGAAATATCTTCAAATAAAAACTAGACAGAAGGATTCTCAGAAACTTATTTGTGATGTGTGTCCTAAACGAACACAGTTGAACCTTTGTTTTGATACAGCATTTTGGAAACACTCCTTTTGTAGGATCTGCAGGTGGATATTTGGATAGATTTTAAGATTTCGTTGGAAACGGGAATTTCTGCATATAAACTCAAGACAGATGCATTCTCAGAAACTTCTCTGTGATGTTTGCATTCCACTCATAGAGTTGAAAACTTCCTTTCATAGAGCAGGTTTGAAACACTCTTTTTGTAATATTTGGAAGTGGACATTTGCAGCGCTTTGAGGCCTATGGTGAAAAAGGAAATATCTTCTCATAAAAACCAGAAACAAGCATTCTCAGAAACTTCTTTTTGATGTGTGTACTCAAGTAACAGAGTTGAACCTTCCTTTTGACACAGCAGTTTTGAAACAATCTTTTTGTAGAATCTGCAAGTGGATATTTGGATAGCTTTGAGGATTTCGTTGGAAACGGGATATCTTCATATAAAATCTAGACAGAAGCATTCTCAGAAACTTCTTTGTGCTGTATGTCCTCAATTAACAGAGTTGAACCATTGCTTGGATACAGCATTTTGGAAACATTCCTTGAGTAGAATCTGCAAGTTGATATTTAGATAGATTTGAAGATTTCGTTGGAAAAGGGAATATCTCCATATAAAATCTAGAGGGAAGCATTCTCAGAAACTGCTTTGTGATGTTTCCATTCAAGTCACAGAGTTGAATATTCCCTTTTATAGAGCACGTTTGAAACACTCTTTCTGCACTATCTGGAAGTGGACATTTCGAGCGCTTTGAGGCCTATGGTGAAAAAGGAAATATCTTCCCATAAAAACTAGACAGAAGCATTCTCAGAAACTTGTTTGTGATGTGTGTATTCAACTAACAGAGTTGAACTTTTGTTTTTACAGAGCCGTTTTAAAACACTCTTTTTGTGGAATCAGAAAGTGGATATTCGGATGGCTCTGAGGATTTCGTTGGAAGCGGGATTACATATAAAATCTAGAGAGAAGCATTCTCAGGAACTTCTTTCTGATGTTTGCATTGAAGTCACGGAATTGAACATTCACTTTTATAGAGCAGGTTTGAAACACTCATTCTGTAGTATCTGGAAGTGGACATTTCAAGCGCTTTCAGGCCTATGGTGAGAAAGGAAATATCTTCGAATAAAAACTAGACAGAAGCATCCTCAGAAACTTATTTGTGATGTGTGTCCTCAACTAACAGAGTTGAAACTTTGTTTTGATACAGCATTTTGGAAACACTCTTTTTGTAGAATCTGCAGGTGGATATTTGGATAGCTTAGAGGGATTCGTTGGAAAGGGGATATCTTCATATAAAATCTAGACAGAAGCATTCTCAGAAACTTATTTGTGATGTGTGTCCTCAACTAACAGAGTTGAACCTTGGTTTTGATACAGCATTTTGGAAACACTCCTTTTGTAGAATCTGCAGGTGGATATGTGGATAGCTCTGAAGATTTCGTTGGAAACGGGAATTTCTTCATATGAAATCAAACAGAAGCATTCTCAGAAACTTCTCAGTGATGTTTGCATTCAGTTCATGGAGTTGAACACTTCCTTTCATAGAGCCGGTTTGAAACACTCTTTCTGCACTACCTGGAAGAGGACATTTCGAGCGCTTTGAGTCCTATGGTGAAAAAGGAAATATCTTCTCATAGAAACCAGAAAGAAGCATTCTCAGAAACTTCTTTGTGTTGTGTGTACTCATGTAACAGTGTTGAACCATCCTTTTGACAGAGCAGTTTTGAAACACTCTTTTTGTAGAATCTGCAAGTGGATATTTGGATAGCTTTGAGGATTTCGTTGGAAACGGGATGACATATAATATCTAGAGAGAAGCATTCTCAGGAACTTCTTTGTGATGTTTGCATTCAAGTCACAGAATTGAACATTCCCTTTCATAGAGCAGGTTTGAAACACTCTTTCTCTAGTATCTGGAAGTGGGCATTTCAAGCGCTTTCAGGCCTATGGAGAGAAAGGAAATACCTTCAAATAAAAACTAGACAGAAGCATTCTCAGAAACTTATTTGTGATGTGTGTCCTCAACTAACAGAGTTGAACCTTTGTTTTGATACAGCATTTTGGAAACACTCCTTTTGTAGAATCTGCAGGTGGATATTTGGATAGCTTTGAAGATTTCGTTGGAAACCGGAATATCTTCCTATAAAATCAAGACAGAAGCATTCTCGGAAACATCTCTGTGATGTTTGCATTCAACTCAGTAGAGTTGAACACTTCCTTTCATAGAGCAGGTTTGAAACACTCTTTCTGCACTACCTGGAATCGGACATTTCGAGCGCTTTGAGGCCTATGGTGAAAAAGGAAATATCTTCTCATAAAAACCAGAAAGAAGCATTCTCAGTAAACTTCTTTGTGTTGTGTGTACTCAAGTAACAGTGTTGAACCTTCCTTTTGACAGAGTAGTTTTGAAACACTCTTTTGGTAGAATCTGCAAGTGGATATTTGGATAGCTTTGAGGATTTCGTTGGAAACGGGTTATCTTCCTATAAAATCCAGACAGGAGCATTCTCAGAAACTTCTTTGTGCTGTATGTCCTCAATTCACAGAGCTGAACCTTTGTTTGGATACAGCATTTTGGAGACATTCCTTTAGTAGAATCTGCAAGTTGATATTTAGATAGCTTTGAAGATTTCGTTGGAAACGGGAATATCTTCATAGAAAATCTAGACGGAAGCATTCTCAGAAACTGCTTTGTGATGTTTGCATTCAAGTCACAGAGTTGAATATTCCCTTTTATAGAGTAGGTTTGAAACACTCTTTCGGCACTACCTGGAAGTGGATATTTCGAGCTCTTTGAGGCCTATGGTTAAAAGGAAATATCTTCCCATAGAAACTAGACAGAAGCCTTCTCAGAAACTTGTTTGAGATGTGTGTATTCAACTAAGAGCGTTGAACATTTCTTTTTACAGAGCAGTTTTAAAACACTCTTTTTGTGGAATCTGAAAGTGGATAATTGGATAGCTTTGTGGATTTCGTTGGAAACGGGATGACGTATAAAATCTAGAGAGAAGCATTCTCAGAAACTTCTTTCTGATGTTTGCATTCAAGTCACAGAATTGAACATTCCTTTTCATAGTGCAGGTTTGAAACACTCTTTCTGTACTATCTGGAAGTGGACATTTCCAGCGCTTTCAGGCCTATGGGGAGAAAGGAAATATCTTCAAATAAAAACTAGACAGAAGGATTCTCAGAAACTTATTGGTGATGTGTGTCCTAAACGAACACAGTTGAACCTTTGTTTTGATACAGCATTTTGGAAACACTCCTTTTGTAGAATCTGCAGGTGGATATTTGGATAGATTTTAAGATTTCGTTGGAAACGGGAATTTCTTCATATAAACTCAAGACAGAGATGCATTCTCAGAAACTTCTCTGTGATGTTTGCATTCCACTCATAGAGTTGAAAACTTCCTTTCATAGAGCAGGTTTGAAACACTCTTTTTGTAATATTTGGAAGTGGACATTTGCAGCGCTTTGAGGCCTATGGTGAAAAAGGAAATATCTTGTGATAAAAACCAGAAACAAGCATTCTCAGAAACTGCTTTTTGATGTGTGTACTCAAGTAACAGAGTTGAACCTTCCTTGTGACACAGCAGTTTTGAAACAATCTTTTTGTAGAATCTGCAAGTGGATATTTGGATAGCTTTGAGGATTTCGTTGCAAACGGGATATCTTCATATAAAATCCTAGACAGAAGCATTCTCAGTAAACTTCTTTGTGCTGTATGACCTCAATTAACAGAGTTGAACCATTGCTTGCATACAGCATTTTGGAAACATTCCTTGAGTAGAATCTGCAAGTTGATATTTAGATAGATTTGAAGATTTCGTTCGAAAACGGAATATCTCCATATAAAATCTAGAGGGAAGCATTGTCAGAAACTGCTCTGTGATGTTTGCATTCAAGTCACAGAGTTAAATATTCTTTTATAGAGCAGGTTTGAAACACTCTTTCTGCACTCCCTGGAAGTGGAGATTTCGAGCGCTTTGAGGCCTATGGTGAAAAAGGAAATATCTTCCCATAAAAACTAGACGGAAGCATTCTCAGAAACTTGTTTGTGATGTGTGTATTCAACTAACAGAGTTGAACTTTTGTTTTTACAGAGCCGTTTTAAAACACTCTTTTTGTGGAATCAGAAAGTGGATATTCGGATGGCTCTGAGGATTTCGTTGGAAGCGGGATTACATATAAAATCTAGAGAGAAGCATTCTCAGGAACTTCTTTGTGATGTTGGCATTGAAGTCACAGAATTGAACATTCACTTTGATAGAGCAGGTTTGAAACACTCATTCTGTAGTATCTGGAAGTGGACATTTCAAGCGCTTTCAGGCCTATGGTGAGAAAGGAAATATCTTCGAATAAAAACTAGACAGAAGCATCCTCAAACTTATTTGTGATGTGTGTCCTCAACTAACAGAGTTGAAACTTTGTTTTGATACAGCATTTTGGAAACACTCTTTTTGTAGAATCTGCAGGTGGATATTTGGATAGCTTAGAGGGATTCGTTGGAAAGGGGATATCTTCATATAGAATCTAGACAGAAGCATTCTCAGAAACTTATTTGTGATGTGTGTCCTCAACTAACAGAGTTGAACTTTGGTTTTGATACAGCATTTTGGAAACACTCCTTTTGTAGAATCTGCAGGTGGATATGTGGATAGCTCTGAAGATTTCGTTGGAAACGGGAATTTCTTCATATAAAATCAAACAGAAGCATTCTCAGAAACTTCTCAGTGATGTTTGCATTCAGTTCATGGAGTTGAACACTTCCTTTCATAGAGCCGGTTTGAAACACTCTTTCTGCACTACCTGGAAGAGGACATTTCGAGCGCTTTGAGTCCTATGGTGAAAAAGGAAATATCTTCTCATAGAAACCAGAAAGAAGCATTCTCAGAAACTTCTTTGTGTTGTGTGTACTCATGTAACAGTGTTGAACCATCCTTTTGACAGAGCAGTTTTGAAACACTCTTTTTGTAGAATCTGCAAGTGGATATTTGGATAGCTTTGAGGATTTCGTTGGAAACGGGATGACATATAATATCTAGAGAGAAGCATTCTCAGGAACTTCTTTGTGATGTTTGCATTCAAGTCACAGAATTGAACATTCCCTTTCATAGAGCAGGTTTGAAACACTCTTTCTCTAGTATCTGGAAGTGGGCATTTCAAGCGCTTTCAGGCCTATGGAGAGAAAGGAAATACCTTCAAATAAAAACTAGACAGAAGCATTCTCAGAAACTTATTTGTGATGTGTGTCCTCAACTAACAGAGTTGAACCTTTGTTTTGATACAGCATTTTGGAAACACTCCTTTTGTAGAATCTGCAGGTGGATATTTGGATAGCTTTGAAGATTTCGTTGGAAACCGGAATATCTTCATATAAAATCAAGACAGAAGCATTCTCGGAAACATCTCTGTGATGTTTGCATTCAACTCAGTAGAGTTGAACACTTCCTTTCATAGAGCAGGTTTGAAACACACTTTCTGCCCTACCTGGAAGCGGACATTTCAAGCTCTTTGAGGCCTATGGTGAAAAAGGAAATATCTTCTCATAAAAACCAGAAAGAAGCATTCTCAGAAACTTCTTTGTGTTGTGTGTACTCAAGTAACAGTGTTGAACCTTCCTTTTGACAGAGCAGTTTTGAAACACTCTTTTGGTAGAATCTGCAAGTGGATATTTGGATAGCTTTGAGGATTTCGTTGGAAACGGGTTATCTTCCTATAAAATCCAGACAGGAGCATTCTCAGAAACTTCTTTGTGCTGTATGTCCTCAATTCACAGAGTTGAACCTTTGTTTGGATACAGCATTTTGGAAACATTCCTTTAGTAGAATCTGCAAGTTGATATTTAGATAGCTTTGAAGATTTCGTTGGAAACGGGAATATCTTCATAAAAAATCTAGACGGAAGCATTGTCAGAAACTGCTTTGTGATGTTTGCATTCAAGTCACAGAGTTAAATATTCTTTTACAGAGCAGGTTTGAAACACTCTTTCTGCACTCCCTGGAAGTGGAGATTTCGAGCGCTTTGAGGCCTATGGTGAAAAAGGAAATATCTTCCCATAAAAACTAGACGGAAGCCTTCTCAGAAACTTGTTTGAGATGTGTGTATTCAACTAAGAGCGTTGAACATTTCTTTTTACAGAGCAGTTTTAAAACACTCTTTTGTGGAATCTGAAAGTGGATAATTGGATAGCTTTGTGGATTTCGTTGGAAACGGGATGACGTATAAAATCTAGAGAGAAGCATTCTCAGGAACTTCTTTCTGATGTTTGCATTCAAGTCACAGAATTGAACATTCCTTTTCATAGTGCAGGTTTGAAACACTCTTTCTGTAGTATCTGGAAGTGGACATTTCAAGCGCTTTCAGGCCTATGGGGAGAAAGGAAATATCTTCAAATAAAAACTAGACAGAAGGCTTCTCAGAAACTTATTTGTGATGTGTGTCCTAAACGAACACAGTTGAACCTTTGTTTTGATACAGCATTTTGGAAACACTCCTTTTGTAGAATCTGCAGGTGGATATTTGGATAGATTTTAAGATTTCGTTGGAAACGGGAATTTCTTCATAGAAACTCAAGACAGATGCATTCTCAGAAACTTCTCTGTGATGTTTGCATTCCACTCATAGAGTTGAAAACTTCCTTTCATAGAGCAGGTTTGAAACACTCTTTTTGTAATATTTGGAAGTGGACATTTGCAGCGCTTTGAGGCCTATGGTGAAAAAGGAAATATCTTCTCATAAAAACCAGAAACAAGCATTCTCAGAAACTTCTTTTTGATGTGTGTACTCAAGTAACAGAGTTGAACCTTCCTCTTGACACAGCAGTTTTGAAACAATCTTTTTGTAGAATCTGCAAGTGGATATTTGGATAGCTTTGAGGATTTCGTTGGAAACGGGATATCTTCACATAAAATCTAGACAGAAGCATTCTCAGAAACTTCTTTGTGCTGTATGTCCTCAATTAACAGAGTTGAACCATTGCCTGGATACAGCATTTTGGAAACATTCCTTGAGTAGAATCTGCAAGTTGATATTTAGATAGATTTGAAGATTTCGTTGGAAAAGGGAATATCTCCATATAAAATCTAGAGGGAAGCATTCTCAGAAACTGCTTTGTGATGTTTCCATTCAAGTCACAGAGTTGAATATTCCCTTTTATAGAGCACGTTTGAAACACTCTTTCTGCACTATCTGGAAGCGGACATTTCGAGCGCTTTGAGGCCTATGGTGAAAAAGGAAATATCTTCCCATAAAAACTAGACAGAAGCATTCTCAGAAACTTGTTTGTGATGTGTGTATTCAACTAACAGAGTTGAACTTTTGTTTTTACAGAGCCGTTTTAAAACACTCTTTTTGTGGAATCAGAAAGTGGATATTCGGATGGCTCTGAGGATTTCGTTGGAAGCGGGATTACGTATAAAATCTAGAGAGAAGCATTCTCAGGAACTTCTTTGTGATGTTTGCATTGAAGTCACAGAATTGAACATTCACTTTGATAGAGCAGGTTTGAAACACTCATTCTGTAGTATCTGGAAGTGGACATTTCAAGCGCTTTCAGGCCTATGGTGAGAAAGGAAATATCTTCGAATAAAAACTAGACAGAAGCATCCTCAAACTTATTTGTGATGTGTGTCCTCAACTAACAGAGTTGAAACTTTGTTTTGATACAGCATTTTGGAAACACTCTTTTTGTAGAATCTGCAGGTGGATATTTGGATAGCTTAGAGGGATTCGTTGGAAAGGGGATATCTTCATATAAAATCTAGACAGAAGCATTCTCAGAAACTTATTTGTGATGTGTGTCCTCAACTAACAGAGTTGAACCTTGGTTTTGATACAGCATTTTGGAAACACTCCTTTTGTAGAATCTGCAGGTGGATATGTGGATAGCTCTGAAGATTTCGTTGGAAACGGGAATTTCTTCATATAAAATCAAACAGAAGCATTCTCAGAAACTTCTCAGTGATGTTTGCATTCAGCTCATGGAGTTGTACACTTCCTTTCATAGAGCAGGTTTGAAACACTCTTTCTGCACTACCTGGAAGAGGACATTTCGAGCGCTTTGAGTCCTATGGTGAAAAAGGAAATATCTTCTCATAGAAACCAGAAAGAAGCATTCTCAGAAACTTCTTTGTGTTGTGTGTACTCATGTAACAGTGTTGAACCATCCTTTTGACAGAGCAGTTTTGAAACACTCTTTTTGTAGAATCTGCAAGTGGATATTTGGATAGCTTTGAGGATTTCGTTGGAAACGGGATGACATATAATATCTAGAGAGAAGCATTCTCAGGAACTTCTTTGTGATGTTTGCATTCAAGTCACAGAATTGAACATTCCCTTTCATAGAGCAGGTTTGAAACACTCTTTCTCTAGTATCTGGAAGTGGGCATTTCAAGCGCTTTCAGGCCTATGGAGAGAAAGGAAATACCTTCAAATAAAAACTAGACAGAAGCATTCTCAGAAACTTATTTGTGATGTGTGTCCTCAACTAACAGAGTTGAACCTTTGTTTTGATACAGCATTTTGGAAACACTCCTTTTGTAGAATCTGCAGGTGGATATTTGGATAGCTTTGAAGATTTCGTTGGAAACCGGAATATCTTCATATAAAATCAAGACAGAAGCATTCTCGGAAACATCTCTGTGATGTTTGCATTCAACTCAGTAGAGTTGAACACTTCCTTTCATAGAGCAGGTTTGAAACACTCTTTCTGCACTACCTGGAAGCGGACATTTCGAGCGCTTTGAGGCCTATGGTGAAAAAGGAAATATCTTCTCATAAAAACCAGAAAGAAGCATTCTCAGAAACTTCTTTGTGTTGTGTGTACTCAAGTAACAGTGTTGAACCTTCCTTTTGACAGAGCAGTTTTGAAACACTCTTTTGGTAGAATCTGCAAGTGGATATTTGGATAGCTTTGAGGATTTCGTTGGAAACGGGTTATCTTCATATAAAATCCAGACAGCGAGCATTCTCAGAAACTTCTTTGTGCTGTATGTCCTCAATTCACAGAGCTGAACCTTTGTTTGGATACAGCATTTTGGAGACATTCCTTTAGTAGAATCTGCAAGTTGATATTTAGATAGCTTTGAAGATTTCGTTGGAAACGGGAATATCTTCATAGAAAATCTAGACGGAGCATTCTCAGAAACTGCTTTGTGATGTTTGCATTCAAGTCACAGAGTTGAATATTCCCTTTTATAGAGTAGGTTTGAAACACTCTTTCGGCACTACCTGGAAGTGGATATTTCGAGCTCTTTGAGGCCTATGGTTAAAAGGAAATATCTTCCCATAAAAACTAGACAGAAGCCGTCTCAGAAACTTGTTTGTGATGTGTGTATTCAACTAACAGAGTTGAACATTTCTGTTACAGAGCAATTTTAAAACACTCTTTTTGTGGAATCTGAAAGTGGATAATTGGATAGCTTTGTGGATTTCGTTGGAAACGGGATGACGTATAAAATCTAGAGAGAAGCATTCTCAGGAACTTCTTTCTGATGTTTGCATTCAAGTCACAGAATTGAACATTCCTTTTCAGAGTGCAGGTTTGAAACACTCTTTCTGTAGTATCTGGAAGTGGACATTTCAAGCGCTTTCAGGCCTACGGGGAGAAAGGAAATCTCTTCAAATAAAAACTAGACAGAAGGATTCTCAGAAACTTATTTGTGATGTGTGTTCTCAACGAACACAGTTGAACCTTTGTTTTGATATAGCATTTTGGAAGCACTCTTTTGTAGAATCTGCAGGTGGATATTTGGATAGATTTTAAGATTTCATTGGAAACGGGAATTTCTTCATATAAACTCAAGACAGATGCATTCTCAGAAACTTCTCTGTGATGTTTGCATTCCACTCACAGAGTTGAAAACTTCCTTTCATAGAGCAGGTTTGAAACACTCTTTTTGTAATATTTGGAAGTGGACATTTGCAGCGCTTTGAGGCCTATGGTGAAAAAGGAAATATCTTCTCATAAAAACCAGAAACAAGCATTCTCAGAAACTGCTTTTTGATGTGTGTACTCAAGTAACAGAGTTGAACCTTCCTTTTGACACAGCAGTTTTGAAACAATCTTTTTGTAGAATCTGCAAGTGGATATTTGGATAGCTTTGAGGATTTCGTTGGAAACGGGATATCTTCATATAAAATCTAGACAGAAGCATTCTCAGAAACTTCTTTGTGCTGTATGTCCTCAATTAACAGAGTTGAACCATTGCTTGGATACAGCATTTTGGAAACATTCCTTTAGTAGAATCTGCAAGTTGATATTTAGATAGATTTGAAGATTTCGTTGGAAACGGGAATATCTTCATATAAAATCTAGACGGAGGCATTCTCAGAAACTGCTTTGTGATGTTTCCATTCAAGTCACAGAGTTGAATATTCTCTTTTCTAGAGCACGTTTGAAACACTCTTTCTGCACTATCTGGAAGTGGACATTTCGAGCGCTTTGAGGCCTATGGTGAAAAAGGAAATATCTTCCCATAAAAACTAGACAGAAGCATTCTCAGAAACTTGTTTGTGATGTGTGTATTCAACTAACAGAGTTGAACTTTTGTTTTTACAGAGCCGTTTTAAAACACTCTTTTTGTGGAATCAGAAAGTGGATATTCGGATGGCTCTGAGGATTTCGTTGGAAGCGGGATTACATATAAAATCTAGAGAGAAGCATTCTCAGGAACTTCTTTGTGATGTTTGCATTGAAGTCACAGAATTGAACATTCACTTTGATAGAGCAGGTTTGAAACACTCATTCTGTAGTATCTGGAAGTGGACATTTCAAGCGCTTTCAGGCCTATGGTGAGAAAGGAAATATCTTCGAATAAAAACTAGACAGAAGCATCCTCAAACTTATTTGTGATGTGTGTCCTCAACTAACAGAGTTGAAACTTTGTTTTGATACAGCATTTTGGAAACACTCTTTTTGTAGAATCTGCAGGTGGATATTTGGATAGCTTAGAGGGATTCGTTGGAAAGGGGATATCTTCATATAGAATCTAGACAGAAGCATTCTCAGAAACTTATTTGTGATGTGTGTCCTCAACTAACAGAGTTGAACTTTGGTTTTGATACAGCATTTTGGAAACACTCCTTTTGTAGAATCTGCAGGTGGATATGTGGATAGCTTCTGAAGATTTCGTTGGAAACGGGAATTTCTTCATATAAAATCAAACAGAAGCATTCTCAGAAACTTCTCTGTGATGTTTGCATTCAGCTCATGGAGTTGAACACTTCCTTTCAGAGAGCAGGTTTGAAACACTCTTTCTGCACTACCAGGAAGTGGACATTTCAAGCGCTTTGAGGCCTATGGTGAAAAAGGAAATATCTTCTCATAAAAACCAGAAAGAAGCATTCTCAGAAACTTCTTTGTGTTGTGTGTACTCAAGTAACAGTGTTGAAACTTCCTTTTGACAGAGCAGTTTTGAAACACTCTTTTGGTAGAATCTGCAAGTGGATATTTGGATAGCTTTGAGGAGTTCTTTGGAAACGGGTTATCTTCATATAAAATCCAGACAGGAGCATTCTCAGAAACTTCTTTGTGCTGTATGTCCTCAATTCACAGAGCTGAACCTTTGTTTGGATACAGCATTTTGGAAACATTCCTTTAGTAGAATCTGCAAGTTGATATTTAGATAGCTTTGAAGATTTCGTTGGAAACGGGAATATCTTCATAAAAAATCTAGACGGAAGCATTGTCAGAAACTGCTCTGTGATGTTTGCATTCAAGTCACAGAGTTAAATATTCTTTTACAGAGCAGGTTTGAAACACTCTTTCTGCACTCCCTGGAAGTGGAGATTTCGAGCGCTTTGAGGCCTATGGTGAAAAAGGAAATATCTTCCCATAAAAACTAGACAGAAGCCTTCTCAGAAACTTGTTTGAGATGTGTGTATTCAACTAAGAGCGTTGAACATTTCTTTTTACAGAGCAGTTTTAAAACACTCTTTTGGTGGAATCTGAAAGTGGATAATTGGATAGCTTTGTGGATTTCGTTGGAAACGGGATTACGTTTAAAATCTAGAGAGAAGCATTCTCAGGAACTTCTCTCTGATGTTTGCATTCAAGTCACAGAATTGAACATTCCTTTTCATAGTGCAGGTTTGAAACACTCTGTAGTATCTGGAAGTGGACATTTCAAGCGCTTTCAAGCCTATGGGGAGAAAGGAAATATCTTGAAATAAAAACTAGACAGAAGGATTCTCAGAAACTTATTTGTGATGTGTGTCCTAAACGAACACAGTTGAACCTTTGTTTTGATACAGCATTTTGGAAACACTCCTTTTGTAGGATCTGCAGGTGGATATTTGGATAGATTTTAAGATTTCGTTGGAAACGGGAATTTCTGCATAGAAACTCAAGACAGATGCATTCTCAGAAACTTCTCTGTGATGTTTGCATTCCACTCATAGAGTTGAAAACTTCCTTTCATAGAGCAGGTTTGAAACACTCTTTTTGTAATATGTGGAAGTGGACATTTGCAGCGCTTTGAGGCCTATGGTGAAAAAGGAAATATCTTCTCATAAAAACCAGAAACAAGCATTCTCAGAAACTTCTTTTTGATGTGTGTACTCAAGTAACAGAGTTGAACCTTCCTTTTGACACAGCAGTTTTGAAACAATCTTTTTGTAGAATCTGCAAGTGGATATTTGGATAGCTTTGAGGATTTCGTTGGAAACGGGATATCTTCATATAAAATCTAGACAGAAGCATTCTCAGAAACTTCTTTGTGCTGTAGGACCTCAATTAACAGAGTTGAACCATTGCTTGCATACAGCATTTTGGAAACATTCCTTGAGTAGAATCTGCAAGTTGATATTTAGATAGATTTGAAGATTTCGTTCGAAAACGGAATATCTCCATATAAAATCTAGAGGGAAGCATTCTCAGAAACTGCTTTGTGATGTTTCCATTCAAGTCACAGAGTTGAATATTCCCTTTTATAGAGCACGTTTGAAACACTCTTTCTGCACTATCTGGAAGTGGACATTTCGAGCGCTTTGAGGCCTATGGTGAAAAAGGAAATATCTTCCCATAAAAACTAGACAGAAGCATTCTCAGAAACTTGTTTGTGATGTGTGTATTCAACTAACAGAGTTGAACTTTTGTTTTTACAGAGCCGTTTTAAAACACTCTTTTTGTGGAATCAGAAAGTGGATATTCGGATGGCTACTGAGGATTTCGTTGGAAGCGGGATTACGTATAAAATCTAGAGAGAAGCATTCTCAGGTAACTACTTTGTGATGTTTGCATTGAAGTCACAGAATTGAACATTCACTATGATAGAGCAGGTTTGAAACACTCATGCTGTAGTATCTGGAAGTGGACATTTCAAGCGCTTTCAGGCCTATGGTGAGAAAGGAAATATCTTCAAATTAAAACTAGACAGAAGCATCCTCAGAAACTTATTTGTGATGTGTGTCCTCAACTAACAGAGTTGAAACTTTGTTTTGATACAGCATTTTGGAAACACTCTTTTTGTAGAATCTGCAGGTGGATACTTGGATAGCTTAGAGGGATTCGTTGGAAAGGGGATATCTTCATATAAAATCTAGACAGAAGCATTCTCAGAAACTTCTTTGTGCTGTATGTCCTCAACTAACAGAAGTTGAACCTTGGTTTTGATACAGCATTTTGGAAACACTCCTTTTGAAGAATCTGCAGGTGGATATGTGGATAGCTTTGAAGATTTCGTTGGAAACGGGAATTTCTTCATATAAAATCAAACAGAAGCATTCTCAGGAACTTCTCTGTGATGTTTGCATTCAGCTCATGGAGTTGAACACTTCCTTTCATAGAGCAGGTTTGAAACACTCTTTCTGCACTACCTGGAAGTGGACATTTCGAGCGCTTTGAGGCCTATGGTGAAAAAGGAAATATCTTCTCATAAAAACCAGAAAGAAGAGTTCTCAGAAACATCTTTGTGTTGTGTGTACTCATGTAACAGTGTTGAACCATCCTTTTGACAGAGCAGTTTTGAAACACTTTTTTTGTAGAATCTGCAAGTGGATATTTGGATAGCTTTGAGGATTTCGTTGGAAACGGGTTATCTTCATATTAAATCTAGACAGAAGCATTCTCAGGAACTTCTTTGTGATGTTTGCATTCAAGTCACAGAATTGAACATTCCCTTTCATAGAGCAGGTTTGAAACACTCTTTCTCTAGTATCTGGAAGTGGGCATTTCAAGCGCTTTCAGGCCTATGGAGAGAAAGGAAATACCTTCAAATAAAAACTAGACAGAAGCATTCTCAGAAACTTATTTGTGATGTGTGTCCTCAACTAACAGAGTTGAACCTTGGTTTTGATACAGCATTTTGGAAACACTCCTTTTGTAGAATCTGCAGGTGGATATGTGGATAGCTTTGAAGATTTCGTTGGAAACCGGAATATCTTCATATAAAATCAAGACAGAAGCATTCTCGGAAACATCTCTGTGATGTTTGCATTCAACTCAGTAGAGTTGAACACTTCCTTTCATAGAGCAGGTTTGAAACACTCTCTCTGCCCTACCTGGAAGCGGACATTTCGAGCTCTTTGAGGCCTATGGTGAAAAAGGAAATATCTTCTCATAAAAACCAGAAAGAAGCATTCTCAGAAACTTCTTTGTGTTGTGTGTACTCAAGTAACAGTGTTGAACCTTCCTTTTGACAGAGCAGTTTTGAAACACTCTTTTGGTAGAATCTGCAAGTGGATATTTGGATAGCTTTGAGGATTTCGTTGGAAACGGGTTATCTTCATATAAAATCCAGACAGGAGCATTCTCAGAAACTTCTTTGTGCTGTATGTCCTCAATTCACAGAGCTGAACCTTTGTTTGGATACAGCATTTTGGAGACATTCCTTTAGTAGAATCTGCAAGTTGATATTTAGATAGCTTTGAAGATTTCGTTGGAAACGGGAATATCTTCATAGAAAATCTAGACGGAAGCATTCTCAGAAACTGCTTTGTGATGTTTGCATTCAAGTCACAGAGTTGAATATTCCCTTTTATAGAGTAGGTTTGAAACACTCTTTCGGCACTACCTGGAAGTGGATATTTCGAGCTCTTTGAGGCCTATGGTTAAAAGGAAATATCTTCCCATAAAAACTAGACAGAAGCCGTCTCAGAAACTTGTTTGTGATGTGTGTATTCAACTACCAGAGTTGAACATTTCTGTTACAGAGCAATTTTAAAACACTCTTTCTGTGGAATCTGAAAGTGGATAATTGGATAGCTTTGTGGATTTCGTTGGAAACGGGATGACGTATAAAATCTAGAGAGAAGCATTCTCAGGAACTTCTTTCTGATGTTTGCATTCAAGTCACAGAATTGAACATTCCTTTTCAGAGTGCAGGTTTGAAACACTCTTTCTGTAGTATCTGGAAGTGGACATTTCAAGCGCTTTCAGGCCTACGGGGAGAAAGGAAATATCTTCAAATAAAAACTAGACAGAAGGATTCTCAGAAACTTATTTGTGATGTGTGTCCTAAACGAACACAGTTGAACCTTTGTTTTGATACAGCATTTTGGAAACACTCCTTTTGTAGGATCTGCAGGTGGATATTTGGATAGATTTTAAGATTTCGTTGGAAACGGGAATTTCTGCATAGAAACTCAAGACAGATGCATTCTCAGAAACTTCTCTGTGATGTTTGCATTCCACTCATAGAGTTGAAAACTTCCTTTCATAGAGCAGGTTTGAAACACTCTTTTTGTAATATTTGGAAGTGGACATTTGCAGCGCTTTGAGGCCTATGGTGAAAAAGGAAATATCTTCTCATAAAAACCAGAAACAAGCATTCTCAGAAACTTCTTTTTGATGTGTGTACTCAAGTAACAGAGTTGAACCTTCCTTTTGACACAGCAGTTTTGAAACAATCTTTTTGTAGAATCTGCAAGTGGATATTTGGATAGCTTTGAGGATTTCGTTGGAAACGGGATATCTTCATATAAAATCTAGACAGAAGCATTCTCAGAAACTTCTTTGTGCTGTATGACCTCAATTAACAGAGTTGAACCATTGCTTGCATACAGCATTTTGGAAACATTCCTTGAGTAGAATCTGCAAGTTGATATTTAGATAGATTTGAAGATTTCGTTCGAAAACGGAATATCTCCATATAAAATCTAGAGGGAAGCATTCTCAGAAACTGCTTTGTGATGTTTCCATTCAAGTCACAGAGTTGAATATTCCCTTTTATAGAGCACGTTTGAAACACTCTTTCTGCGCTATCTGGAAGTGGACATTTCGAGCGCTTTGAGGCCTATGGTGAAAAAGGAAATATCTTCCCATAAAAACTAGACAGAAGCATTCTCAGAAACTTGTTTGTGATGTGTGTATTCAACTAACAGAGTTGAACTTTTGTTTTTACAGAGCCGTTTTAAAACACTCTTTTTGTGGAATCAGAAAGTGGATATTCGGATGGCTCTGAGGATTTCGTTGGAAGCGGGATTACATATAAAATCTAGAGAGAAGCATTCTCAGGAACTTCTTTGTGATGTTTGCATTGAAGTCACAGAATTGAACATTCACTTTGATAGAGCAGGTTTGAAACACTCATTCTGTAGTATCTGGAAGTGGACATTTCAAGCGCTTTCAGGCCTATGGTGAGAAAGGAAATATCTTCGAATAAAAACTAGACAGAAGCATCCTCAAACTTATTTGTGATGTGTGTCCTCAACTAACAGAGTTGAAACTTTGTTTTGATACAGCATTTTGGAAACACTCTTTTTGTAGAATCTGCAGGTGGATATTTGGATAGCTTAGAGGGATTCGTTGGAAAGGGGATATCTTCATATAGAATCTAGACAGAAGCATTCTCAGAAACTTATTTGTGATGTGTGTCCTCAACTAACAGAGTTGAACTTTGGTTTTGATACAGCATTTTGGAAACACTCCTTTTGTAGAATCTGCAGGTGGATATGTGGATAGCTCTGAAGATTTCGTTGGAAACGGGAATTTCTTCATATAAAATCAAACAGAAGCATTCTCAGGAACTTCTCTGTGATGTTTGCATTCAGCTCATGGGAGTTGAACACTTCCTTTCATAGAGCAGGTTTGAAACACTCTTTCTGCACTACCTGGAAGTGGACATTTCGAGCGCTTTGAGGCCTATGGTCAAAAAGGAAATATCTTCTCATGAAAACCAGAAAGAAGCGTTCTCAGAAACTTCTTTGTGTTGTGTGTACTCATGTAACAGTGTTGAACCATCCTTTTGACAGAGCAGTTTTGAAACACTCTTTTTGTAGAATCTGCAAGTGGATATTTGGATAGCTTTGAGGATTTCGTTGGAAACGGGTTATCTTCATATTAAATCTAGACAGAAGCATTCTCAGAAACTTCTTTGTGCTGTATGTCCTCAATTCACAGAGTTGAACCTTTGTTTGGATACAGCATTTTGGAAACATTCCTTTAGTAGAATCTGCAAGTTGATATTTAGATAGCTTTGAAGATTTCGTTGGAAACGGGAATATCTTCATAAAAAATCTAGACGGAAGCATTGTCAGAAACTGCTTTGTGATGTTTGCATTCAAGTCACAGAGTTAAATATTCTTTTACAGAGCAGGTTTGAAACACTCTTTCTGCACTCCCTGGAAATGGAGATTTCGAGCGCTTTGAGGCCTATGGTGAAAAAGGAAATATCTTCCCATAAAAACTAGACGGAAGCCTTCTCAGAAACTTGTTTGAGATGTGTGTATTCAACTAAGAGCGTTGAACATTTCTTTTTACAGAGCAGTTTTAAAACACTCTTTTTGTGGAATCTGAAAGTGGATAATTGGATAGCTTTGTGGATTTCTTTGGAAACGGGATTACGTATAAAATCTAGAGAGAAGCATTCTCAGGAACTTCTTTCTGATGTTTGCATTCAAGTCACAGAATTGAACATTCCTTTTCATAGTGCAGGTTTGAAACACTCTGTAGTATCTGGAAGTGGACATTTCAAGCGCTTTCAAGCCTATGGGGAGAAAGGAAATATCTTGAAATAAAAACTAGACAGAAGTATTCTCAGAAACTTATTGGTGATGTGTGTCCTAAACGAACACAGTTGAACCTTTGTTTTGATACAGCATTTTGGAAACACTCCTTTTGTAGAATCTGCAGGTGGATATTTGGATAGATTTTAAGATTTCATTGGAAACGGGAATTTCTTCATATAAACTCAAGACAGATGCATTCTCAGAAACTTCTCTGTGATGTTTGCATTCCACTCATAGAGTTGAAAACTTCCTTTCATAGAGCAGGTTTGAAACACTCTTTTTGTAATATTTGGAAGTGGACATTTGCAGCGCTTTGAGGCCTATGGTGAAAAAGGAAATATCTTCTCATAAAAAGCAGAAACAAGCATTCTCAGAAACTGCTTTTTGATGTGTGTACTCAAGTAACAGAGTTGAACCTTCCTTTTGACACAGCAGTTTTGAAACAATCTTTTTGTAGAATCTGCAAGTGGATATTTGGATAGCTTTGATTATTTCGTTGGAAACGGGATATCTTCATATAAAATCTAGACAGAAGCATTCTCAGAAACTTCTTTGTGCTGTATGTCCTCAATTAACAGAGTTGAACCATTGCTTGGATACAGCATTTTGGAAACATTCCTTTAGTAGAATCTGCAAGTTGATATTTAGATATATTTGAAGATTTCGTTGGAAACGGGAATATCTTCATATAAAATCTAGACGGAGGCATTCTCAGAAACTGCTTTGTGATGTTTCCATTCAAGTCACAGAGTTGAATATTCTCTTTTATAGAGCACGTTTGAAACACTCTTTCTGCACTATCTGGAAGTGGACATTTCGAGCGCTGTGAGGCCTATGGTGAAAAAGGAAATATCTTCCCATAAAAACTAGACAGAAGCATTCTCAGAAACTTGTTTGTGATGTGTGTATTCAACTAACAGAGTTGAACTTTTGTTTTTACAGAGCCGTTTTAAAACACTCTTTTTGTGGAATCAGAAAGTGGATATTCGGATGGCTCTGAGGATTTCGTTGGAAGCGGGATTACGTATAAAATCTAGAGAGAAGCATTCTCAGGAACTTCTTTGTGATGTTTGCATTGAAGTCACAGAATTGAACATTCACTTTGATAGAGCAGGTTTGAAACACTCATTCTGTAGTATCTGGAAGTGGACATTTCAAGCGCTTTCAGGCCTATGGTGAGAAAGGAAATATCTTCGAATAAAAACTAGACAGAAGCATCCTCAAACTTATTTGTGATGTGTGTCCTCAACTAACAGAGTTGAAACTTTGTTTTGATACAGCATTTTGGAAACACTCTTTTTGTAGAATCTGCAGGTGGATATTTGGATAGCTTAGAGGGATTCGTTGGAAAGGGGATATCTTCATATAAAATCTAGACAGAAGCATTCTCAGAAACTTATTTGTGATGTGTGTCCTCAACTAACAGAGTTGAACCTTGGTTTTGATACAGCATTTTGGAAACACTCCTTTTGTAGAATCTGCAGGTGGATATGTGGATAGCTCTGAAGATTTCGTTGGAAACGGGAATTTCTTCATATAAAATCAAACAGAAGCATTCTCAGAAACTTCTCAGTGATGTTTGCATTCAGCTCATGGAGTTGTACACTTCCTTTCATAGAGCAGGTTTGAAACACTCTTTCTGCACTACCTGGAAGAGGACATTTCGAGCGCTTTGAGTCCTATGGTGAAAAAGGAAATATCTTCTCATAGAAACCAGAAAGAAGCATTCTCAGAAACTTCTTTGTGTTGTGTGTACTCATGTAACAGTGTTGAACCATCCTTTTGACAGAGCAGTTTTGAAACACTCTTTTTGTAGAATCTGCAAGTGGATATTTGGATAGCTTTGAGGATTTCGTTGGAAACGGGATGACATATAATATCTAGAGAGAAGCATTCTCAGGAACTTCTTTGTGATGTTTGCATTCAAGTCACAGAATTGAACATTCCCTTTCATAGAGCAGGTTTGAAACACTCTTTCTCTAGTATCTGGAAGTGGGCATTTCAAGCGCTTTCAGGCCTATGGAGAGAAAGGAAATACCTTCAAATAAAAACTAGACAGAAGCATTCTCAGAAACTTATTTGTGATGTGTGTCCTCAACTAACAGAGTTGAACCTTTGTTTTGATACAGCATTTTGGAAACACTCCTTTTGTAGAATCTGCAGGTGGATATTTGGATAGCTTTGAAGATTTCGTTGGAAACCGGAATATCTTCATATAAAATCAAGACAGAAGCATTCTCGGAAACATCTCTGTGATGTTTGCATTCAACTCAGTAGAGTTGAACACTTCCTTTCATAGAGCAGGTTTGAAACACTCTTTCTGCACTACCTGGAAGCGGACATTTCGAGCGCTTTGAGGCCTATGGTGAAAAAGGAAATATCTTCTCATAAAAACCAGAAAGAAGCATTCTCAGAAACTTCTTTGTGTTGTGTGTACTCAAGTAACAGTGTTGAACCTTCCTTTTGACAGAGCAGTTTTGAAACACTCTTTTGGTAGAATCTGCAAGTGGATATTTGGATAGCTTTGAGGATTTCGTTGGAAACGGGTTATCTTCCTATAAAATCCAGACAGGAGCATTCTCAGAAACTTCTTTGTGCTGTATGTCCTCAATTCACAGAGCTGAACCTTTGTTTGGATACAGCATTTTGGAGACATTCCTTTAGTAGAATCTGCAAGTTGATATTTAGATAGCTTTGAAGATTTCGTTGGAAACGGGAATATCTTCATAGAAAATCTAGACGGAAGCATTCTCAGAAACTGCTTTGTGATGTTTGCATTCAAGTCACAGAGTTGAATATTCCCTTTTATAGAGTAGGTTTGAAACACTCTTTCGGCACTACCTGGAAGTGGATATTTCGAGCTCTTTGAGGCCTATGGTTAAAAGGAAATATCTTCCCATAAAAACTAGACAGAAGCCGTCTCAGAAACTTGTTTGTGATGTGTGTATTCAACTACCAGAGTTGAACATTTCTGTTACAGAGCAATTTTAAAACACTCTTTCTGTGGAATCTGAAAGTGGATAATTGGATAGCTTTGTGGATTTCGTTGGAAACGGGATGACGTATAAAATCTAGAGAGAAGCATTCTCAGGAACTTCTTTCTGATGTTTGCATTCAAGTCACAGAATTGAACATTCCTTTTCAGAGTGCAGGTTTGAAACACTCTTTCTGTAGTATCTGGAAGTGGACATTTCAAGCGCTTTCAGGCCTACGGGGAGAAAGGAAATATCTTCAAATAAAAACTAGACAGAAGGATTCTCAGAAACTTATTTGTGATGTGTGTCCTAAACGAACACAGTTGAACCTTTGTTTTGATACAGCATTTTGGAAACACTCCTTTTGTAGGATCTGCAGGTGGATATTTGGATAGATTTTAAGATTTCGTTGGAAACGGGAATTTCTGCATAGAAACTCAAGACAGATGCATTCTCAGAAACTTCTCTGTGATGTGTGCATTCCACTCATAGAGTTGAAAACTTCCTTTCATAGAGCAGGTTTGAAACACTCTTTTTGTAATATTTGGAAGTGGACATTTGCAGCGCTTTGAGGCCTATGGTGAAAAAGGAAATATCTTCTCATAAAAACCAGAAACAAGCATTCTCAGAAACTTCTTTTTGATGTGTGTACTCAAGTAACAGAGTTGAACCTTCCTTTTGACACAGCAGTTTTGAAACAATCTTTTTGTAGAATCTGCAAGTGGATATTTGGATAGCTTTGAGGATTTCGTTGGAAACGGGATATCTTCATATAAAATCTAGACAGAAGCATTCTCAGAAACTTCTTTGTGCTGTATGACCTCAATTAACAGAGTTGAACCATTGCTTGCATACAGCATTTTGGAAACATTCCTTGAGTAGAATCTGCAAGTTGATATTTAGATAGATTTGAAGATTTCGTTCGAAAACGGAATATCTCCATATAAAATACTAGAGGGAAGCACTGTCAGAAACTGCTTTGTGATGTTTGCATTCAAGTCACAGAGTTAAATATTCTTTTACAGAGCAGGTTTGAAACACTCTTTCTGCACTCCCTGGAAGTGGAGATTTCGAGCGCTTTGAGGCCTATGGTGAAAAAGGAAATATCTTCTCATAAAAACTAGACGGAAGCATTCTCAGAAACTTGTTTGTGATGTGTGTATTCAACTAACAGACTTGAACTTTTGTTTTTACAGAGCAGTTTTAAAACAATCTTTTGGTGGAATCAGAAAGTGGATATTCGGATGGCTTTGAGGATTTCGTTGGAAGCGGGATTACATATAAAATCTATAGAGAAGCATTCTCAGGAACTACTTTGTGATGTTTGCATTGAAGTCACAGAATTGAACATTCACTTTGATAGAGCAGGTTTGAAACACTCATTCTGTAGTATCTGGAAGTGGACATTTCAAGCGCTTTCAGGCCTATGGGGAGAAAGGAAATATCTTCAAATAAAAACTAGACAGAAGCGTTCTCAGAAACTTCTTTGTGTTGTGTGTACTCATGTAACAGTGTTGAACCATCCTTTTGACAGAGCAGTTTTGAAACAGTCTTTATGAAGAATCTGCAAGTGAATATTTGGATAGCTTTGAGGATTTCGTTGGAAACGGGATATCTTCATATAAAATCTAGACAGAAGCATTCTCAGAAACTTATTTGTGATGTGTGTCCTCAACTAACAGAGTTGAACCTTGGTTTTGATACAGCATTTTGGAAACACTCCTTTTGAAGAATCTGCAGGTGGATATGTGGATAGCTTTGAAGATTTCTTTGGAAACGGGAATATCTTCATAAAATTCTAGACGGAAGCATTGTCAGAAACTGCTTTGTGATGTTTGCATTCAAGTCACAGAGTTAAATATTCTTTTATAGAGCAGGTTTGAAACACTCTTTCTGCACTCCCTGGAAGTGGAGACTTCGAGCGCTTTGAGGCCTATGGTGAAAAAGGAAATATCTTCCCATAAAAACTAGACGGAAGCCTTCTCAGAAACTTGTTTGAGATGTGTGTATTCAACTAAGAGCGTTGAACATTTCTTTTTACAGAGCAGTTTTAAAACACTCTTTTTGTGGAATCTGAAAGTGGATAATTGGATAGCTTTGTGGATTTCGTTGGAAACGGGATGACGTATAAAATCTAGAGAGAAGCATTCTCAGGAACTTCTTTCTGATGTTTGCATTCAAGTCACAGAATTGAACATTCCTTTTCATAGTTCAGGTTTGAAACACTCTGTAGTATCTGGAAGTGGACATTTCAAGCGCTTTCAAGCCTATGGGGAGAAAGGAAATATCTTGAAATAAAAACTAGACAGAAGGATTCTCAGAAACTTATTTGTGATGTGTGTCCTAAACGAACACAGTTGAACCTTTGTTTTGATACAGCATTTTGGAAACACTCCTTTTGTAGAATCTGCAGGTGGATATTTGGATAGATTTTAAGATTTCATTGGAAACGGGAATTTCTTCATATAAACTCAAGACAGATGCATTCTCAGAAACTTCTCTGTGATGTTTGCATTCCACTCACAGAGTTGAAAACTTCCTTTCATAGAGCAGGTTTGAAACACTCTTTTTGTAATATTTGGAAGTGGACATTTGCAGCGCTTTGAGGCCTATGGTGAAAAAGGAAATATCTTCTCATAAAAACCAGAAACAAGCATTCTCAGAAACTGCTTTTTGATGTGTGTACTCAAGTAACAGAGTTGAACCTTCCTTTTGACACAGCAGTTTTGAAACAATCTTTTTGTAGAATCTGCAAGTGGATATTTGGATAGCTTTGAGGATTTCGTTGGAAACGGGATATCTTCATATAAAATCTAGACAGAAGCATTCTCAGAAACTTCTTTGTGCTGTATGTCCTCAATTAACAGAGTTGAACCATTGCTTGGATACAGCATTTTGGAAACATTCCTTTAGTAGAATCTGCAAGTTGATATTTAGATAGATTTGAAGATTTCGTTGGAAACGGGAATATCTTCATATAAAATCTAGACGGAGGCATTCTCAGAAACTGCTTTGTGATGTTTCCATTCAAGTCACAGAGTTGAATATTCTCTTTTATAGAGCACGTTTGAAACACTCTTTCTGCACTATCTGGAAGTGGACATTTCGAGCGCTGTGAGGCCTATGGTGAAAAAGGAAATATCTTCCCATAAAAACTAGACAGAAGCATTCTCAGAAACTTGTTTATGATGTGTGTATTCAACTAACAGACTAGAACTTTTGTTTTTACAGAGCAGTTTTAAGACAATCTTTTTGTGGAATCAGAAAGTAGATATTCGGATGGCTTTGAGGATATCGTTGGAAGCGGGATTACATATAAAATTTAGAGAGAAGCATTCTCAGGAACTTCTTTGTGATGTTTGCATTGAAGTCACAGAATTGAACATTCACTTTGATAGAGCAGGTTTGAAACACTCATTCTGTAGTATCTGGAAGCGGACAATTCAAGCGCTTTCAGGCCTATGGGGAGAAAGGAAATATCTTCAAATAAAAACTAGAGAGAAGCATCCTCAGAAACTTATTTGTGATGTGTGTCCTCAACTAACAGAGTTGAAACTTTGTTTTGATACAGCATTTTGGAAACACTCTTTTTGTAGAATCTGCAGGTGGATATTTGGATAGCTTAGTGGGATTCGTTGGAAAGGGGATATCTTCATATAAAATCTAGACAGAAGCATTCTCAGAAACTTATTTGTGATGTGTGTCCTCAACTAACAGAGTGGAACCTTGGTTTTGATACAGCATTTTGGAAACACTCCTTTTGTAGAATCTGCAGGTGGATATGTGGATAGCTTTGAAGATTTCGTTGGAAACGGGAATTTCTTCATATAAAATCAAACAGAAGCATTCTCAGAAACTTCTCTGTGATGTTTGCATTCAGCTCATGGAGTTGAACACTTCCTTTCATAGAGCAGGTTTGAAACACTCTTTCTGCACTACCAGGAAGTGGACATTTCGAGCGCTTTGAGGCCTATGGTGAAAAAGGAAATATCTTCTCATAAAAACCAGAAAGAAGCGTTCTCAGAAACTTCTTTGTGTTGTGTGTACTCATGTAACAGTGTTGAACCATCCTTTTGACAGAGCAGTTTTGAAACAGTCTTTATGTAGAATCTGCAAGTGAATATTTGGATAGCTTTGAGGATTTCGTTGGAAACGGGATATCTTCATATAAAATCTAGACAGAAGCATTCTCAGAAACTTATTTGTGATGTGTGTCCTCAACTAACAGAGTTGAACCTTGGTTTTGATACAGCATTTTGGAAACACTCCTTTTGAAGAATCTGCAGGTGGATATGTGGATAGCTTTGAAGATTTCTTTGGAAACGGGAATATCTTCATAAAATTCTAGACGGAAGCATTGTCAGAAACTGCTTTGTGATGTTTGCATTCAAGTCACAGAGTTAAATATTCTTTTATAGAGCAGGTTTGAAACACTCTTTCTGCACTCCCTGGAAGTGGAGATTTCGAGCGCTTTGAGGCCTATGGTGAAAAAGGAAATATCTTCCCATAAAAACTAGACGGAAGCCTTCTCAGAAACTTGTTTGAGATGTGTGTATTCAACTAAGAGCGTTGAACATTTCTTTTTACAGAGCAGTTTTAAAACACTCTTTTTGTGGAATCTGAAAGTGGATAATTGGATAGCTTTGTGGATTTCGTTGGAAACGGGATGACGTATAAAATCTAGAGAGAAGCATTCTCAGGAACTTCTTTCTGATGTTTCCATTCAAGTCACAGAATTGAACATTCCTTTTCATAGTGCAGGTTTGAAACACTCTTTCTGTAGTATCTGGAAGTGGACATTTCAAGCACTTTCAGGCCTATGGGGAGAAAGGAAATATCTTCAAATAAAAACTAGACAGAAGGATTCTCAGAAACTTATTGGTGATGTGTGTCCTAAACGAACACAGTTGAACCTTTGTTTTGATACAGCATTTTGGAAACACTCCCTTTGTAGAATCTGCAGGTGGATATTTGGATAGATTTTAAGATTTCGTTGGAAACGGGAATTTCTTCATATAAACTCAAGACAGATGCATTCTCAGAAACTTCTCTGTAATGTTTACATTCCACTCATAGAGTTGAAAACTTCCTTTCATAGAGCAGGTTTGAAACACTCTTTTTGTAATATTTGGAAGTGGACATTTGCAGCGCTTTGAGGCCTATGGTGAAAAAGGAAATATCTTCTCATAAAAACCAGAAACAAGCATTCTCAGAAACTTCTTTTTGATGTGTGTACTCAAGTAACAGAGTTGAACCTTCCTTTTGACACAGCAGTTTTGAAACAATCTTTTTGTAGAATCTGCAAGTGGATATTTGGATAGCTTTGAGGATTTCGTTGGAAACGGGATATCTTCATATAAAATCTAGACAGAAGCATTCTCAGAAACTTCTTTGTGCTGTATGTCCTCAATTAACAGAGTTGAACCATTGCCTGGATACAGCATTTTGGAAACATTCCTTGAGTAGAATCTGCAAGTTGATATTTAGATAGATTTGAAGATTTCGTTGGAAAAGGGAATATCTCCATATAAAATCTAGAGGGAAGCATTCTCAGAAACTGCTTTGTGATGTTTCCATTCAAGTCACAGAGTTGAATATTCCCTTTTATAGAGCACGTTTGAAACACTCTTTCTGCACTATCTGGAAGCGGACATTTCGAGCGCTTTGAGGCCTATGGTGAAAAAGGAAATATCTTCCCATATAAACTAGACAGAAGCATTCTCAGAAACTTGTTTGTGATGTGTGTATTCAACTAACAGAGTTGAACTTTTGTTTTTACAGAGCCGTTTTAAAACACTCTTTTTGTGGAATCAGAAAGTGGATATTCGGATGGCTCTGAGGATTTCGTTGGAAGCGGGATTACATATAAAATCTAGAGAGAAGCATTCTCAGGAACTTCTTTGTGATGTTTGCATTGAAGTCACAGAATTGAACATTCACTTTGATAGAGCAGGTTTGGAACACTCATTCTGTAGTATCTGGAAGTGGACATTTCAAGCGCTTTCAGGCCTATGGTGAGAAAGGAAATATCTTCGAATAAAAACTAGACAGAAGCATCCTCAAACTTATTTGTGATGTGTGTCCTCAACTAACAGAGTTGAAACTTTGTTTTGATACAGCATTTTGGAAACACTCTTTTTGTAGAATCTGCAGGTGGATATTTGGATAGCTTAGAGGGATTCTTTGGAAAGGGGATATCTTCATATAAAATCTAGACAGAAGCATTCTCAGAAACTTATTTGTGATGTGTGTCCTCAACTAACAGAGTTGAACCTTGGTTTTGATACAGCATTTTGGAAACACTCCTTTTGTAGAATCTGCAGGTGGATATGTGGATAGCTCTGAAGATTTCGTTGGAAACGGGAATTTCTTCCTATAAAATCAAACAGAAGCATTCTCAGAAACTTCTCTGTGATGTTTGCATTCAGCTCATGGAGTTGAACACTTCCTTTCATAGAGCAGGTTTGAAACACTCTTTCTGCACTACCAGGAAGTGGACATTTGGAGCGCTTTGAGGCCTATGGTGAAAAAGGAAATATCTTCTCATAAAAACCAGAAAGAAGCGTTCTCAGAAACTTCTTTGTGTTGTGTGTACTCATGTAACAGTGTTGAACCATCCTTTTGACAGAGCAGTTTTGAAACACTCTTTTTGTAGAATCTGCAAGTGGATATTTGGATAGCCTTGAGGATTTCGTTGGAAACGGGTTATCTTCATATTAAATCTAGACAGAAGCATTCTCAGGAACTTCTTTGTGATGTTTGCATTCAAGTCACAGAATTGAACATTCCCTTTCATAGAGCAGGTTTGAAACACTCTTTCTCTAGTATCTGGAAGTGGGCATTTCAAGCGCTTTCAGGCCTATGGAGAGAAAGGAAATACCTTCAAATAAAAACTAGACAGAAGCATTCTCAGAAACTTATTTGTGATGTGTGTCCTCAACTAACAGAGTTGAACCTTTGTTTTGATACAGCATTTTGGAAACACTCCTTTTGTAGAATCTGCAGGTGGATATTTGGATAGCTTTGAAGATTTCGTTGGAAACCGGAATATCTTCATATAAAATCAAGACAGAAGCATTCTCGGAAACATCTCTGTGATGTTTGCATTCAACTCAGTAGAGTTGAACACTTCCTTTCATAGAGCAGGTTTGAAACACTCTTTCTGCCCTACCTGGAAGCGGACATTTCGAGCGCTTTGAGGCCTATGGTGAAAAAGGAAATATCTTCTCATAAAAACCAGAAAGAAGCATTCTCAGAAACTTCTTTGTGTTGTGTGTACTCAAGTAACAGTGTTGAACCTTCCTTTTGACAGAGCAGTTTTGAAACACTCTTTTGGTAGAATCTGCAAGTGGATATTTGGAGAGCTTTGAGGATTTCGTTGGAAACGGGTTATCTTCCTATAAAATCCAGACAGGAGCATTCTCAGAAACTTCTTTGTGCTGTATGTCCTCAATTCACAGAGCTGAACCTTTGTTTGGATACAGCATTTTGGAGACATTCCTTTAGTAGAATCTGCAAGTTGATATTTAGATAGCTTTGAAGATTTCGTTGGAAACGGGAATATCTTCATAGAAAATCTAGACGGAAGCATTCTCAGAAACTGCTTTGTGATGTTTGCATTCAAGTCACAGAGTTGAATATTCCCTTTTATAGAGTAGGTTTGAAACACTCTTTCGGCACTACCTGGAAGTGGATATTTCGAGCTCTTTGAGGCCTATGGTTAAAAGGAAATATCTTCCCATAAAAACTAGACAGAAGCCGTCTCAGAAACTTGTTTGTGATGTGTGTATTCAACTAACAGAGTTGAACATTTCTGTTACAGAGCAATTTAAAACACTCTTTTTGTGGAATCTGAAAGTGGATAATTGGATAGCTTTGTGGATTTCGTTGGAAACGGGATGACGTATAAAATCTAGAGAGAAGCATTCTCAGGAACTTCTTTCTGATGTTTGCATTCAAGTCACAGAATTGAACATTCCTTTTCATAGTGCAGGTTTGAAACACTCTGTAGTATCTGGAAGTGGACATTTCAAGCGCTTTCAAGCCTATGGGGAGAAAGGAAATATCTTGAAATAAAAACTAGACAGGAGGATTCTCAGAAACTTATTTGTGATGTGTGTCCTAAACGAACACAGTTGAACCTTTGTTTTGATACAGCATTTTGGAATCACTCCTTTTGTAGAATCTGCAGGTGGATATTTGGATAGATTTTAAGATTTCATTGGAAACGGGAATTTCTTCATATAAACTCAAGACAGATGCATTCTCCGAAACTTCTCTGTGATGTTTGCATTCCACTCACAGAGTTGAAAACTTCCTTTCATAGAGCAGGTTTGAAACACTCTTTTTGTAATATTTGGAAGTGGACATTTGCAGCGCTTTGAGGCCTATGGTGAAAAAGGAAATATCTTCTCATAAAAACCAGAAACAAGCATTCTCAGAAACTGCTTTTTGATGTGTGTACTCAAGTAACAGAGTTGAACCTTCCTTTTGACACAGCAGTTTTGAAACAATCTTTTTGTAGAATCTGCAAGTGGATATTTGGATAGCTTTGAGGATTTCGTTGGAAACGGGATATCTTCATATAAAATCTAGACAGAAGCATTCTCAGAAACTTCTTTGTGCTGTATGTCCTCAATTAACAGAGTTGAACCATTGCTTGGATACAGCATTTTGGAAACATTCCTTTAGTAGAATCTGCAAGTTGATATTTAGATAGATTTGAAGATTTCGTTGGAAACGGGAATATCTTCATATAAAATCTAGACGGAGGCATTCTCAGAAACTGCTTTGTGATGTTTCCATTCAAGTCACAGAGTTGAATATTCCCTTTTATAGAGCACGTTTGAAACACTCTTTCGGCACTATCTGGAAGTGGACATTTCGAGCGCTTTGAGGCCTATGGTGAAAAAGGAAATATCTTCCCATAAAAACTAGACAGAAGCATTCTCAGAAACTTGTTTGTGATGTGTGTATTCAACTAACAGACTTGAACTTTTGTTTTTACAGAGCAGTTTTAAAACAATCTTTTTGTGGAATCAGAAAGTGGATATTCGGATGGCTTTGAGGATTTCGTTGGAAGCGGGATTACATATAAAATCTAGAGAGAAGCATTCTCAGGAACTACTTTGTGATGTTTGCATTGAAGTCACAGAATTGAACATTCACTTTGATAGAGCAGGTTTGAAACACTCATTCTGTAGTATCTGGAAGTGGACATTTCAAGTGCTTTCAGGCCTATGGGGAGAAAGGAAATATCTTCAAATTAAAACTAGACAGAAGCATCCTCAGAAACTTATTTGTGATGTGTGTCCTCAACTAACAGAGTTGAAACTTTGTTTTGATACAGCATTTTGGAAACACTCTTTTTGTAGAATCTGCAGGTGGATACTTGGATAGCTTAGTGGGATTCGTTGGAAAGGGGATAAATTCATATAAAATCTAGACAGAAGCATTCTCAGAAACTTATTTGTGATGTGTGTCCTCAACTAACAGAGTTGAACCTTGGTTTTGATACAGCATTTTGGAAACACTCCTTTTGAAGAATCTGCAGGTGGATATGTGGATAGCTTTGAAGATTTCGTTGGAAACGGGAATTTCTTCATATAAAATCAAACAGAAGCATTCTCAGGAACTTCTCTGTGATGTTTGCATTCAGCTCATGGAGTTGAACACTTCCTTTCATAGAGCAGGTTTGAAACACTCTTTCTGCACTACCTGGAAGTGGACATTTCGAGCGCTTTAAGGCCTATGGTGAAAAAGGAAATATCCTCTCATAAAAACCAGAAAGAAGCGTTCTCAGAAACTTCTTTGTGTTGTGTGTACTCATGTAACAGTGTTGAACCATCCTTTTGACAGAGCAGTTTTGAAACACTCTTTTTGTAGAATCTGCAAGTGGATATTTGGATAGCTTTGAGGATTTCGTTGGAAACGGGTTATCTTCATATTAAATCTAGACAGAAGCATTCTCAGAAACTTCTTTGTGCTGTATGTCCTCAATTCACAGAGTTGAACCTTTGTTTGGATACAGCATTTTGGAAACATTCCTTTAGTAGAATCTGCAAGTTGATATTTAGATAGCTTTGAAGATTTCGTTGGAAACGGGAATATCTTCATAAAAAATCTAGACGGAAGCATTGTCAGAAACTGCTCTGTGATGTTTGCATTCAAGTCACAGAGTTAAATATTCTTTTACAGAGCAGGTTTGAAACACTCTTTCTGCACTCCCTGGAAGTGGCGATTTCGAGCGCTTTGAGGCCTATGGTGAAAAAGGAAATATCTTCCCATAAAAACTAGACGGAAGCCTTCTCAGAAACTTGTTTGAGATGTGTGTATTCAACTAAGAGCGTTGAACATTTCTTTTTACAGAGCAGTTTTAAAACAGTCTTTTGGTGGAATCTGAAAGTGGATAATTGGATAGCTTTGTGGATTTCGTTGGAAACGGGATTACGTTTAAAATCTAGAGAGAAGCATTCTCAGGAACTTCTTTCTGATGTTTGCATTCAAGTCACAGAATTGAACATTCCTTTTCAGAGTGCAGGTTTGAAACACTCTTTCTGTAGTATCTGGAAGTGGACATTTCAAGCGCTTTCAGGCCTACGGGGAGAAAGGAAATATCTTCAAATAAAAACTAGACAGAAGGATTCTCAGAAACTTATTTGTGATGTGTGTCCTAAACGAACACAGTTGAACCTTTGTTTTGATACAGCATTTTGGAAACACTCCTTTTGTAGGATCTGCAGGTGGATATTTGGATAGATTTTAAGATTTCGTTGGAAACGGGAATTTCTTCATAGAAGCTCAAGACAGATGCATTCTCCGAAACTTCTCTGTGATGTTTGCATTCCACTCATAGAGTTGAAAACTTCCTTTCATAGGAGCACGTTTGAAACACTCTTTTTGTAATATTTGGAAGTGGACATTTGCAGCGCTTTGAGGCCTATGGTGAAAAAGGAAATATCTTCTCATAAAAACCAGAAACAAGCATTCTCAGAAACTTCTTTTTGATGTGTGTACTCAAGTAACAGAGTTGAACCTTCCTTTTGACACAGCAGTTTTGAAACAATCTTTTTGTAGAATCTGCAAGTGGATATTTGGATAGCTTTGAGGATTTCGTTGGAAACGGGATATCTTCATATAAAATCTAGACAGAAGCATTCTCAGAAACTTGTTTGTGCTGTATGTCCTCAATTAACAGAGTTGAACCATTGCTTGGATACAGCATTTTGGAAACATTCCTTGAGTAGAATCTGCAAGTTGATATTTAGATAGCTTTGAAGATTTCGTTGGAAACGGGAATATCTTCATAGAAAATCTAGACGGAAGCATTCTCAGAAACTGCTTTGTGATGTTTGCATTCAAGTCACAGAGTTGAATATTCCCTTTTATAGAGTAGGTTTGAAACACTCTTTCGGCACTACCTGGAAGTGGATATTTCGAGCTCTTTGAGGCCTATGGTTAAAAGGAAATATCTTCCCATAAAAACTAGACAGAAGCCGTCTCAGAAACTTGTTTGTGATGTGTGTATTCAACTAACAGAGTTGAAAATTTCTGTTACAGAGCAATTTTAAAACACTCTTTTTGTGGAATCTGAAAGTGGATAATTGGATAGCTTTGTGGATTTCGTTGGAAACGGGATGACGTATAAAATCTAGAGAGAAGCATTCTCAGGAACTTCTTTCTGATGTTTGCATTCAAGTCACAGAATTGAACATTCCTTTTCAGAGTGCAGGTTTGAAACACTCTTTCTGTAGTATCTGGAAGTGGACATTTCAAGCGCTTTCAGGCCTACGGGGAGAAAGGAAATCTCTTCAAATAAAAACCAGACAGAAGGATTCTCAGAAACTTATTTGTGATGTGTGTCCTAAACGAACACAGTTGAACCTTTGTTTTGATACAGCATTTTGGAAACACTCCTTTTGTAGGATCTGCAGGTGGATATTTGGATAGATTTTAAGATTTCGTTGGAAACGGGAATTTCTGCATATAAACTCAAGACAGATGCATTCTCAGAAACTTCTCTGTGATGTTTGCATTCCACTCATAGAGTTGAAAACTTCCTTTCATAGAGCAGGTTTGAAACACTCTTTTTGTAATATGTGGAAGTGGACATTTGCAGCGCTTTGAGGCCTATGGTGAAAAAGGAAATATCTTCTCATAAAAACCAGAAACAAGCATTCTCAGAAACTTCTTTTTGATGTGTGTACTCAAGTAACAGAGTTGAACCTTCCTTTTGACACAGCAGTTTTGAAACAATCTTTTTGTAGAATCTGCAAGTGGATATTTGGATAGCTTTGAGGATTTCGTTGGAAACGGGATATCTTCATATAAAATCTAGACAGAAGCATTCTCAGCAAACTTCTTTGTGCTGTATGTCCTCAATTAACAGAGTTGAACCATTGCTTGGATACAGCATTTTGGAAACATTCCTTTAGTAGAATCTGCAAGTTGATATTTAGATAGATTTGAAGATTTCGTTGGAAACGGGAATATCTTCATATAAAATCTAGACGGAAGCATTCTCAGAAACTGCTTTGTGATGTTTCCATTCAAGTCACAGAGTTGAATATTCCCTTTTATAGAGCACGTTTGAAACACTCTTTCTGCACTATCTGGAAGCGGACATTTCGAGCGCTTTGAGGCCTATGGTGAAAAAGGAAATATCTTCCCATAAAAACTAGACAGAAGCATTCTCAGAAACTTGTTTGTGATGTGTGTATTCAACTAACAGAGTTGAACTTTTGTTTTTACAGAGCCGTTTTAAAACACTCTTTTTGTGGAATCAGAAAGTGGATATTCGGATGGCTCTGAGGATTTCGTTGGAAGCGGGATTACGTATAAAATCTAGAGAGAAGCATTCTCAGGAACTTCTTTGTGATGTTTGCATTGAAGTCACAGAATTGAACATTCACTTTGATAGAGCAGGTTTGAAACACTCATTCTGTAGTATCTGGAAGTGGACATTTCAAGCGCTTTCAGGCCTATGGTGAGAAAGGAAATATCTTCGAATAAAAACTAGACAGAAGCATCCTCAAACTTATTTGTGATGTGTGTCCTCAACTAACAGAGTTGAAACTTTGTTTTGATACAGCATTTTGGAAACACTCTTTTTGTAGAATCTGCAGGTGGATATTTGGATAGCTTAGAGGGATTCGTTGGAAAGGGGATATCTTCATATAAAATCTAGACAGAAGCATTCTCAGAAACTTATTTGTGATGTGTGTCCTCAACTAACAGAGTTGAACCTTGGTTTTGATACAGCATTTTGGAAACACTCCTTTTGTAGAATCTGCAGGTGGATATGTGGATAGCTCTGAAGATTTCGTTGGAAACGGGAATTTCTTCATATAAAATCAAACAGAAGCATTCTCAGAAACTTCTCAGTGATGTTTGCATTCAGCTCATGGAGTTGTACACTTCCTTTCATAGAGCAGGTTTGAAACACTCTTTCTGCACTACCTGGAAGAGGACATTTCGAGCGCTTTGAGTCCTATGGTGAAAAAGGAAATATCTTCTCATAGAAACCAGAAAGAAGCATTCTCAGAAACTTCTTTGTGTTGTGTGTACTCATGTAACAGTGTTGAACCATCCTTTTGACAGAGCAGTTTTGAAACACTCTTTTTGTAGAATCTGCAAGTGGATATTTGGATAGCTTTGAGGATTTCGTTGGAAACGGGATGACATATAATATCTAGAGAGAAGCATTCTCAGGAACTTCTTTGTGATGTTTGCATTCAAGTCACAGAATTGAACATTCCCTTTCATAGAGCAGGTTTGAAACACTCTTTCTCTAGTATCTGGAAGTGGGCATTTCAAGCGCTTTCAGGCCTATGGAGAGAAAGGAAATACCTTCAAATAAAAACTAGACAGAAGCATTCTCAGAAACTTATTTGTGATGTGTGTCCTCAACTAACAGAGTTGAACCTTTGTTTTGATACAGCATTTTGGAAACACTCCTTTTGTAGAATCTGCAGGTGGATATTTGGATAGCTTTGAAGATTTCGTTGGAAACCGGAATATCTTCATATAAAATCAAGACAGAAGCATTCTCGGAAACATCTCTGTGATGTTTGCATTCAACTCAGTAGAGTTGAACACTTCCTTTCATAGAGCAGGTTTGAAACACTCTTTCTGCACTACCTGGAAGCGGACATTTCGAGCGCTTTGAGGCCTATGGTGAAAAAGGAAATATCTTCTCATAAAAACCAGAAAGAAGCATTCTCAGAAACTTCTTTGTGTTGTGTGTACTCAAGTAACAGTGTTGAACCTTCCTTTTGACAGAGTAGTTTTGAAACACTCTTTTGGTAGAATCTGCAAGTGGATATTTGGATAGCTTTGAGGATTTCGTTGGAAACGGGATGACATATAATATCTAGAGAGAAGAATTCTCAGGAACTTCTTTGTGATGTTTGCATTCAAGTCACAGAATTGAACATTCCCTTTCATAGAGCAGGTTTGAAACACTCTTTCTCTAGTATCTGGAAGTGGGCATTTCAAGCGCTTTCAGGCCTATGGAGAGAAAGGAAATACCTTCAAATAAAAACTAGACAGAAGCATTCTCAGAAACTTATTTGTGATGTGTGTCCTCAACTAACAGAGTTGAACCTTTGTTTTGATACAGCATTTTGGAAACACTCCTTTTGTAGAATCTGCAGGTGGATATTTGGATAGCTTTGAAGATTTCGTTGGAAACCGGAATATCTTCATATAAAATCAAGACAGAAGCATTCTCGGAAACATCTCTGTGATGTTTGCATTCAACTCAGTAGAGTTGAACACTTCCTTTCATAGAGCAGGTTTGAAACACTCTTTCTGCACTACCTGGAAGTGGACATTTCGAGCGCTTTGAGGCCTATGGTGAAAAAGGAAATATCTTCTCATAAAAACCAGAAAGAAGCATTCTCAGAAACTTCTTTGTGTTGTGTGTACTCAAGTAACAGTGTTGAACCTTCCTTTTGACAGAGTAGTTTTGAAACACTCTTTTGGTAGAATCTGCAAGTGGATATTTGGAGAGCTTTGAGGATTTCGTTGGAAACGGGTTATCTTCATATAAAATCCAGACAGGAGCATTCTCAGAAACTTCTTTGTGCTGTATGTCCTCAATTCACAGAGCTGAACCTTTGTTTGGATACAGCATTTTGGAGACATTCCTTTAGTAGAATCTGCAAGTTGATATTTAGATAGCTTTGAAGATTTCGTTGGAAACGGGAATATCTTCATAGAAAATCTAGACGGAAGCATTCTCAGAAACTGCTTTGTGATGTTTGCATTCAAGTCACAGAGTTGAATATTCCCTTTTATAGAGTAGGTTTGAAACACTCTTTCGGCACTACCTGGAAGTGGATATTTCGAGCTCTTTGAGGCCTATGGTTAAAAGGAAATATCTTCCCATAAAAACTAGACAGAAGCCTTCTCAGAAACTTGTTTGAGATGTGTGTATTCAACTAAGAGCGTTGAACATTTCTTTTTACAGAGCAGTTTTAAAACACTGTTTTTGTGGAATCTGAAAGTGGATAACTGGATAGCTTTGTGGATTTCGTTGGAAACGGGATTACGAATAAAATCTAGAGAGAAGCATTCTCAGGAACTTCTTTCTGATGTTTGCATTCAAGTCAAAGAATTGAACATTCCTTTTGAGAGTGCAGGTTTGAAACACTCTTTCTGTAGTATCTGGAAGTGGACATTTCAAGCGCTTTCAGGCCTACGGGGAGAAAGGAAATATCTTCAAATAAAAACTAGACAGAAGGATTCTCAGAAACTTATTTGTGATGTGTGTCCTAAACGAACACAGTTGAACCTTTGTTTTGATACAGCATTTTGGAAACACTCCTTTTGTAGGATCTGCAGGTGGATATTTGGATAGATTTTAAGATTTCGTTGGAAACGGGAATTTCTTCATAGAAGCTCAAGACAGATGCATTCTCAGAAACTTCTCTGTGATGTTTGCATTCCACTCATAGAGTTGAAAACTTCCTTTCATAGAGCACGTTTGAAACACTCTTTCTGCACTATCTGGAGCGGACATTTCGAGCGCTTTGAGGCCTATGGTGAAAAAGGAAATATCTTCCCATAAAAACTAGACAGAAGCATTCTCAGAAACTTGTTTGTGATGTGTGTATTCAACTAACAGAGTTGAACTTTTGTTTTTACAGAGCCGTTTTAAAACACTCTTTTTGTGGAATCAGAAAGTGGATATTCGGATGGCTCTGAGGATTTCGTTGGAAGCGGGATTACGTATAAAATCTAGAGAGAAGCATTCTCAGGAACTTCTTTGTGATGTTTGCATTCAAGTCACAGAATTGAACATTCCCTTTCATAGAGCAGGTTTGAAACACTCTTTCTCTAGTATCTGGAAGTGGGCATTTCAAGCGCTTTCAGGCCTATGGAGAGAAAGGAAATACCTTCAAATAAAAACTAGACAGAAGCATTCTCAGAAACTTATTTGTGATGTGTGTCCTCAACTAACAGAGTTGAACCTTTGTTTTGATACAGCATTTTGGAAACACTCCTTTTGTAGAATCTGCAGGTGGATATTTGGATAGCTTTGAAGATTTCGTTGGAAACCGGAATATCTTCATATAAAATCAAGACAGAAGCATTCTCGGAAACATCTCTGTGATGTTTGCATTCAACTCAGTAGAGTTGAACACTTCCTTTCATAGAGCAGGTTTGAAACACTCTTTCTGCACTACCTGGAAGCGGACATTTCGAGCGCTTTGAGGCCTATGGTGAAAAAGGAAATATCTTCTCATAAAAACCAGAAAGAAGCATTCTCAGAAACTTCTTTGTGTTGTGTGTACTCAAGTAACAGTGTTGAACCTTCCTTTTGACAGAGTAGTTTTGAAACACTCTTTTGGTAGAATCTGCAAGTGGATATTTGGATAGCTTTGAGGATTTCATTGGAAACGGGTTATCTTCCTATAAAATCCAGACAGGAGCATTCTCAGAAACTTCTTTGTGCTGTATGTCCTCAATTCACAGAGCTGAACCTTTGTTTGGATACAGCATTTTGGAGACATTCCTTTAGTAGAATCTGCAAGTTGATATTTAGATAGCTTTGAAGATTTCGTTGGAAACGGGAATATCTTCATAGAAAATCTAGACGGAAGCATTCTCAGAAACTGCTTTGTGATGTTTGCATTCAAGTCACAGAGTTGAATAATCCCTTTTATAGAGTAGGTTTGAAACACTCTTTCGGCACTACCTGGAAGTGGATATTTCGAGCTCTTTGAGGCCTATGGTTAAAAGGAAATATCTTCCCATAAAAACTAGACAGAAGCCGTCTCAGAAACTTGTTTGTGATGTGTGTATTCAACTAACAGAGTTGAACATTTCTGTTACAGAGCAATTTTAAAACACTCTTTGTGGAATCTGAAAGTGGATAATTGGATAGCTTTGTGGATTTCGTTGGAAACGGGATGACGTATAAAATCTAGAGAGAAGCATTCTCAGGAACTTCTTTCTGATGTTTGCATTCAAGTCACAGAATTGAACATTCCTTTTCAGAGTGCAGGTTTGAAACACTCTTTCTGTAGTATCTGGAAGTGGACATTTCAAGCGCTTTCAGGCCTACGGGGAGAAAGGAAATATCTTCAAATAAAAACTAGACAGAAGGATTCTCAGAAACTTATTTGTGATATGTGTCCTAAACGAACACAGTTGAACCTTTGTTTTGATACAGCATTTTGGAAACACTCCTTTTGTAGGATCTGCAGGTGGATATTTGGATAGATTTTAAGATTTCGTTGGAAACGGGAATTTCTTCATAGAAGCTCAAGACAGATGCATTCTCAGAAACTTCTCTGTGATGTTTGCATTCCACTCATAGAGTTGAAAACTTCCTTTCATAGAGCAGGTTTGAAACACTCTTTTTGTAATATTTGGAAGTGGACATTTGCAGCGCTTTGAGGCCTATGGTGAAAAAGGAAATATCTTCTCATAAAAACCAGAAACAAGCATTCTCAGAAACTTCTTTTTGATGTGTGTACTCAAGTAACAGAGTTGAACCTTCCTCTTGACACAGCAGTTTTGAAACAATCTTTTTGTAGAATCTGCAAGTGGATATTTGGATAGCTTTGAGGATTTCGTTGGAAACGGGATATCTTCATATAAAATCTAGACAGAAGCATTCTCAGAAACTTCTTTGTGCTGTATGTCCTCAATTAACAGAGTTGAACCATTGCCTGGATACAGCATTTTGGAAACATTCCTTGAGTAGAATCTGCAAGTTGATATTTAGATAGATTTGAAGATTTCGTTGGAAAAGGGAATATCTCCATATAAAATCTAGAGGGAAGCATTCTCAGAAACTGCTTTGTGATGTTTCCATTCAAGTCACAGAGTTGAATATTCCCTTTTATAGAGCACGTTTGAAACATTCTTTCTGCACTATCTGGAAGTGGACATTTCGAGCGCTTTGAGGCCTATGGTGAAAAAGGAAATATCTTCCCATAAAAACTAGACAGAAGCATTCTCAGAAACTTGTTTGTGATGTGTGTATTCAACTAACAGAGTTGAACTTTTGTTTTTGCAGAGCCGTTTTAAAACACTCTTTTTGTGGAATCAGAAAGTGGATATTCGGATGGCTCTGAGGATTTCGTTGGAAGCGGGATTACGTATAAAATCTAGAGAGAAGCATTCTCAGGAACTACTTTGTGATGTTTGCATTGAAGTCACAGAATTGAACATTCACTTTGATAGAGCAGGTTTGAAACACTCATTCTGTAGTATCTGGAAGTGGACATTTCAAGTGCTTTCAGGCCTATGGGGAGAAAGGAAATATCTTCAAATTAAAACTAGACAGAAGCATTCTCAGAAACTTATTTGTGATGTGTGTCCTCAACTAACAGAGTTGAAACTTTGTTTTGATACAGCATTTTGGAAACACTCTTTTTGTAGAATCTGCAGGTGGATATTTGGATAGCTTAGAGGGATTCGTTGGAAAGGGGATATCTTCATATAAAATCTAGACAGAAGCATTCTCAGAAACTTATTTGTGATGTGTGTCCTCAACTAACAGAGTGGAACCTTGGTTTTGATACAGCATTTTGGAAACACTCCTTTTGTAGAATCTGCAGGTGGATATGTGGATAGCTTTGAAGATTTCGTTGGAAACGGGAATTTCTTCATATAAAATCAAACAGAAGCATTCTCAGAAACTTCTCTGTGATGTTTGCATTCAGCTCATGGAGTTGAACACTTCCTTTCATAGAGCAGGTTTGAAACACTCTTTCTGCACTACCAGGAAGTGGACATTTCCAGCGCTTTGAGGCCTATGGTGAAAAAGGAAATATCTTCTCATAAAAACCAGAAAGAAGCGTTCTCAGAAACTTCTTTGTGTTGTGTGTACTCATGTAACAGTGTTGAAGCATCCTTTTGACAGAGCAGTTTTGAAACACTCTTTTTGTAGAATCTGCAAGTGGATATTTGGATAGCTTTGAGGATTTCGTTGGAAACGGGTTATCTTCATATTAAATCTAGACAGAAGCATTTTCAGAAACTTCTTTGTGCTGTATGTCCTCAATTCACAGAGTTGAACCTTTGTTTGGATACAGCATTTTGGAAACATTCCTTTAGTAGAATCTGCAAGTTGATATTTAGATAGCTTTGAAGATTTCGTTGGAAACGGGAATATCTTCATAAAAAATCTAGACGGAAGCATTGTCAGAAACTGCTTTGTGATGTTTGCATTCAAGTCACAGAGTTAAATATTCTTTTACAGAGCAGGTTTGAAACACTCTTTCTGCACTCCCTGGAAGTGGAGATTTCGAGCGCTTTGAGGCCTATGGTGAAAAAGGAAATATCTTCCCATAAAAACTAGACGGAAGCCTTCTCAGAAACTTGTTTGAGATGTGTGTATTCAACTAAGAGCGTTGAACATTTCTTTTTACAGAGCAGTTTTAAAACACTCTTTTGTGGAATCTGAAAGTGGATAATTGGATAGCTTTGTGGATTTCGTTGGAAACGGGATGACGTATAAAATCTAGAGAGAAGCATTCTCAGGAACTTCTTTCTGATGTTTGCATTCAAGTCACAGAATTGAACATTCCTTTTCATAGTGCAGGTTTGAAACACTCTTTCTGTAGTATCTGGAAGTGGACATTTCCAGCGCTTTCAGGCCTATGGGGAGAAAGGAAATATCTTCAAATAAAAACTAGACAGAAGGATTCTCAGAAACTTATTGGTGATGTGTGTCCTAAACGAACACAGTTGAACCTTTGTTTTGATACAGCATTTTGGAAACACTCCCTTTGTAGAATCTGCAGGTGGATATTTGGATAGATTTTAAGATTTCGTTGGAAACGGGAATTTCTTCATATAAACTCAAGACAGATGCATTCTCAGAAACTTCTCTGTGATGTTTGCATTCCACTCATAGAGTTGAAAACTTCCTTTCATAGAGCAGGTTTGAAACACTCTTTTTGTAATATTTGGAAGTGGACATTTGCAGCGCTTTGAGGCCTATGGTGAAAAAGGAAATATCTTCTCATAAAAACCAGAAACAAGCATTCTCAGAAACTTCTTTTTGATGTGTGTACTCAAGTAACAGAGTTGAACCTTCCTTTTGACACAGCAGTTTTGAAACAATCTTTTTGTAGAATCTGCAAGTGGATATTTGGATAGATTTGAGGATTTCGTTGGAAACGGGATATCTTCATATAAAATCTAGACAGAAGCATTCTCAGAAACTTCTTTGTGCTGTATGACCTCAATTAACAGAGTTGAACCATTGCTTGCATACAGCATTTTGGAAACATTCCTTGAGTAGAATCTGCAAGTTGATATTTAGATAGATTTGAAGATTTCGTTCGAAAACGGAATATCTCCATATAAAATCTAGAGGGAAGCATTCTCAGAAACTGCTTTGTGATGTTTCCATTCAAGTCACAGAGTTGAATATTCCCTTTTATAGAGCACGTTTGAAACACTCTTTCTGCACTATCTGGAAGCGGACATTTCGAGCGCTTTGAGGCCTATGGTGAAAAAGGAAATATCTTCCCATAAAAACTAGACAGAAGCATTCTCAGAAACTTGTTTGTGATGTGTGTATTCAACTAACAGAGTTGAACTTTTGTTTTTACAGAGCCGTTTTAAAACACTCTTTTTGTGGAATCAGAAAGTGGATATTCGGATGGCTCTGAGGATTTCGTTGGAAGCGGGATTACGTATAAAATCTAGAGAGAAGCATTCTCAGGAACTTCTTTGTGATGTTTGCATTGAAGTCACAGAATTGAACATTCACTTTGATAGAGCAGGTTTGAAACACTCATTCTGTAGTATCTGGAAGTGGACATTTCAAGCGCTTTCAGGCCTATGGTGAGAAAGGAAATATCTTCGAATAAAAACTAGACAGAAGCATCCTCAAACTTATTTGTGATGTGTGTCCTCAACTAACAGAGTTGAAACTTTGTTTTGATACAGCATTTTGGAAACACTCTTTTTGTAGAATCTGCAGGTGGATATTTGGATAGCTTAGAGGGATTCGTTGGAAAGGGGATATCTTCATATAAAATCTAGACAGAAGCATTCTCAGAAACTTATTTGTGATGTGTGTCCTCAACTAACAGAGTTGAACCTTGGTTTTGATACAGCATTTTGGAAACACTCCTTTTGTAGAATCTGCAGGTGGATATGTGGATAGCTACTGAAGATTTCGTTGGAAACGGGAATTTCTTCATATAAAATCAAACAGAAGCATTCTCAGAAACTTCTCTGTGATGTTTGCATTCAGCTCATGGAGTTGAACACTTCCTTTCATAGAGCAGGTTTGAAAAACTCTTTCTGCACTACCAGGAAGTGGACATTTCGAGCGCTTTGAGGCTTATGGTGAAAAAGGAAATATCTTCTCATAAAAACCAGAAAGAAGCGTTCTCAGAAACTTCTTTGTGTTGTGTGTACTCATGTAACAGTGTTGAACCATCCTTTTGACAGAGCAGTTTTGAAACAATCTTTTTGTAGAATCTGCAAGTGGATATTTGGATAGCTTTGAGGATTTCGTTGGAAATGGGATATCTTCATATAAAATCTAGACAGAAGCATTCTCAGAAACTTCTTTGTGCTGTATGTCCTCAATTAACAGAGTTGAACCATTGCTTGGATACAGCATTTTGGAAACATTCCTTTAGTAGAATCTGCAAGTTGATATTTAGATAGCTTTGAAGATTTCGTTGGAAACGGGAATATCTTCATAAAAAATCTAGACGGAAGCATTGTCAGAAACTGCTTTGTGATGTTTGCATTCAAGTCACAGAGTTAAATATTCTTTTACAGAGCAGGTTTGAAACACTCTTTCTGCACTCCCTGGAAGTGGAGATTTCGAGTGCTTTGAGGCCTATGGTGAAAAAGGAAATATCTTCCCATAAAAACTAGACGGAAGCATTCTCAGAAAACTTGTTTGTGATGTGTGTATTCAACTAACAGAGTTGAACTTTTGTTTTTACAGAGCCGTTTTAAAACACTCTTTTTGTGGAATCAGAAAGTGGATATTCGGATGGCTCTGAGGATTTCGTTGGAAGCGGGATTACGTATAAAATCTAGAGAGAAGCATTCTCAGGAACTTCTTTGTGATGTTTGCATTGAAGTCACAGAATTGAACATTCACTTTGATAGAGCAGGTTTGAAACACTCATTCTGTAGGATCTGGAAGTGGACATTTCAAGCGCTTTCAGGCCTATGGTGAGAAAGGAAATATCTTCGAATAAAAACTAGACAGAAGCATCCTCAGAAACTTATTTGTGATGTGTGTCCTCAACTAACAGAGTTGAAACTTTGTTTTGATACAGCATTTTGGAAACACTCTTTTTGTAGAATCTGCAGGTGGATATTTTGATAGCTTAGAGGGATTCGTTGGAAAGGGGATATCTTCATATAAAATCTAGACAGAAGCATTCTCAGAAACTTATTTGTGATGTGTGTCCTCAACTAACAGAGTTGAACCTTGGTTTTGATACAGCATTTTGGAAACACTCCTTTTGTAGAATCTGCAGGTGGATATGTGGATAGCTCTGAAGATTTCGTTGGAAACGGTAATTTCTTCATATAAAATCAAACAGAAGCATTCTCAGAAACTTCTCAGTGATGTTTGCATTCAGCTCATGGAGTTGTACACTTCCTTTCATAGAGCAGGTTTGAAACACTCTTTCTGCACTACCTGGAAGAGGACATTTCGAGCGCTTTGAGTCCTATGGTGAAAAAGGAAATATCTTCTCATAGAAACCAGAAAGAAGCATTCTCAGAAACTTCTTTGTGTTGTGTGTACTCATGTAACAGTGTTGAACCATCCTTTTGACAGAGGAGTTTTGAAACACTCTTTTTGTAGAATCTGCAAGTGGATATTTGGATAGCTTTGAGGATTTCGTTGGAAACGGGATGACATATAATATCTAGAGAGAAGCATTCTCAGGAACTTCTTTGTGATGTTTGCATTCAAGTCACAGAATTGAACATTCCCTTTCATAGAGCAGGTTTGAAACACTCTTTCTCTAGTATCTGGAAGTGGGCATTTCAAGCGCTTTCAGGCCTATGGAGAGAAAGGAAATACCTTCAAATAAAAACTAGACAGAAGCATTCTCAGAAACTTATTTGTGATGTGTGTCCTCAACTAACAGAGTTGAACCTTTGTTTTGATACAGCATTTTGGAAACACTCCTTTTGTAGAATCTGCAGGTGGATATTTGGATAGCTTTGAAGATTTCGTTGGAAACCGGAATATCTTCATATAAAATCAAGACAGAAGCATTCTCGGAAACATCTCTGTGATGTTTGCATTCAACTCAGTAGAGTTGAACACTTCCTTTCATAGAGCAGGTTTGAAACACTCTTTCTGCACTACCTGGAAGCGGACATTTCGAGCGCTTTGAGGCCTATGGTGAAAAAGGAAATATCTTCTCATAAAAACCAGAAAGAAGCATTCTCAGAAACTTCTTTGTGTTGTGTGTACTCAAGTAACAGTGTTGAACCTTCCTTTTGACAGAGCAGTTTTGAAACACTCTTTTGGTAGAATCTGCAAGTGGATATTTGGATAGCTTTGAGGATTTCGTTGGAAACGGGTTATCTTCCTATAAAATCCAGACAGGAGCATTCTCAGAAACTTCTTTGTGCTGTATGTCCTCAATTCACAGAGCTGAACCTTTGTTTGGATACAGCATTTTGGAGACATTCCTTTAGTAGAATCTGCAAGTTGATATTTAGATAGCTTTGAAGATTTCGTTGGAAACGGGAATATCTTCATAGAAAATCTAGACGGAAGCATTCTCAGAAACTGCTTTGTGATGTTTGCATTCAAGTCACAGAGTTGAATATTCCCTTTTATAGAGTAGGTTTGAAACACTCTTTCGGCACTACCTGGAAGTGGATATTTCGAGCTCTTTGAGGCCTATGGTTAAAAGGAAATATCTTCCCATAAAAACTAGACAGAAGCCGTCTCAGAAACTTGTTTGTGATGTGTGTATTCAACTAACAGAGTTGAACATTTCTGTTACAGAGCAATTTAAAAACACTCTTTGTGGAATCTGAAAGTGGATAATTGGATAGCTTTGTGGATTTCGTTGGAAACGGGATGACGTATAAAATCTAGAGAGAAGCATTCTCAGGAACTTCTTTCTGATGTTTGCATTCAAGTCACAGAATTGAACATTCCTTTTCAGAGTGCAGGTTTGAAACACTCTTTCTGTAGTATCTGGAAGTGGACATTTCAAGCGCTTTCAGGCCTACGGGGAGAAAGGAAATATCTTCAAATAAAAACTAGACAGAAGGATTCTCAGAAACTTATTTGTGATGTGTGTCCTAAACGAACACAGTTGAACCTTTGTTTTGATACAGCATTTTGGAAACACTCCTTTTGTAGGATCTGCAGGTGGATATTTGGATAGATTTTAAGATTTCGTTGGAAACGGGAATTTCTTCATAGACGCTCAAGACAGATGCATTCTCCGAAACTTCTCTGTGATGTTTGCATTCCACTCATAGAGTTGAAAACTTCCTTTCATAGAGCACGTTTGAAACACTCTTTTTGTAATATTTGGAAGTGGACATTTGCAGCGCTTTGAGGCCTATGGTGAAAAAGGAAATATTCTTCTCATAAAAACCAGAAACAAGCATTCTCAGAAACTTCTTTTTGATGTGTGTACTCAAGTAACAGAGTTGAACCTTCCTATTGACACAGCAGTTTTGAAACAATCTTTTTGTAGAATCTGCAAGTGGATATTTGGATAGCTTTGAGGAGTTCGTTGGAAACGGGATATCTTCATATAAAATCCAGACAGGAGCATTCTCAGAAACTTCTTTGTGCTGTATGTCCTCAATTAACAGAGTTGAACCATTGCTTGGACACAACATTTTGGAAACATTCCTTTAGTAGAATCTGCAAGTTGATATTTAGATAGCTTTGACGATTTCGTTGGAAACGGGAATATCTTCATATAAAATCTAGACGGAAGCATTCTCAGAAACTGCTTTGTGATGTTTCCATTCAAGTCACAGAGTTGAATATTCCCTTTTATAGAGCACGTTTGAAACACTCTTTCTGCACTATCTGGAAGTGGACATTTCGAGCGCTTTGAGGCCTATGGTGAAAAAGGAAATATCTTCCCATAAAAACTAGACAGAAGCATTCTCAGAAATTTGTTTGTGATGTGTGTATTCAACTAACAGACTTGAACTTTTGTTTTTACAGAGCCGTTTTAAAACACCTTTTTTGTGGAATCAGAAAGTGGATATTCGGATGGCTCTGAGGATTTCGTTGGAAGCGGGATTACATATAAAATCTAGAGAGAAGCATTCTCAGGAACTTCTTTCTGATGTTTGCATTGAAGTCACGGAAATTGAACATTCACTTTTATAGAGCAGGTTTGAAACACTCATTCTGTAGTATCTGGAAGTGGACATTTCAAGCGCTTTCAGGCCTATGGTGAGAAAGGAAATATCTTCGAATAAAAACTAGACAGAAGCATCCTCAGAAACTTATTTGTGATGTGTGTCCTCAACTAACAGAGTTGAAACTTTGTTTTGATACAGCATTTTGGAAACACTCTTTTTGTAGAATCTGCAGGTGGATATTTGGATAGCTTAGAGGGATTCGTTGGAAAGGGGATATCTTCATATAAAATCTAGACAGAAGCATTCTCAGAAACTTATTTGTGATGTGTGTCCTCAACTAACAGAGTTGAACCTTGGTTTTGATACAGCATTTTGGAAACACTCCTTTTGTAGAATCTGCATGTGGATATGTGGATAGCTCTGAAGATTTCGTTGGAAACGGGAATTTCTTCATATAAAATCAAACAGAAGCATTCTCAGAAACTTCTCAGTGATGTTTGCATTCAGTTCATGGAGTTGAACACTTCCCTTCATAGAGCCGGTTTGAAACACTCTTTCTGCACTACCTGGAAGAGGACATTTCGAGCGCTTTGAGTCCTATGGTGAAAAAGGAAATATCTTCTCATAGAAACCAGAAAGAAGCATTCACAGAAACTTCTTTGTGTTGTGTGTACTCATGTAACAGTGTTGAACCATCCTTTTGACAGAGCAGTTTTGAAACACTCTTTTTGTAGAATCTGCAAGTGGATATTTGGATAGCTTTGAGGATTTCGTTGGAAACGGGATGACATATAATATCTAGAGAGAAGCATTCTCAGGAACTTCTTTGTGATGTTTGCATTCAAGTCACAGAATTGAACATTCCCTTTCATAGAGCAGGTTTGAAACACTCTTTCTCTAGTATCTGGAAGTGGGCATTTCAAGCGCTTTCAGGCCTATGGAGAGAAAGGAAATACCTTCAAATAAAAACTAGACAGAAGCATTCTCAGAAACTTATTTGTGATGTGTGTCCTCAACTAACAGAGTTGAACCTTTGTTTTGATACAGCATTTTGGAAACACTCCTTTTGTAGAATCTGCAGGTGGATATTTGGATAGCTTTGAAGATTTCGTTGGAAACCGGAATATCTTCCTATAAAATCAAGACAGAAGCATTCTCGGAAACATTTCTGTGATGTTTGCATTCAACTCAGTAGAGTTGAACACTTCCTTTCCTAGAGCAGGTTTGAAACACTCTTTCTGCCCTACCTGGAAGCGGACATTTCGGGCGCTTTGAGGCCTATGGTGAAAAAGGAAATATCTTCTCATAAAAACCAGAAAGAAGCATTCTCAGAAACTTCTTTGTGTTGTGTGTACTCAAGTAACAGTGTTGAACCTTCCTTTTGACAGAGCAGTTTTGAAACACTCTTTTGGTAGAATCTGCAAGTGGATATTTGGATAGCTTTGAGGATTTCGTTGGAAACGGGTTATCTTCATATAAAATCCAGACAGGAGCATTCTCAGAAACTTCTTTTTGCTGTATGTCCTCAATTCACAGAGCTGAACCTTTGTTTGGATACAGCATTTTGGAGACATTCCTTTAGTAGAATCTGCAAGTTGATATTTAGATAGCTTTGAAGATTTCGTTGGAAACGGGAATATCTTCATAGAAAATCTAGACGGAAGCATTCTCAGAAACTGCTTTGTGATGTTTGCATTCAAGTCACAGAGTTGAATATTCCCTTTTATAGAGTAGGTTTGAAACACTCTTTCGGCACTACCTGGAAGTGGATATTTCGAGCTCTTTGAGGCCTATGGTTAAAAGGAAATATCTTCCCATAAAAACTAGACAGAAGCCGTCTCAGAAACTTGTTTGTGATGTGTGTATTCAACTACCAGAGTTGAACATTTCTGTTACAGAGCAATTTTAAAACACTCTTTCTGTGGAATCTGAAAGTGGATAATTGGATAGCTTTGTGGATTTCGTTGGAAACGGGATGACGTATAAAATCTAGAGAGAAGCATTCTCAGGAACTTCTTTCTGATGTTTGCATTCAAGTCACAGAATTGAACATTCCTTTTCAGAGTGCAGGTTTGAAACACTCTTTCTGTAGTATCTGGAAGTGGACATTTCAAGCGCTTTCAGGCCTACGGGGAGAAAGGAAATATCTTCAAATAAAAACTAGACAGAAGGATTCTCAGAAACTTATTTGTGATGTGTGTCCTAAACGAACACAGTTGAACCTTTGTTTTGATACAGCATTTTGGAAACACTCCTTTTGTAGGATCTGCAGGTGGATATTTGGATAGATTTTAAGATTTCGTTGGAAACGGGAATTTCTGCATATAAACTCAAGACAGATGCATTCTCAGAAACTTCTCTGTGATGTTTGCATTCCACTCATAGAGTTGAAAACTTCCTTTCATAGAGCAGGTTTGAAACACTCTTTTTGTAATATTTGGAAGTGGACATTTGCAGCGCTTTGAGGCCTATGGTGAAAAAGGAAATATCTTCTCATAAAAACCAGAAACAAGCATTCTCAGAAACTTCTTTTTGATGTGTGTACTCAAGTAACAGAGTTGAACCTTCCTTTTGACACAGCAGTTTTGAAACAATCTTTTTGTAGAATCTGCAAGTGGATATTTGGATAGCTTTGAGGATTTCGTTGGAAACGGGATATCTTCATATAAAATCTAGACAGAAGCATTCTCAGAAACTTCTTTGTGCTGTATGTCCTCAATTAACAGAGTTGAACCATTGCTTGGATACAGCATTTTGGAAACATTCCTTGAGTAGAATCTGCAAGTTGATATTTAGATAGATTTGAAGATTTCTTTGGAAAAGGGAATATCTCCATATAAAATCTAGAGGGAAGCATTCTCAGAAACTGCTTTGTGATGTTTCCATTCAAGTCACAGAGTTGAATATTCCCTTTTATAGAGCACGTTTGAAACACTCTTTCTGCACTATCTGGAAGTGGACATTTCGAGCGCTTTGAGGCCTATGGTGAAAAAGGAAATATCTTCCCATAAAAACTAGACAGAAGCATTCTCAGAAACTTGTTTGTGATGTGTGTATTCAACTAACAGAGTTGAACTTTTGTTTTTACAGAGCCGTTTTAAAACACTCTTTTTGTGGAATCAGAAAGTGGATATTCGGATGGCTCTGAGGATTTCGTTGGAAGCGGGATTACATATAAAATCTAGAGAGAAGCATTCTCAGGAACTTCTTTGTGATGTTTGCATTGAAGTCACAGAATTGAACATTCACTTTGATAGAGCAGGTTTGAAACACTCATTCTGTAGTATCTGGAAGTGGACATTTCAAGCGCTTTCAGGCCTATGGTGAGAAAGGAAATATCTTCGAATAAAAACTAGACAGAAGCATCCTCAAACTTATTTGTGATGTGTGTCCTCAACTAACAGAGTTGAAACTTTGTTTTGATACAGCATTTTGGAAACACTCTTTTTGTAGAATCTGCAGGTGGATATTTGGATAGCTTAGAGGGATTCGTTGGAAAGGGGATATCTTCATATAGAATCTAGACAGAAGCATTCTCAGAATCTTATTTGTGATGTGTGTCCTCAACTAACAGAGTTGAACTTTGGTTTTGATACAGCATTTTGGAAACACTCCTTTTGTAGAATCTGCAGGTGGATATGTGGATAGCTCTGAAGATTTCGTTGGAAACGGGAATTTCTTCATATAAAATCAAACAGAAGCATTCTCAGAAACTTCTCAGTGATGTTTGCATTCAGTTCATGGAGTTGAACACTTCCTTTCATAGAGCCGGTTTGAAACACTCTTTCTGCACTACCTGGAAGAGGACATTTCGAGCGCTTTGAGTCCTATGGTGAAAAAGGAAATATCTTCTCATAGAAACCAGAAAGAAGCATTCTCAGAAACTTCTTTGTGTTGTGTGTACTCATGTAACAGTGTTGAACCATCCTTTTGACAGAGCAGTTTTGAAACACTCTTTTTGTAGAATCTGCAAGTGGATATTTGGATAGCTTTGAGGATTTCGTTGGAAACGGGATGACATATAATATCTAGAGAGAAGCATTCTCAGGAACTTCTTTGTGATGTTTGCATTCAAGTCACAGAATTGAACATTCCCTTTCATAGAGCAGGTTTGAAACACTCTTTCTCTAGTATCTGGAAGTGGGCATTTCAAGCGCTTTCAGGCCTATGGAGAGAAAGGAAATACCTTCAAATAAAAACTAGACAGAAGCATTCTCAGAAACTTATTTGTGATGTGTGTCCTCAACTAACAGAGTTGAACCTTTGTTTTGATACAGCATTTTGGAAACACTCCTTTTGTAGAATCTGCAGGTGGATATTTGGATAGCTTTGAAGATTTCGTTGGAAACCGGAATATCTTCATATAAAATCAAGACAGAAGCATTCTCGGAAACATCTCTGTGATGTTTGCATTCAACTCAGTAGAGTTGAACACTTCCTTTCATAGAGCAGGTTTGAAACACTCTTTCTGCACTACCTGGAAGTGGACATTTCGAGCGCTTTGAGGCCTATGGTGAAAAAGGAAATATCTTCTCATAAAAACCAGAAACAAGCATTCTCAGAAACTTCTTTGTGTTGTGTGTACTCAAGTAACAGTGTTGAACCTTCCTTTTGACAGAGCAGTTTTGAAACACTCTTTTGGTAGAATCTGCAAGTGGATATTTGGATAGCTTTGAGGAATTCGTTGGAAACGGGTTATCTTCATATAAAATCCAGACAGGAACATTCTCAGAAACTTCTTTGTGCTGTATGTCCTCAATTCACAGAGCTGAACCTTTGTTTGGATACAGCATTTTGGAGACATTCCTTTAGTAGAATCTGCAAGTTGATATTTAGATAGCTTTGAAGATTTCGTTGGAAACGGGAATATCTTCATAGAAAATCTAGACGGAAGCATTCTCAGAAACTGCTTTGTGATGTTTGCATTCAAGTCACGGAGTTGAATATTCCCTTTTATAGAGTAGGTTTGAAACACTCTTTCGGCACTACCTGGAAGTGGATATTTCGAGCTCTTTGAGGCCTATGGTTAAAAGGAAATATCTTCCCATAAAAACTAGACAGAAGCCTTCTCAGAAACTTGTTTGAGATGTGTGTATTCAACTAAGAGCGTTGAACATTTCTTTTTAGAGAGCAGTTTTAAAACACTCTTTTTGTGGAATCTGAAAGTGGATAATTGGATAGCTTTGTGGATTTCGTTGGAAACGGGATGACGTATAAAATCTAGAGAGAAGCATTCTCAGGAACTTCTTTCTGATGTTTGCATTCAAGTCACAGAATTGAACATTCCTTTTCATAGTGCAGGTTTGAAACACTCTTTCTGTAGTATCTGGAAGTGGACATTTCAAGCGCTTTCAGGCCTATGGGGAGAAAGGAAATATCTTCAAATAAAAACTAGACAGAAGGATTCTCAGAAACTTATTGGTGATGTGTGTCCTAAACGAACACAGTTGAACCTTTGTTTTGATACAGCATTTTGGAAACACGCCTTTTGTAGAATCTGCAGGTGGATATTTGGATAGATTTTAAGATTTCGTTGGAAACGGGAATTTCTTCATATAAACTCAAGACAGATGTATTCTCAGAAACTTCTCTGTGATGTTTGCATTCCACTCATAGAGTTGAAAACTTCCTTTCATAGAGCAGGTTTGAAACACACTTTTTGTAATATTTGGAAGTGGACATTTGCAGCGCTTTGAGGCCTATGGTGAAAAAGGAAATATCTTCTCATAAAAACCAGAAACAAGCATTCTCAGAAACTTCTTTTTGATGTGTGTACTCAAGTAACAGGGTTGAACCTTCCTTTTGACACAGCAGTTTTGAAACAATCTTTTTGTAGAATCTGCAAGTGGATATTTGGATAGCTTTGAGGATTTCGTTGGAAACGGGATATCTTCATATAAAATCTAGACAGAAGCATTCTCAGAAACTTCTTTGTGCTGTATGTCCTCAATTAACAGAGTTGAACCATTGCTTGGATACAGCATTTTGGAAACATTCCTTTAGTAGAATCTGCAAGTTGATATTTAGATAGATTTGAAGATTTCGTTGGAAACGGGAATATCTTCATATAAAATCTAGACGGAGGCATTCTCAGAAACTGCTTTGTGATGTTTCCATTCAAGTCACAGAGTTGAATATTCTCTTTTATGGAGCACGTTTGAAACACTCTTTCTGCACTATCTGGAAGTGGACATTTCGAGCGCTTTGAGGCCTATGGTGAAAAAGGAAATATCTTCCCATAAAAACTAGACAGAAGCATTCTCAGAAACTTGTTTGTGATGTGTGTATTCAACTAACAGACTTGACTTTTTTTTTTTTCAGAGCAGTTTTAAAACAATCTTTTTGTGGAATCAGAAAGTGGATATTCGGTTGGCTTTGAGGATTTCGTTGGAAGCGGGATTACATATAAAATCTAGAGAGAAGCATTCTCAGGAACTTCTTTGTGATGTTTGCATTGAAGTCACAGAATTGAACATTCACTTTGATAGAGCAGGTTTGAAACACTCATTCTGTAGTATCTGGAAGTGGACATTTCAAGCGCTTTCAGGCCTATGGTGAGAAAGGAAATATCTTCGAATAAAAACTAGACAGAAGCATCCTCAAACTTATTTGTGATGTGTGTCCTCAACTAACAGACTTGAAACTTTGTTTTGATACAGCATTTTGGAAACACTCTTTTTGTAGAATCTGCAGGTGGATATTTGGATAGCTTAGAGGGATTCGTTGGAAAGGGGATATCTTCATATAAAATCTAGACAGAAGCATTCTCAGAAACTTATTTGTGATGTGTGTCCTCAACTAACAGAGTTGAACCTTGGTTTTGATACAGCATTTTGGAAACACTCCTTTTGTAGAATCTGCAGGTGGATAGGTGGATAGCTCTGAAGATTTCGTTGGAAACGGGAATTTCTTCATATAAAATCAAACAGAAGCATTCTCAGAAACTTCTCAGTGATGTTTGCATTCAGCTCATGGAGTTGTACACTTCCTTTCATAGAGCAGGTTTGAAACACTCTTTCTGCACTACCTGGAAGAGGACATTTCGAGCGCTTTGAGTCCTATGGTGAAAAAGGAAATATCTTCTCATAGAAACCAGAAAGAAGCATTCTCAGAAACTTCTTTGTGTTGTGTGTACTCAAGTAACAGTGTTGAACCATCCTTTTGACAGAGGAGTTTTGAAACACTCTTTTTGTAGAATCTGCAAGTGGATATTTGGATAGCTTTGAGGATTTCGTTGGAAACGGGATGACATATAATATCTAGAGAGAAGCATTCTCAGGAACTTCTTTGTGATGTTTGCATTCAAGTCACAGAATTGAACATTCCCTTTCATAGAGCAGGTTTGAAACACTCTTTCTCTAGTATCTGGAAGTGGGCATTTCAAGCGCTTTCAGGCCTATGGAGAGAAAGGAAATACCTTCAAATAAAAACTAGACAGAAGCATTCTCAGAAACTTATTTGTGATGTGTGTCCTCAACTAACAGAGTTGAACCTTTGTTTTGATACAGCATTTTGGAAACACTCCTTTTGTAGAATCTGCAGGTGGATATTTGGATAGCTTTGAAGATTTCGTTGGAAACCGGAATATCTTCATATAAAATCAAGACAGAAGCATTCTCGGAAACATCTCTGTGATGTTTGCATTCAACTCAGTAGAGTTGAACACTTCCTTTCATAGAGCAGGTTTGAAACACTCTTTCTGCACTACCTGGAAGTGGACATTTCGAGCGCTTTGAGGCCTATGGTGAAAAAGGAAATATCTTCTCATAAAAACCAGAAAGAAGCATTCTCAGAAACTTCTTTGTGTTGTGTGTACTCAAGTAACAGTGTTGAACCTTCCTTTTGACAGAGTAGTTTTGAAACACTCTTTTGGTAGAATCTGCAAGTGGATATTTGGATAGCTTTGAGGATTTCGTTGGAAACGGGTTATCTTCCTATAAAATCCAGACAGGAGCATTCTCAGAAACTTCTTTGTGCTGTATGTCCTCAATTCACAGAGCTGAACCTTTGTTTGGATACAGCATTTTGGAGACATTCCTTTAGTAGAATCTGCAAGTTGATATTTAGATAGCTTTGAAGATTTCGTTGGAAACGGGAATATCTTCATAGAAAATCTAGACGGAAGCATTCTCAGAAACTGCTTTGTGATGTTTGCATTCAAGTCACAGAGTTGAATATTCCCTTTTATACAGTAGGTTTGAAACACTCTTTCGGCACTACCTGGAAGTGGATATTTCGAGCTCTTTGAGGCCTATGGTTAAAAGGAAATATCTTCCCATAAAAACTAGACAGAAGCCGTCTCAGAAACTTGTTTGTGATGTGTGTATTCAACTAACAGAGTTGAACATTTCTGTTACAGAGCAATTTTAAAACACTCTTTGTGGAATCTGAAAGTGGATAATTGGATAGCTTTGTGGATTTCGTTGGAAACGGGATGACGTATAAAATCTAGAGAGAAGCATTCTCAGGAACTTCTTTCTGATGTTTGCATTCAAGTCACAGAATTGAACATTCCTTTTCAGAGTGCAGGTTTGAAACACTCTTTCTGTAGTATCTGGAAGTGGACATTTCAAGTGCTTTCAGGCCTACGGGGAGAAAGGAAATATCTTCAAATAAAAACTAGACAGAAGGATTCTCAGAAACTTATTTGTGATGTGTGTCCTAAACGAACACAGTTGAACCTTTGTTTTGATACAGCATTTTGGAAACACTCCTTTTGTAGGATCTGCAGGTGGATATTTGGATAGATTTTAAGATTTCGTTGGAAACGGGAATTTCTTCATAGAAGCTCAAGACAGATGCATTCTCAGAAACTTCTCTGTGATGTTTGCATTCCACTCATAGAGTTCAAAACTTCCTTTCATAGAGCAGGTTTGAAACACTCTTTTTGTAATATTTGGAAGTGGACATTTGCAGCGCTTTGAGGCCTATGGTGAAAAAGGAAATATCTTCTCATAAAAACCAGAAACAAGCATTCTCAGAAACTTCTTTTTGATGTGTGTACTCAAGTAACAGAGTTGAACCTTCCTCTTGACACAGCAGTTTTGAAACAATCTTTTTGTAGAATCTGCAAGTGGATATTTGGATAGCTTTGAGGATTTCGTTGGAAACGGGATATCTTCATATAAAATCTAGACAGAAGCATTCTCAGAAACTTCTTTGTGCTGTATGTCCTCAATTAACAGAGTTGAACCATTGCCTGGATACAGCATTTTGGAAACATTCCTTGAGTAGAATCTGCAAGTTGATATTTAGATAGATTTGAAGATTTCGTTGGAAAAGGGAATATCTCCATATAAAATCTAGAGGGAAGCATTCTCAGAAACTGCTTTGTGATGTTTCCATTCAAGTCACAGAGTTGAATATTCCCTTTTATAGAGCACGTTTGAAACACTCTTTCTGCACTATCTGGAAGCGGACACTTCGAGCGCTTTGAGGCCTATGGTGAAAAAGGAAATATCTTCCCATAAAAACTAGACAGAAGCATTCTCAGAAACTTGTTTGTGATGTGTGTATTCAACTAACAGAGTTGAACTTTTGTTTTTACAGAGCCGTTTTAAAACACTCTTTTTGTGGAATCAGAAAGTGGATATTCGGATGGCTCTGAGGATTTCGTTGGAAGCGGGATTACGTATAAAATCTAGAGAGAAGCATTCTCAGGAACTTCTTTGTGATGTTTGCATTGAAGTCACAGAATTGAACATTCACTTTGATAGAGCAGGTTTGAAACACTCATTCTCTAGTATCTGGAAGTGGACATTTCAAGCGCTTTCAGGCCTATGGTGAGAAAGGAAATATCTTCGAATAAAAACTAGACAGAAGCATCCTCAAACTTATTTGTGATGTGTGTCCTCAACTAACAGAGTTGAAACTTTGTTTTGATACAGCATTTTGGAAACACTCTTTTTGTAGAATCTGCAGGTGGATATTTGGATAGCTTAGAGGGATTCGTTGGAAAGGGGATATCTTCATATAAAATCTAGACAGAAGCATTCTCAGAAACTTATTTGTGATGTGTGTCCTCAACTAACAGAGTTGAACCTTGGTTTTGGTACAGCATTTTGGAAACACTCCTTTTGTAGAATCTGCAGGTGGATATGTGGATAGCTCTGAAGATTTCGTTGGAAACGGGAATTTCTTCATATAAAATCAAACAGAAGCATTCTCAGAAACTTCTCAGTGATGTTTGCATTCAGCTCATGGAGTTGTACACTTCCTTTCATAGAGCAGGTTTGAAACACTCTTTCTGCACTACCTGGAAGAGGACATTTCGAGCGCTTTGAGTCCTATGGTGAAAAAGGAAATATCTTCTCATAGAAACCAGAAAGAAGCATTCTCAGAAACTTCTTTGTGTTGTGTGTACTCATGTAACAGTGTTGAACCATCCTTTTGACAGAACAGTTTTGAAACACTCTTTTTGTAGAATCTGCAAGTGGATATTTGGATAGCTTTGAGGATTTCGTTGGAAACGGGATGACATATAATATCTAGAGAGAAGCATTCTCAGGAACTTCTTTGTGATGTTTGCATTCAAGTCACAGAATTGAACATTCCCTTTCATAGAGCAGGTTTGAAACACTCTTTCTCTAGTATCTGGAAGTGGGCATTTCAAGCGCTTTCAGGCCTATGGAGAGAAAGGAAATACCTTCAAATAAAAACTAGACAGAAGCATTCTCAGAAACTTATTTGTGATGTGTGTCCTCAACTAACAGAGTTGAACCTTTGTTTTGATACAGCATTTTGGAAACACTCCTTTTGTAGAATCTGCAGGTGGATATTTGGATAGCTTTGAAGATTTCGTTGGAAACCGGAATATCTTCATATAAAATCAAGACAGAAGCATTCTCGGAAACATCTCTGTGATGTTTGCATTCAACTCAGTAGAGTTGAACACTTCCTTTCATAGAGCAGGTTTGAAACACTCTTTCTGCACTACCTGGAAGCGGACATTTCGAGCGATTTGAGGCCTATGGTGAAAAAGGAAATATCTTCTCATAAAAACCAGAAAGAAGCATTCTCAGAAACTTCTTTGTGTTGTGTGTACTCAAGTAACAGTGTTGAACCTTCCTTTTGACAGAGTAGTTTTGAAACACTCTTTTGGTAGAATCTGCAAGTGGATATTTGGATAGCTTTGAGGATTTCGTTGGAAACGGGTTATCTTCCTATAAAATCCAGACAGGAGCATTCTCAGAAACTTCTTTGTGCTGTATGTCCTCAATTCACAGAGCTGAACCTTTGTTTGGATACAGCATTTTGGAGACATTCCTTTAGTAGAATCTGCAAGTTGATATTTAGATAGCTTTGAAGATTTCGTTGGAAACGGGAATATCTTCATAGAAAATCTAGACGGAAGCATTCTCAGAAACTGCTTTGTGATGTTTGCATTCAAGTCACAGAGTTGAATATTCCCTTTTATAGAGTAGGTTTGAAACACTCTTTCGGCACTACCTGGAAGTGGATATTTCGAGCTCTTTGAGGCCTATGGTTAAAAGGAAATATCTTCCCATAAAAACTAGACAGAAGCCGTCTCAGAAACTTGTTTGTGATGTGTGTATTCAACTACCAGAGTTGAACATTTCTGTTACAGAGCAATTTTAAAACACTCTTTCTGTGGAATCTGAAAGTGGATAATTGGATAGCTTTGTGGATTTCGTTGGAAACGGGATGACGTATAAAATCTAGAGAGAAGCATTCTCAGGAACTTCTTTCTGATGTTTGCATTCAAGTCACAGAATTGAACATTCCTTTTCAGAGTGCAGGTTTGAAACACTCTTTCTGTAGTATCTGGAAGTGGACATTTCAAGCGCTTTCAGGCCTACGGGGAGAAAGGAAATATCTTCAAATAAAAACTAGACAGAAGGATTCTCAGAAACTTATTTGTGATGTGTGTCCTAAACGAACACAGTTGAACCTTTGTTTTGATACAGCATTTTGGAAACACTCCTTTTGTAGGATCTGCAGGTGGATATTTGGATAGATTTTAAGATTTCGTTGGAAACGGGAATTTCTGCATAGAAACTCAAGACAGATGCATTCTCCGAAACTTCTCTGTGATGTTTGCATTCCACTCATAGAGTTGAAAACTTCCTTTCATAGAGCAGGTTTGAAACACTCTTTTTGTAATATTTGGAAGTGGACATTTGCAGCGCTTTGAGGCCTATGGTGAAAAACGAAATATCTTCTGATAAAAACCAGAGACAAGCATTCTCAGAAACTTCTTTTTGATGTGTGTACTCAAGTAACAGAGTTGAACCTTCCTTTTGACACAGCAGTTTTGAAACAATCTTTTTGTAGAATCTGCAAGTGGATATTTGGATAGCTTTGAGGATTTCGTTGGAAACGGGATATCTTCATATAAAATCTAGACAGAAGCATTCTCAGAAACTTCTTTGTGCTGTATGACCTCAATTAACAGAGTTGAACCATTGCTTGCATACAGCATTTTGGAAACATTCCTTGAGTAGAATCTGCAAGTTGATATTTAGATAGATTTGAAGATTTCGTTCGAAAACGGAATATCTCCATATAAAATCTAGAGGGAAGCATTCTCAGAAACTGCTTTGTGATGTTTCCATTCAAGTCACAGAGTTGAATATTCCCTTTTATAGAGCACGTTTGAAACACTCTTTCTGTGCTATCTGGAAGTGGACATTTCGAGCGCTTTGAGGCCTATGGTGAAAAAGGAAATATCTTCCCATAAAAACTAGACAGAAGCATTCTCAGAAACTTGTTTGTGATGTGTGTATTCAACTAACAGAGTTGAACTTTTGTTTTTACAGAGCCGTTTTAAAACACTCTTTTTGTGGAATCAGAAAGTGGATATTCGGATGGCTCTGAGGATTTCGTTGGAAGCGGGATTACGTATAAAATCTAGAGAGAAGTATTCTCAGGAACTTCTTTCTGATGTTTGCATTGAAGTCACGGGATTGAACATTCACTTTTATAGAGCAGGTTTGAAACACTCATTCTGTAGTATCTGGAAGTGGACATTTCAAGCGCTTTCAGGCCTATGGTGAGAAAGGAAATATCTTCGAATAAAAACTAGACAGAAGCATCCTCAGAAACTTATTTGTGATGTGTGTCCTCAACTAACAGAGTTGAAACTTTGTTTTGATACAGCATTTTGGAAACACTCTTTTTGTAGAATCTGCAGGTGGATATTTTGATAGCTTAGAGGGATTCGTTGGAAAGGGGATATCTTCATATAAAATCTAGACAGAAGCATTCTCAGAAACTTATTTCTGATGTGTGTCCTCAACTAACAGAGTTGAACCTTGGTTTTGATACAGCATTTTGGAAACACTCCTTTTGAAGAATCTGCAGGTGGATATGTGGATAGCTTTGAAGATTTCGTTGGAAACGGGAATTTCTTCATATAAAATCAAACAGAAGCATTCTCAGGAACTTCTCTGTGATGTTTGCATTCAGCTCATGGAGTTGAACACTTCCTTTCATAGAGCAGGTTTGAAACACTCTTTCTGCACTACCTGGAAGTGGACATTTCGAGCCGCTTTGAGGCCTACGGTGAAAAAGGAAATATCCTCTCATAAAAACCAGAAAGAAGCATTCTCAGAAACTTCTTTGTGTTGTGTGTACTCATGTAACAGTGTTGAACCATCCTTTTGACAGAGCAGTTTTGAAACACTCTTTTTGTAGAATCTGCAAGTGGATATTTGGATAGCTTTGAGGATTTCGTTGGAAACGGGATGACATATAATATCTAGAGAGAAGCATTCTCAGGAACTTCTTTGTGATGTTTGCATTCAAGTCACAGAATTGAACGTTCCCTTTCATAGAGCAGGTTTGAAACACTCTTTCTCTAGTATCTGGAAGTGGACATTTCAAGCGCTTTCAGGCCTATGGAGAGAAAGGAAATACCTTCAAATAAAAACTAGACAGAAGCATTCTCAGAAACTTATTTGTGATGTGTGTCCTCAACTAACAGAGTTGAACCTTTGTTTTGATACAGCATTTTGGAAACACTCCTTTTGTAGAATCTGCAGGTGGATATTTGGATAGCTTTGAAGATTTCGTTGGAAACCGGAATATCTTCATATAAAATCAAGACAGAAGCATTCTCGGAAACATCTCTGTGATGTTTGCATTCAACTCAGTAGAGTTGAACACTTCCTTTCATAGAGCAGGTTTGAAACACTCTTTTTGTAATATTTGGAAGTGGACATTTGCAGCGCTTTGAGGCCTATGGTGAAAAAGGAAATATCTTCTCATAAAAACCAGAAACAAGCATTCTCAGAAACTTCTTTTTGATGTGTGTATTCAAGTAACAGAGTTGAACCTTCCTTTTGACACAGCAGTTTTGAAACAATCTTTTTGTAGAATCTGCAAGTGGATATTTGGATAGCTTTGAGGATTTCGTTGGAAACGGGATATCTTCATATAAAATCTAGACAGAAGCATTCTCAGAAACTTCTTTGTGCTGTATGTCCTCAATTCACAGAGTTGAACCATTGCTTGGATACAGCATTTTGGAAACATTCCTTGAGTAGAATCTGCAAGTTGATATTTAGATAGCTTTGAAGATTTCGTTGGAAACGGGAATATCTTCATAGAAAATCTAGACGGAGGCATTCTCAGAAACTGCTTTGCGATGTTTCCATTCAAGTCAGAGAGTTGAATATTCTCTTTTATAGAGCACGTTTGAAACACTCTTTCTGCACTATCTGGAAGTGGACATTTCGAGCGCTGTGAGGCCTATGGTGAAAAAGGAAATATCTTCCCATAAAAACTAGACAGAAGCATTCTCAGAAACTTGTTTGTGATGTGTGTATTCAACTAACAGAGTTGAACTTTTGTTTTTACAGAGCCGTTTTAAAACACTCTTTTTGTGGAATCAGAAAGTGGATATTCGGATGGCTCTGAGGATTTCGTTGGAAGCGGGATTACGTATAAAATCTAGAGAGAAGCATTCTCAGGAACTTCTTTCTGATGTTTGCATTGAAGTCACAGAATTGAACATTCACTTTGATAGAGCAGGTTTGAAACACTCATTCTGTAGTATCTGGAAGTGGACATTTCAAGCGCTTTCAGGCCTATGGTGAGAAAGGAAATATCTTCGAATAAAAACTAGACAGAAGCATCCTCAGAAACTTATTTGTGATGTGTGTCCTCAACTAACAGAGTTGAAACTTTGTTTTGATACAGCATTTTGGAAACACTCTTTTTGTAGAATCTGCAGGTGGATATTTGGATAGCTTAGAGGGATTCGTTGGAAAGGGGATATCTTCATATAAAATCTAGACAGAAGCATTCTCAGAAACTTATTTGTGATGTGTGTCCTCAACTAACAGAGTTGATCCTTGGTTTAGATACAGCATTTTGGAAACACTCCTTTTGTAGAATCTGCAGGTGGATATGTGGATAGCTTTGAAGATTTCGTTGGAAATGGGAATTTCTTCATATAAAATCAAACAGAAGCATTCTCAGAAACTTCTCAGTGATGTTTGCATTCAGCTCATGGAGTTGTACACTTCCTTTCATAGAGCAGGTTTGAAACACTCTTTCTGCACTACTTGGAAGAGGACATTTCGAGCGCTTTGAGTCCTATGGTGAAAAAGGAAATATCTTCTCATAGAAACCAGAAAGAAGCATTCTCAGAAACTTCTTTGTGTTGTGTGTACTCATGTAACAGTGTTGAACCATCCTTTTGACAGAGGAGTTTTGAAACACTCTTTTTGTAGAATCTGCAAGTGGATATTTGGATAGCTTTGAGGATTTCGTTGGAAACGGGATGACATATAATATCTAGAGAGAAGCATTCTCAGGAACTTCTTTGTGATGTTTGCATTCAAGTCACAGAATTGAACATTGCCTTTCATAGAGCAGGTTTGAAACACTCTTTCTCTAGTATCTGGAAGTGGGCATTTCAAGCGCTTTCAGGCCTATGGAGAGAAAGGAAATACCTTCAAATAAAAACTAGACAGAAGCATTCTCAGAAACTTATTTGTGATGTGTGTCCTCAACTAACAGAGTTGAACCTTTGTTTTGATACAGCATTTTGGAAACACTCCTTTTGTAGAATCTGCAGGTGGATATTTGGATAGCTTTGAAGATTTCGTTGGAAACCGGAATATCTTCATATAAAATCAAGACAGAAGCATTCTCGGAAACATCTCTGTGATGTTTGCATTCAACTCAGTAGAGTTGAACACTTCCTTTCATAGAGCAGGTTTGAAACACTCTTTCTGCACTACCTGGAAGCGGACATTTCGAGCGCTTTGAGGCCTATGGTGAAAAAGGAAATATCTTCTCATAAAAACCAGAAAGAAGCATTCTCAGAAACTTCTTTGTGTTGTGTGTACTCAAGTAACAGTGTTGAACCTTCCTTTTGACAGAGTAGTTTTGAAACACTCTTTTGGTAGAATCTGCAAGTGGATATTTGGATAGCTTTGAGGATTTCGTTGGAAACGGGTTATCTTCCTATAAAATCCAGACAGGAGCATTCTCAGAAACTTCTTTGTGCTGTATGTCCTCAATTCACAGAGCTGAACCTTTGTTTGGATACAGCATTTTGGAGACATTCCTTTAGTAGAATCTGCAAGTTGATATTTAGATAGCTTTGAAGATTTCGTTGGAAACGGGAATATCTTCATAGAAAATCTAGACGGAAGCATTCTCAGAAACTGCTTTGTGATGTTTGCATTCAAGTCACAGAGTTGAATATTCCCTTTTATAGAGTAGGTTTGAAACACTCTTTCGGCACTACCTGGAAGTGGATATTTCGAGCTCTTTGAGGCCTATGGTTAAAAGGAAATATCTTCCCATAAAAACTAGACAGAAGCCGTCTCAGAAACTTGTTTGTGATGTGTGTATTCAACTAACAGAGTTGAACATTTCTGTTACAGAGCAATTTTAAAACACTCTTTTTGTGGAATCTGAAAGTGGATATTTGGGTAGCTTTGTGGATTTCGTTAGAAACGGGATGACGTATAAAATCTAGAGAGAAGCATTCTCAGGAACTTCTTTCTGATGTTTGCATTCAAGTCACAGAATTGAACATTCCTTTTCATAGTGCAGGTTTGAAACACTCTTTCTGTAGTATCTGGAAGTGGACATTTCAAGCGCTTTCAGGCCTACGGGGAGAAAGGAAATATCTTCAAATAAAAACTAGACAGAAGGATTCTCAGAAACTTATTTGTGATGTGTGTCCTAAACGAACACAGTTGAACCTTTGTTTTGATACAGCATTTTGGAAACACTCCTTTTGTAGGATCTGCAGGTGGATATTTGGATAGATTTTAAGATTTCGTTGGAAACGGGAATTTCTGCATATAAACTCAAGACAGATGCATTCTCAGAAACTTCTCTGTGATGTTTGCATTCCACTCATAGAGTTGAAAACTTCCTTTCATAGAGCAGGTTTGAAACACTCTTTTTGTAATATTTGGAAGTGGACATTTGCAGCGCTGTGAGGCCTATGGTGAAAAAGGAAATATCTTCTCATAAAAACCAGAAACAAGCATTCTCAGAAACTTCTTTTTGATGTGTGTACTCAAGTAACAGAGTTGAACCTTCCTTTTGACACAGCAGTTTTGAAACAATCTTTTTGTAGAATCTGCAAGTGGATATTTGGATAGCTTTGAGGATTTCGTTGGAAACGGGATATCTTCATATAAAATCTAGACAGAAGCATTCTCAGAAACTTCTTTGTGCTGTATGACCTCAATTAACAGAGTTGAACCATTGCTTGCATACAGCATTTTGGAAACATTCCTGTAGTAGAATCTGCAAGTTGATATTTAGATAGATTTGAAGATTTCGTTCGAAAACGGAATATCTCCATATAAAATCTAGAGGGAAGCATTGTCAGAAACTGCTTTGTGATGTTTGCATTCAAGTCACAGAGTTAAATATTCTTTTACAGAGCAGGTTTGAAACACTCTTTCTGCACTCCCTGGAAGTGGAGATTTCGAGCGCTTTGAGGCCTTTGGTGAAAAAGGAAATATCTTCCCATAAAAACTAGACGGAAGCCTTCTCAGAAACTTGTTTGAGATGTGTGTATTCAACTAAGAGCTTTGAACATTTCCTTCTACACAGCAGTTTTAAAACACTCTTTTTGTGGAATCTGAAAGTGGATAATTGGATAGCTTTGTGGATTTCGTTGGAAACGGGATTACGTATAAAATCTAGAGAGAAGCATTCTCAGAAACTTCTTTCTGATGTTTGCATTCAAGTCACAGAATTGAACATTCCTTTTCATAGTGCAGGTTTGAAACACTCTTTCTGTACTATCTGGAAGTGGACATTTCAAGCGCTTTCAGGCCTATGGGGAGAAAGGAAATATCTTCAAATTAAAAACTAGACAGAAGGATTCTCAGAAACTTATTTGTGATGTGTGTCCTAAACGAACACAGTTGAACCTTTGTTTTGATACAGCATTTTGGAAACACTCCTTTTGTAGGATCTGCAGGTGGATATTTGGATAGATTTTAAGATTTCGTTGGAAACGGGAATTTCTTCATAGAAGCTCAAGACAGATGCATTCTCAGAAACTTCTCTGTGATGTTTGCATTCCACTCATAGAGTTGAAAACTTCCTTTCATAGAGCAGGTTTGAAACACTCTTTTTGTAATATTTGGAAGTGGACATTTGCAGCGCTTTGAGGCCTATGTTGAAAAAGGAAATATCTTCTCATAAAACCCAGAAACAAGCATTCTCAGAAACTTCTTTTTGATGTGTGTACTCAAGTAACAGAGTTGAACCTTCCTTTTGACACAGCAGTTTTGAAACAATCTTTTTGTAGAATCTGCAAGTGGATATTTGGATAGCTTTGAGGATTTCGTTGGAAACGGGATATCTTCATATAAAATCTAGACAGAAGCATTCTCAGAAACTTCTTTGTGCTGTATGTCCTCAATTAACAGAGTTGAAGCATTGCCTGGATACAGCATTTTGGAAACATTCCTTGAGTAGAATCTGCAAGTTGATATTTAGATAGATTTGAAGATTTCGTTGGAAAAGGGAATATCTCCATATAAAATCTAGAGGGAAGCATTCTCAGAAACTGCTTTGTGATGTTTCCATTCAAGTCACAGAGTTGAATATTCCCTTTTATAGAGCACGTTTGAAACACTCTTTCTGCACTATCTGGAAGCGGACATTTCGAGCGCTTTGAGGCCTATGGTGAAAAAGGAAATATCTTCCCATAAAAACTAGACAGAAGCATTCTCAGAAACTTGTTTGTGATGTGTGTATTCAACTAACAGAGTTGAACTTTTGTTTTTACAGAGCCGTTTTAAAACACTCTTTTTGTGGAATCAGAAAGTGGATATTCGGATGGCTCTGAGGATTTCGTTGGAAGCGGGATTACGTATAAAATCTAGAGAGAAGCATTCTCAGGAACTTCTTTCTGATGTTTGCATTGAAGTCACAGAATTGAACATTCACTTTGATAGAGCAGGTTTGAAACACTCATTCTGTAGTATCTGGAAGTGGACATTTCAAGCGCTTTCAGGCCTATGGTGAGAAAGGAAATATCTTCGAATAAAAACTAGACAGAAGCATCCTCAAACTAATTGGTGATGTGTGTCCTCAACTAACAGAGTTGAAACTTTGTTTTGATACAGCATTTTGGAAACACTCTTTTTGTAGAATCTGCAGGTGGATATTTGGATAGCTTAGAGGGATTCGTTGGAAAGGGGATATCTTCATATAAAATCTAGACAGAAGCATTCTCAGAAACTTATTTGTGATGTGTGTCCTCAACTAACAGAGTTGAACCTTGGTTTTGATACAGCATTTTGGAAACACTCCTTTTGAAGAATCTGCAGGTGGATATGTGGATAGCTTTGAAGATTTCGTTGGAAACGGGAATTTCTTCATATAAAATCAAACAGAAGCATTCTCAGGAACTTCTCTGTGATGTTTGCATTCAGCTCATGGAGTTGAACACTTCCTTTCATAGAGCAGGTTTGAAACACTCTTTCTGCACTACCTGGAAGTGGACATTTCGAGCGCTTTGAGGCTTATGGTGAAAAAGGAAATATCCTCTCATAAAAACCAGAAAGAAGCGTTCTCAGAAACTTCTTTGTGTTGTGTGTACTCATGTAACAGTGTTGAACCATCCTTTTGACAGAGCAGTTTTGAAACACTCTTTTTGTAGAATCTGCCAGTGGATATTTGGATAGCTTTGAGGATTTCGTTGGAAACGGGTTATCTTCATATTAAATCTAGACAGAAGCATTCTCAGAAACTTCTTTGTGCTGTATGTCCTCAATTCACAGAGTTGAACCTTTGTTTGGATACAGCATTTTGGAAACATTCCTTTAGTAGAATCTGCAAGTTGATATTGAGATAGCTTTGAAGATTTCGTTGGAAACGGGAATATCTTCATAAAAAATCTAGACGGAAGCATTCTCAGAAACTGCTTTGTGATGTTTGCATTCAAGTCACAGAGTTGAATATTCCCTTTTATAGAGTAGGTTTGAAACACTCTTTCGGCACTACCTGGAAGTGGATATTTCGAGCTCTTTGAGGCCTATGGTTAAAAGGAAATATCTTCCCATAAAAACTAGACAGAAGCCGTCTCAGAAACTTGTTTGTGATGTGTGTATTCAACTAACAGAGTTGAACATTTCTGTTACAGAGCAATTTTAAAACACTCTTTTTGTGGAATCTGAAAGTGGATAATTGGATAGCTTTGTGGATTTCGTTGGAAACGGGATGACGTATAAAATCTAGAGAGAAGCATTCTCAGGAACTTCTTTCTGATGTTTGCATTCAGGTCACAGAATTGACATTCCTTTTCAGAGTGCAGGTTTGAAACACTCTTTCTGTAGTATCTGGAAGTGGACATTTCAAGCGCTTTCAGGCCTACGGGGAGAAAGGAAATATCTTCAAATAAAAACTAGACAGAAGGATTCTCAGAAACTTATTTGTGATGTGTGTCCTAAACGAACACAGTTGAACCTTTGTTTTGATACAGCATTTTGGAAACACTCCTTTTGTAGGATCTGCAGGTGGATATTTGGATAGATTTTAAGATTTCGTTGGAAACGGGAATTTCTGCATATAAACTCAAGACAGATGCATTCTCAGAAACTTCTCTGTGATGTTTGCATTCCACTCATAGAGTTGAAAACTTCCTTTCATAGAGCAGGTTTGAAACACTCTTTTTGTAATATTTGGAAGTGGACATTTGCAGCGCTTTGAGGCCTATGGTGAAAAAGGAAATATCTTCTCATAAAAACCAGAAACAAGCATTCTCAGAAACTTCTTTTTGATGTGTGTACTCAAGTAACAGAGTTGAACCTTCCTTTTGACACAGCAGTTTTGAAACAATCTTTTTGTAGAATCTGCAAGTGGATATTTGGATAGCTTTGAGGATTTCGTTGGAAACGGGATATCTTCATATAAAATCTAGACAGAAGCATTCTCAGAAACTTCTTTGTGCTGTATGTCCTCAATTAACAGAGTTGAACCATTGCTTGGATACAGCATTTTGGAAACATTCCTTTAGTAGAATCTGCAAGTTGATATTTAGATAGATTTGAAGATTTCGTTGGAAACAGGAATATCTTCATATAAAATCTAGACGGAAGCATTCTCAGAAACTGCTTTGTGATGTTTCCATTCAAGTCACAGAGTTGAATATTCTCTTTTATAGAGCACGTTTGAAACACTCTTTCTGCACTATCTGGAAGTGGACATTTCGAGCGCTTTGAGGCCTATGGTGAAAAAGGAAATATCTTCCCATAAAAACTAGACAGAAGCATTCTCAGAAACTTGTTTGTGATGTGTGTATTCAACTGAGTTGAACTTTTGTTTCTACAGAGCAGTTTTAAAACACTCTTTTTGTGGAATCAGAAAGTGGATATTCGGATGGCTCTGAGGATTTCGTTGGAAGCGGGATTACATATAAAATCTAGAGAGAAGCATTCTCAGGAACTTCTTTGTGATGTTTGCATTGAAGTCACAGAATTGAACATTCACTTTGATAGAGCAGGTTTGAAACACTCATTCTGTAGTATCTGGAAGTGGACATTTCAAGCGCTTTCAGGCCTATGGTGAGAAAGGAAATATTTTCAAATAAAAACTAGACAGAAGCATCCTCAAACTTATTTGTGATGTGTGTCCTCAACTAACAGAGTTGAAACTTTGTTTTGATACAGCATTTTGGAAACACTCTTTTTGTAGAATCTGCAGGTGGATATTTGGATAGCTTAGAGGGATTCGTTGGAAAGGGGATATCTTCATATAAAATCTAGACAGAAGCATTCTCAGAAACTTATTTGTGATGTGTGTCCTCAACTAACAGAGTTGAACCTTGGTTTTGATACAGCATTTTGGAAACACTCCTTTTGTAGAATCTGCAGGTGGATATTTGGATAGCTTTGAAGATTTCGTTGGAAACCGGAATATCTTCATATAAAATCAAGACAGAAGCATTCTCGGAAACATCTCTGTGATGTTTGCATTCAACTCAGTAGAGTTGAACACTTCCTTTCATAGAGGAGGTTTGAAACACTCTTTCTGCACTACCTGGAAGCGGACCTTTCGAGCGCTTTGAGGCCTATGGTGAAAAAGGAAATATCTTCTCATAAAAACCAGAAAGAAGCATTCTCAGAAACTTCTTTGTGTTGTGTGTACTCAAGTAACAGTGTTGAACCTTCCTTTTGACAGAGCAGTTTTGAAACACTCTTTTGGTAGAATCTGCAAGTGGATATTTGGAGAGCTTTGAGGATTTCGTTGGAAACGGGTTATCTTCATATAAAATCCAGACAGGAGCATTCTCAGAAACTTCTTTGTGCTGTATATCCTCAATTCACAGAGCTGAACCTTTGTTTGGATACAGCATTTTGGAGGCATTCCTTTAGTAGAATCTGCAAGTTGATATTGAGATAGCTTTGAAGATTTCGTTGGAAACGGGAATATCTTCATAGAAAATCTAGACGGAAGCATTCTCAGAAACTGCTTTGTGATGTTTGCATTCAAGTCACAGAGTTGAATATTCCCTTTTATAGAGTAGGTTTGAAACACTCTTTCGGCACTACCTGGAAGTGGATATTTCGAGCTCTTTGAGGCCTATGGTTAAAAGGAAATATCTTCCCATAAACACTAGACAGAAGCCGTCTCAGAAACTTGTTTGTGATGTGTGTATTCAACTACCAGAGTTGAACATTTCTGTTACAGAGCAATTTTAAAACACTCTTTTTGTGGAATCTGAAAGTGGATAATTGGATAGCTTTGTGGATTTCGTTGGAAACGGGATGACGTATAAAATCTAGAGAGAAGCATTCTCAGGAACTTCTTTCTGATGTTTGCATTCAAGTCACAGAATTGAACATTCCTTTTCAGAGTGCAGGTTTGAAACACACTCTTTCTGTAGTATCTGGAAGTGGACATTTCAAGCGCTTTCAGGCCTACGGGGAGAAAGGAAATATCTTCAAATAAAAACTAGACAGAAGGATTCTCAGAAACTTATTTGTGATGTGTGTCCTAAACGAACACAGTTGAACCTTTGTTTTGATACAGCATTTTGGAAACACTCCTTTTGTAGGATCTGCAGGTGGATATTTGGATAGATTTTAAGATTTCGTTGGAAACGGGAATTTCTGCATATAAACTCAAGACAGATGCATTCTCAGAAACTTCTCTGTGATGTTTGCATTCCACTCATAGAGTTGAAAACTTCCTTTCATAGAGCAGGTTTGAAACACTCTTTTTGTAATATTTGGAAGTGGACATTTGCAGCGCTTTGAGGCCTATGGTGAAAAAGGAAATATCTTCTCATAAAAACCAGAAACAAGCATTCTCAGAAACTTCTTTTTGATGTGTGTACTCAAGTAACAGAGTTGAACCTTCCTTTTGACACAGCAGTTTTGAAACAATCTTTTTGTAGAATCTGCAAGTGGATATTTGGATAGCTTTGAGGATTTCGTTGGAAACGGGATATCTTCATATAAAATCTAGACAGAAGCATTCTCAGAAACTTCTTTGTGCTGTATGACCTCAATTAACAGAGTTGAACCATTGCTTGCATACAGCATTTTGGAAACATTCCTTGAGTAGAATCTGCAAGTTGATATTTAGATAGATTTGAAGATTTCGTTCGAAAACGGAATATCTCCATATAAAATCTAGAGGGAAGCATTCTCAGAAACTGCTTTGTGATGTTTCCATTCAAGTCACAGAGTTGAATATTCCCTTTTATAGAGCACGTTTGAAACACTCTTTCTGCACTATCTGGAAGTGGACATTTCGAGCGCTTTGAGGCCTATGGTGAAAAAGGAAATATCTTCCCATAAAAACTAGACAGAAGCATTCTCAGAAACTTGTTTGTGATGTGTGTATTCAACTAACAGACTTGAACTTTTGTTTTTACAGAGCAGTTTTAAAACAATCTTTTTGTGGAATCAGAAAGTGGATATTCGGATGGCTTTGAGGATTTCGTTGGAAGCGGGGTTACATATAAAATGTAGAGAGAAGCATTCTCAGGAACTACTTTGTGATGTTTGCATTGAAGTCACAGAATTGAACATTCACTTTGATAGAGCAGGTTTGAAACACTCATTCTGTAGTATCTGGAAGTGGACATTTCAAGCGCTTTCAGGCCTATGGGGAGAAAGGAAATATCTTCAAATTAAAACTAGACAGAAGCATCCTCAGAAACTTATTTGTGATGTGTGTCCTCAACTAACAGAGTTGAAACTTTGTTTTGATACAGCATTTTGGAAACACTCTTTTTGTAGAATCTGCAGGTGGATACTTGGATAGCTTAGAGGAATTCGTTGGAAAGGGGATAAATTCATATAAAATCTAGACAGAAGCATTCTCAGAAACTTATTTGTGATGTGTGTCCTCAACTAACAGAGTTGAACCTTGGTTTTGATACAGCATTTTGGAAACACTCCTTTTGTAGAATCTGCAGGTGGATATGTGGATAGCTCTGAAGATTTCGTTGGAAACGGGAATTTCTTCATATAAAATCAAACAGAAGCATTCTCAGAAACTTCTCAGTGATGTTTGCATTCAGCTCATGGAGTTGTACACTTCCTTTCATAGAGCAGGTTTGAAACACTCTTTCTGCACTACCTGGAAGAGGACATTTCGAGCGCTTTGAGTCCTATGGTGAAAAAGGATATATCTTCTCATAGAAACCAGAAAGAAGCATTCTCAGAAACTTCTTTGTGTTGTGTGTACTCATGTAACAGTGTTGAACCATCCTTTTGACAGAGCAGTTTTGAAACACTCTTTTTGTAGAATCTGCAAGTGGATATTTGGATAGCTTTGAGGATTTCGTTGGAAACGGGATGACATATAATATCTAGAGAGAAGCATTCTCAGGAACTTCTTTGTGATGTTTGCATTCAAGTCACAGAATTGAACATTCCCTTTCATAGAGCAGGTTTGAAACACTCTTTCTCTAGTATCTGGAAGTGGGCATTTCAAGCGCTTTCAGGCCTATGGAGAGAAAGGAAATACCTTCAAATAAAAACTAGACAGAAGCATTCTCAGAAACTTATTTGTGATGTGTGTCCTCAACTAACAGAGTTGAACCTTTGTTTTGATACAGCATTTTGGAAACACTCCTTTTGTAGAATCTGCAGGTGGATATGTGGATAGCTTTGAAGATTTCGTTGGAAACCGGAATATCTTCCTATAAAATCAAGACAGAAGCATTCTCGGAAACATCTCTGTGATGTTTGCATTCAACTCAGTAGAGTTGAACACGTCCTTTCATAGAGCAGGTTTGAAACACTCTTTCTGCTCTACCTGGAAGCGGACATTTCGAGCGCTTTGAGGCCTATGGTGAAAAAGGAAATATCTTCTCATAAAAACCAGAAAGAAGCATTCTCAGAAACTTCTTTGTGTTGTGTGTACTCAAGTAACAGTGTTGAACCTTCCTTTTGACAGAGCAGTTTTGAAACACTCTTTTGGTAGAATCTGCAAGTGGATATTTGGATAGCTTTGAGGATTTCGTTGGAAACGGGTTATCTTCCTATAAAATCCAGACAGGAGCATTCTCAGAAACTTCTTTGTGCTGTATGTCCTCAATTCACAGAGCTGAACCTTTGTTTGGATACAGCATTTTGGAGACATTCCTTTAGTAGAATCTGCAAGTTGATATTTAGATAGCTTTGAAGATTTCGTTGGAAACGGGAATATCTTCATAGAAAATCTAGACGGAAGCATTCTCAGAAACTGCTTTGTGATGTTTGCATTCAAGTCACAGAGTTGAATATTCCCTTTTATAGAGTAGGTTTGAAACACTCTTTCGGCACTACCTGGAAGTGGATATTTCGAGCTCTTTGAGGCCTATGGTTAAAAGGAAATATCTTCCCATAAAAACTAGACAGAAGCCGTCTCAGAAACTTGTTTGTGATGTGTGTATTCAACTAACAGAGTTGAACATTTCTGTTACAGAGCAATTTTAAAACACTCTTTTTGTGGAATCTGAAAGTGGATAATTGGATAGCTTTGTGGATTTCGTTGGAAACGGGATGACGTATAAAATCTAGAGAGAAGCATTCTCAGGAACTTCTTTCTGATGTTTGCATTCAAGTCACAGAATTGAACATTCCTTTTCAGAGTGCAGGTTTGAAACACACTCTTTCTGTAGTATCTGGAAGTGGACATTTCAAGCGCTTTCAGGCCTACGGGGAGAAAGGAAATATCTTCAAATAAAAACTAGACAGAAGGATTCTCAGAAACTTATTTGTGATGTGTGTCCTAAACGAACACAGTTGAACCTTTGTTTTGATACAGCATTTTGGAAACACTCCTTTTGTAGGATCTGCAGGTGGATATTTGGATAGATTTTAAGATTTCGTTGGAAACGGGAATTTCTGCATATAAACTCAAGACAGATGCATTCTCAGAAACTTCTCTGTGATGTTTGCATTCCACTCATAGAGTTGAAAACTTCCTTTCATAGAGCAGGTTTGAAACACTCTTTTTGTAATATTTGGAAGTGGACATTTGCAGCGCTTTGAGGCCTATGGTGAAAAAGGAAATATCTTCTCATAAAAACCAGAAACAAGCATTCTCAGAAACTTCTTTTTGATGTGTGTACTCAAGTAACAGAGTTGAACCTTCCTTTTGACACAGCAGTTTTGAAACAATCTTTTTGTAGAATCTGCAAGTGGATATTTGGATAGCTTTGAGGATTTCGTTGGAAACGGGATATCTTCATATAAAATCTAGACAGAAGCATTCTCAGAAACTTCTTTGTGCTGTATGTCCTCAATTAACAGAGTTGAACCATTGCTTGGATACAGCATTTTGGAAACATTCCTTTAGTAGAATCTGCAAGTTGATATTTAGATAGCTTTGAAGATTTCGTTGGAAACGGGAATATCTTCATATAAAATCTAGACGGAGGCATTCTCAGAAACTGCTTTGTGATGTTTCCATTCAAGTCACAGAGTTGAATATTCCCTTTTATAGAGCACGTTTGAAACACTCTTTCGGCACTATCTGGAAGTGGACATTTCGAGCGCTTTGAGGCCTATGGTGAAAAAGGAAATATCTTCCCATAAAAACTAGACAGAAGCATTCTCAGAAACTTGTTTGTGATGTGTGTATTCAACTAACAGACTTGAACTTTTGTTTTTACAGAGCAGTTTTAAAACAATCTTTTTGTGGAATCAGAAAGTGGATATTCGGATGGCTTTGAGGATTTCGTTGGAAGCGGGATTACATATAAAATGTAGAGAGAAGCATTCTCAGGAACTACTTTGTGATGTTTGCATTGAAGTCACAGAATTGAACATTCACTTTGATAGAGCAGGTTTGAAACACTCATTCTGTAGTATCTGGAAGTGGACATTTCAAGCGCTTTCAGGCCTATGGGGAGAAAGGAAATATCTTCAAATTAAAACTAGAGAGAAGCATCCTCAAACTTATTTGTGATGTGTGTCCTCAACTAACAGAGTTGAAACTTTGTTTTGATACAGCATTTTGGAAACACTCTTTTTGTAGAATCTGCAGGTGGATATTTGGATAGCTTAGAGGGATTCGTTGGAAAGGGGATATCTTCATATAAAATCTAGACAGAAGCATTCTCAGAAACTTATTTGTGATGTGTGTCCTCAACTAACAGAGTTGAACCTTGGTTTTGATACAGCATTTTGGAAACACTCCTTTTGTAGAATCTGCAGGTGGATATGTGGAGAGCTCTGAAGATTTCGTTGGAAACGGGAATTTCTTCATATAAAATCAAACAGAAGCATTCTCAGAAACTTCTCAGTGATGTTTCCATTCAGCTCATGGAGTTGAACACTTCCTTTCAGAGAGCAGCTTTGAAACACTCTTTCTGCACTACCAGGAAGTGGACATTTCGAACGCTTTGAGGCCTATGGTGAAAAAGGAAATATCTTCTCATAAAAACCAGAAAGAAGCGTTCTCAGAAACTTCTTTGTGTTGTGTGTACTCATGTAACAGTGTTGAACCATCCTTTTGACAGAGCAGTTTTGAAACACTCTCTTTGTAGAATCTGCAAGTGGATATTTGGATAGCTTTGAGGATTTCATTGGAAACGGGTTATCTTCATATTAAATCTAGACAGAAGCATTCTCAGAAACTTCTTTGTGCTGTATGTCCTCAATTCACAGAGTTGAACCTTTGTTTGGATACAGCATTATGGAAACATTCCTTTAGTAGAATCTGCAAGTTGATATTTAGATAGCTTTGAAGATTTCGTTGGAAACGGGAATATCTTCATAAAAAATCTAGACGGAAGCATTGTCAGAAACTGCTCTGTGATGTTTCCATTCAAGTCACAGAGTTAAATATTCTTTTACAGAGCAGGTTTGAAACACTCTTTCTGCACTCCCTGGAAGTGGAGATTTCGAGCGCTTTGAGGCCTATGGTGAAAAAGGAAATATCTTCCCATAAAAACTAGACGGAAGCCTTCTCAGAAACTTGTTTGAGATGTGTGTATTCAACTAAGAGCGTTGAACATTTCTTTTTACAGAGCAGTTTTCAAACAGTCTTTTGGTGGAATCTGAAAGTGGATAATTGGATAGCTTTGTGGATTTCGTTGGAAACGGGATTACGTTTAAAATCTAGAGAGAAAGCATTCTCAGGAACTTCTTTCTGATGTTTGCATTCAAGTCATAGAATTGAACATTCCTTTTCAGAGTGCAGGTTTGAAACACTCTTTCTGTAGTATCTGGAAGTGGACATTTCAAGCGCTTTCAGGCCTACGGGGAGAAAGGAAATATCTTCAAATAAAAACTAGACAGAGGGTTCTCAGAAACTTATTTGTGATGTGTGTCCTAAACGAACACAGTTGAACCTTTGTTTTGATACAGCATTTTGGAAACACTCCTTTTGTAGGATCTGCAGGTGGATATTTGGATAGATTTTAAGATTTCGTTGAAACGGGAATTTCTTCACATAAACTCAAGACAGATGCATTCTCAGAAACTTCTCTGTGATGTTTGCATTCCACTCATAGAGTTGAAAACTTCCTTTCATAGAGCAGGTTTGAAACACTCTTTTTGTAATATTTGGAAGTGGACATTTGCAGCGCTTTGAGGCCTATGGTGAAAAAGGAAATATCTTCTCATAAAAACCAGAAACAAGCATTCTCAGAAACTTCTTTTTGATGTGTGTACTCAAGTAACAGAGTTGAACCTTCCTCTTGACACAGCAGTTTTGAAACAATCTTTTTGTAGAATCTGCAAGTGGATATTTGGATAGCTTTGAGGATTTCGTTGGAAACGGGATATCTTCATATAAAATCTAGACAGAAGCATTCTCAGAAACTTCTTTGTGCTGTATGTCCTCAATTAACAGAGTTGAACCATTGCCTGGATACAGCATTTTGGAAACATTCCTTGAGTAGAATCTGCAAGTTGATATTTAGATAGATTTGAAGATTTCGTTGGAAAAGGGAATATCTCCATATAAAATCTAGAGGGAAGCATTCTCAGAAACTGCTTTGTGATGTTTCCATTCAAGTCACAGAGTTGAATATTCCCTTTTATAGAGCACGTTTGAAACACTCTTTCTGCACTATCTGGAAGCGGACATTTCGAGCGCTTTGAGGCCTATGGTGAAAAAGGAAATATCTTCCCATATAAACTAGACAGAAGCATTCTCAGAAACTTGTTTGTGATGTGTGTATTCAACTAACAGAGTTGAACTTTTGTTTTTACAGAGCCGTTTTAAAACACTCTTTTTGTGGAATCAGAAAGTGGATATTCGGATGGCTCTGAGGATTTCGTTGGAAGCGGGATTACATATAAAATCTAGAGAGAAGCATTCTCAGGAACTTCTTTGTGATGTTTGCATTGAAGTCACAGAATTGAACATTCACTTTGATAGAGCAGGTTTGAAACACTCATTCTGTAGTATCTGGAAGTGGACATTTCAAGCGCTTTCAGGCCTATGGTGAGAAAGGAAATATCTTCGAATAAAAACTAGACAGAAGCATCCTCAAACTTATTTGTGATGTGTGTCCTCAACTAACAGAGTTGAAACTTTGTTTTGATACAGCATTTTGGAAACACTCTTTTTGTAGAATCTGCAGGTGGATATTTGGATAGCTTAGAGGGATTCGTTGGAAAGGGGATATCTTCATATAGAATCTAGACAGAAGCATTCTCAGAAACTTATTTGTGATGTGTGTCCTCAACTAACAGAGTTGAACTTTGGTTTTGATACAGCATTTTGGAAACACTCCTTTTGTAGAATCTGCAGGTGGATATGTGGATAGCTCTGAAGATTTCGTTGGAAACGGGAATTTCTTCATATAAAATCAAACAGAAGCATTCTCAGAAACTTCTCAGTGATGTTTGCATTCAGTTCATGGAGTTGAACACTTCCTTTCATAGAGCCGGTTTGAAACACTCTTTCTGCACTGCCTGGAAGAGGACATTTCGAGCGCTTTGAGTCTTATGGTGAAAAAGGAAATATCTTCTCATAGAAACCAGAAAGAAGCATTCTCAGAAACTTCTTTGTGTTGTGTGTACTCATGTAACAGTGTTGAACCATCCTTTTGACAGAGCAGTTTTGAAACACTCTTTTTGTAGAATCTGCAAGTGGATATTTGGATAGCTTTGAGGATTTCGTTGGAAACGGGATGACATATAATATCTAGAGAGAAGCATTCTCAGGAACTTCTTTGTGATGTTTGCATTCAAGTCACAGAATTGAACATTCCCTTTCATAGAGCAGCTTTGAAACACTCTTTCTCTAGTATCTGGAAGTGGGCATTTCAAGCGCTTTCAGGCCTATGGAGAGAAAGGAAATACCTTCAAATAAAAACTAGACAGAAGCATTCTCAGAAACTTATTTGTGATGTGTGTCCTCAACTAACAGAGTTGAACCTTTGTTTTGATACAGCATTTTGGAAACACTCCTTTTGTAGAATCTGCAGGTGGATATTTGGATAGCTTTGAAGATTTCGTTGGAAACCGGAATATCTTCATATAAAATCAAGACAGAAGCATTCTCGGAAACATGTCTGTGATGTTTGCATTCAACTCAGTAGAGTTGAACACTTCCTTTCATAGAGCAGGTTTGAAACACTCTTTCTGCACTACCTGGAAGCGGACATTTCGAGCGCTTTGAGGCCTATGGTGAAAAAGGAAATATCTTCTCATAAAAACCAGAAAGAAGCATTCTCAGAAACTTCTTTGTGTTGTGTGTACTCAAGTAACAGTGTTGAACCTTCCTTTTGACAGAGCAGTTTTGAAACACTCTTTTGGTAGAATCTGCAAGTGGATATTTGGAGAGCTTTGAGGATTTCGTTGGAAACGGGTTATCTTCATATAAAATCCAGACAGGAGCATTCTCAGAAACTTCTTTGTGCTGTATGTCCTCAATTCACAGAGCTGAACCTTTGTTTGGATACAGCATTTTGGAGACATTCCTTTAGTAGAATCTGCAAGTTGATATTTAGATAGCTTTGAAGATTTCGATGGAAACGGGAATATCTTCATAGAAAATCTAGACGGAAGCATTCTCAGAAACTGCTTTGTGATGTTTGCATTCAAGTCACAGAGTTGAATATTCCCTTTTATAGAGTAGGTTTGAAACACTCTTTCGGCACTACCTGGAAGTGGATATTTCGAGCTCTTTGAGGCCTATGGTTAAAAGGAAATATCTTCCCATAAAAACTAGACAGAAGCCGTCTCAGAAACTTGTTTGTGATGTGTGTATTCAACTAACAGAGTTGAACATTTCTGTTACAGAGCAATTTTAAAACACTCTTTTTGTGGAATCTGAAAGTGGATAATTGGATAGCTTTGTGGATTTCGTTGGAAACGGGATGACGTATAAAATCTAGAGAGAAGCATTCTCAGGAACTTCTTTCTGATGTTTGCATTCAAGTCACAGAATTGAACATTCCTTTTCATAGTGCAGGTTTGAAACACTCTTTCTGTAGTATCTGGAAGTGGACATTTCAAGCGCTTTCAGGCCTGTGGGGAGAAAGGAAATATCTTCAAATAAAAACTAGACAGAAGGATTCTCAGAAACTTATTTGTGATGTGTGTCCTAAACGAACACAGTTGAACCTTTGTTTTGATACAGCATTTTGGAAACACTCCTTTTGTAGGATCTGCAGGTGGATATTTGGATAGATTTTAAGATTTCGTTGGAAACGGGAATTTCTTCATAGAAGCTCAAGACAGATGCATTCTCAGAAACTTCTCTGTGATGTTTGCATTCCACTCATAGAGTTGAAAACTTCCTTTCATAGAGCAGGTTTGAAACACTCTTTTTGTAATATTTGGAAGTGGACATTTGCAGCGCTTTGAGGCCTATGGTGAAAAAGGAAATATCTTCTCATAAAAACCAGAAACAAGCATTCTCAGAAACTTCTTTTTGATGTGTGTACTCAAGTAACAGAGTTGAACCTTCCTCTTGACACAGCAGTTTTGAAACAATCTTTTTGTAGAATCTGCAAGTGGATATTTGGATAGCTTTGAGGATTTCGTTGGAAACGGGATATCTTCATATAAAATCTAGACAGAAGCATTCTCAGAAACTTCTTTGTGCTGTATGTCCTCAATTAACAGAGTTGAACCATTGCCTGGATACAGCATTTTGGAAACATTCCTTGAGTAGAATCTGCAAGTTGATATTTAGATAGATTTGAAGATTTCGTTGGAAAAGGGAATATCTCCATATAAAATCTAGAGGGAAGCATTCTCAGAAACTGCTTTGTGATGTTTCCATTCAAGTCACAGAGTTGAATATTCCCTTTTATAGAGCACGTTTGAAACACTCTTTCTGCACTATCTGGAAGCGGACATTTCGAGCGCTTTGAGGCCTATGGTGAAAAAGTAAATATCTTCCCATAAAAACTAGACAGAAGCATTCTCAGAAACTTGTTTGTGATGTGTGTATTCAACTAACAGAGTTGAACTTTTGTTTTTACAGAGCCGTTTTAAAACACTCTTTTTGTGGAATCAGAAAGTGGATATTCGGATGGCTCTGAGGATTTCGTTGGAAGCGGGATTACGTATAAAATCTAGAGAGAAGCATTCTCAGGAACTTCTTTGTGATGTTTGCATTGAAGTCACAGAATTGAACATTCACTTTGATAGAGCAGGTTTGAAACACTCATTCTGTAGTACCTGGAAGTGGACATTTCAAGCGCTTTCAGGCCTATGGTGAGAAAGGAAATATCTTCGAATAAAAACTAGACAGAAAGCATCCTCAGAAACTTATTTGTGATGTGTGTCCTCAACTAACAGAGTTGAAACTTTGTTTTGATACAGCATTTTGGAAACACTCTTTTTGTAGAATCTGCAGGTGGATATTTGGATAGCTTAGAGGGATTCGTTGGAAAGGGGATATCTTCATATAAAATCTAGACAGAGCATTCTCAGAAACTTATTTGTGATGTGTGTCCTCAACTAACAGAGTTGAACTTTGGTTTTGATACAGCATTTTGGAAACACTCCTTTTGTAGAATCTGCAGGTGGATATGTGGATAGCTCTGAAGATTTCGTTGGAAACGGGAATTTCTTCATATAAAATCAAACAGAAGCATTCTCAGAAACTTCTCAGTGATGTTTGCATTCAGTTCATGGAGTTGAACACTTCCCTTCATAGAGCCGGTTTGAAACACTCTTTCTGCACTACCTGGAAGAGGACATTTCGAGCGCTTTGAGTCCTATGGTGAAAAAGGAAATATCTTCTCATAGAAACCAGAAAGAAGCATTCTCAGAAACTTCTTTGTGTTGTGTGTACTCATGTAACAGTGTTGAACCATCCTTTTGACAGAGCAGTTTTGAAACACTCTTTTTGTAGAATCTGCAAGTGGATATTTGGATAGCTTTGAGGATTTCGTTGGAAACGGGATGACATATAATATCTAGAGAGAAGCATTCTCAGGAACTTCTTTGTGATGTTTGCATTCAAGTCACAGAATTGAACATTCCCTATCATAGAGCAGGTTTGAAACACTCTTTCTCTAGTATCTGGAAGTGGGCATTTCAAGCGCTTTCAGGCCTATGGAGAGAAAGGAAATACCTTCGAATAAAAACTAGACAGAAGCATTCTCAGAAACTTATTTGTGATGTGTGTCCTCAACTAACAGAGTTGAACCTTTGTTTTGATACAGCATTTTGGAAACACTCCTTTTGTAGAATCTGCAGGTGGATATTTGGATAGCTTTGAAGATTTCGTTGGAAACCGGAATATCTTCATATAAAATCAAGACAGAAGCATTCTCGGAAACATCTCTGTGATGTTTGCATTCAACTCAGTAGAGTTGAACACTTCCTTTCATAGAGCAGGTTTGAAACACTCTTTCTGCACTACCTGGAAGCGGACATTTCGAGCGCTTTGAGGCCTATGGTGAAAAAGGAAATATCTTCTCATAAAAACCAGAAAGAAGCATTCTCAGAAACTTCTTTGTGTTGTGTGTACTCAAGTAACAGTGTTGAACCTTCCTTTTGACAGAGCAGTTTTGAAACACTCTTTTGGTAGAATCTGCAAGTGGATATTTGGATAGCTTTGAGGATTTCGTTGGAAACGGGTTATCTTCCTATAAAATCCAGACAGGAGCATTCTCAGAAACTTCTTTGTGCTGTATGTCCTCAATTCACAGAGCTGAACCTTTGTTTGGATACAGCATTTTGGAGACATTCCTTTAGTAGAATCTGCAAGTTGATATTTAGATAGCTTTGAAGATTTCGTTGGAAACGGGAATATCTTCATAGAAAATCTAGACGGAAGCATTCTCAGAAACTGCTTTGTGATGTTTGCATTCAAGTCACAGAGTTGAATATTCCCTTTTATAGAGTAGGTTTGAAACACTCTTTCGGCACTACCTGGAAGTGGATATTTCGAGCTCTTTGAGGCCTATGGTTAAAAGGAAATATCTTCCCATAAAAACTAGACAGAAGCCGTCTCAGAAACTTGTTTGTGATGTGTGTATTCAACTAACAGAGTTGAACATTTCTGTTACAGAGCAATTTTAAAACACTCTTTTTGTGGAATCTGAAAGTGGATAATTGGATAGCTTTGTGGATTTCGTTGGAAACGGGATGACGTATAAAATCTAGAGAGAAGCATTCTCAGGAACTTCTTTCTGATGTTTGCATTCAAGTCACAGAATTGAACATTCCTTTTCATAGTGCAAGTTTGAAACACTCTTTCTGTAGTATCTGGAAGTGGACATTTCAAGCGCTTTCAGGCCTACAGGAGAAAGGAAATATCTTCAAATAAAAACTAGACAGAAGGATTCTCAGAAACTTATTTGTGATGTGTGTCCTAAACGAACACAGTTGAACCTTTGTTTTGATACAGCATTTTGGAAACACTCCTTTTGTAGGATCTGCAGGTGGATATTTGGATAGATTTTAAGATTTCGTTGGAAACGGGAATTTCTTCATAGAAGCTCAAGACAGAATGCATTCTCCGAAACTTCTCTGTGATGTTTGCATTCCACTCATAGAGTTGAAAACTTCCTTTCATAGAGCAGGTTTGAAACACTCTTTTTGTAATATTTGGAAGTGGACATTTGCAGCGCTTTGAGGTCTATGGTGAAAAAGGAAATATCTTCTCATAAAAACCAGAAACAAGCATTCTCAGAAACTTCTTTTTGATGTGTGTACTCAAGTAACAGAGTTGAACCTTCCTCTTGACACAGCAGTTTTGAAACAATCTTTTTGTAGAATCTGCAAGTGGATATTTGGATAGCTTTGAGGATTTCGTTGGAAACGGGATATCTTCATATAAAATCTAGACAGAAGCATTCTCAGAAACTTCTTTGTGCTGTATGTCCTCAATTAACAGAGTTGAACCATTGCCTGGATACAGCATTTTGGAAACATTCCTTGAGTAGAATCTGCAAGTTGATATTTAGATAGATTTGAAGATTTCGTTGGAAAAGGGAATATCTCCATATAAAATCTAGAGGGAAGCATTCTCAGAAACTGCTTTGTGATGTTTCCATTCAAGTCACAGAGTTGAATATTCCCTTTTATAGAGCACGTTTGAAACACTCTTTCTGCACTATCTGGAAGCGGACATTTCGAGCGCTTTGAGGCCTATGGTGAAAAAGGAAATATCTTCCCATAAAAACTAGACAGAAGCATTCTCAGAAACTTGTTTGTGATGTGTGTATTCAACTAACAGAGTTGAACTTTTGTTTTTACAGAGCCGTTTTAAAACACTCTTTTTGTGGAATCAGAAAGTGGATATTCGGATGGCTCTGAGGATTTCGTTGGAAGCGGGATTACCATATAAAATCTAGAGAGAAGCATTCTCAGGAACTTCTTTCTGATGTTTGCATTGAAGTCACGGAATTGAACATTCACTTTTATAGAGCAGGTTTGAAACACTCATTCTGTAGTATCTGGAAGTGGACATTTCAAGCGCTTTCAGGCCTATGGTGAGAAAGGAAATATCTTCGAATAAAAACTAGACAGAAGCATCCTCAGAAACTTATTTGTGATGTGTGTCCTCAACTAACAGAGTTGAAACTTTGTTTTGATACAGCATTTTGGAAACACTCTTTTTGTAAAATCTGCAGGTGGATATGTGGATAGCTCTGAAGATTTCGTTGGAAACGGGAATTTCTTCATATAAAATCAAACAGAAGCATTCTCAGAAACTTCTCAGTGATGTTTGCATTCAGCTCATGGAGTTGTACACTTCCTTTCATAGAGCAGGTTTGAAACACTCTTTCTGCACTACCTGGAAGAGGACATTTCGAGCGCTTTGAGTCCTATGGTGAAAAAGGAAATATCTTCTCATAGAAACCAGAAAGAAGCATTCTCAGAAACTTCTTTGTGTTGTGTGTACTCATGTAACAGTGTTGAACCATCCTTTTGACAGAGCAGTTTTGAAACACTCTTTTTGTAGAATCTGCAAGTGGATATTTGGATAGCTTTGAGGATTTCGTTGGAAACGGGATGACATATAATATCTAGAGAGAAGCATTCTCAGGAACTTCTTTGTGATGTTTGCATTCAAGTCACAGAATTGAACATTCCCTTTCATAGATCAGGTTTGAAACACTCTTTCTCTAGTATCTGGAAGTGGGCATTTCAAGCGCTTTCAGGCCTATGGAGAGAAAGGAAATACCTTCAAATAAAAACTAGACAGAAGCATTCTCAGAAACTTATTTGTGATGTGTGTCCTCAACTAACAGAGTTGAACCTTTGTTTTGATACAGCATTTTGGAAACACTCCTTTTGTAGAATCTGCAGGTGGATATTTGGATAGCTTTGAAGATTTCGTTGGAAACCGGAATATCTTCATATAAAATCAAGACAGAAGCATTCTCGGAAACATCTCTGTGATGTTTGCATTCAACTCAGTAGAGTTGAACACTTCCTTTCATAGAGCAGGTTTGAAACACTCTTTTTGTAATATTTGGAAGTGGACATTTGCAGCGCTTTGAGGCCTATGGTGAAAAAGGAAATATCTTCTCATAAAAACCAGAAACAAGCATTCTCAGAAACTTCTTTTTGATGTGTGTACTCAAGTAACAGAGTTGAACCTTCCTTTTGACACAGCAGTTTTGAAACAATCTTTTTGTAGAATCTGCAAGTGGATATTTGGATAGCTTTGAGGATTTCGTTGGAAACGGGATATCTTCATATAAAATCTAGACAGAAGCATTCTCAGAAACTTCTTTGTGCTGTATGTCCTCAATTAACAGAGTTGAACCATTGCTTGGATACAGCATTTTGGAAACATTCCTTTAGTAGAATCTGCAAGTTGATATTTAGATAGATTTGAAGATTTCGTTGGAAACGGGAATATCTTCATATAAAATCTAGACGGAGGCATTCTCAGAAACTGCTTTGTGATGTTTCCATTCAAATCACAGAGTTGAATATTCTCTTTTATAGAGCACGTTTGAAACACTCTTTCTGCACCATCTGGAAGTGGACATTTCGAGCGCTGTGAGGCCTATGGTGAAAAAGGAAATATCTTCCCATAAAAACTAGACAGAAGCATTCTCAGAAACTTGTTTGTGATGTGTGTATTCAACTAACAGACTTGAACTTTTGTTTTTACAGAGCAGTTTTAAGACAATCTTTTTGTGGAATCAGAAAGTGGATATTCGGATGGCTTTGAGGACTTCGTTGGAAGCGGGATTACATATAAAATCTAGAGAGAAGCATTCTCAGCAACTTCTTTGTGATGTTTGCATTGAAGTCACAGAATTGAACATTCACTTTGATAGAGCAGGTTTGAAACACTCATTCTGTAGTATCTGGAAGCGGACAATTCAAGCGCTTTCAGGCCTATGGGGAGAAAGGAAATATCTTCAAATAAAAACTAGACAGAAGCATCCTCAGAAACTTATTTGTGATGTGTGTCCTCAACTAACAGAGTTGAAACTTTGTTTTGATACAGCATTTTGGAAACACTCTTTCTGTAGAATCTGCAGGTGGATATTTGGATAGCTTAGAGGGATTCGTTGGAAAGGGGATATCTTCATATAAAATCTAGACAGAAGCATTCTCAGAAACTTATTTGTGATGTGTGTCCTCAACTAACAGAGTGGAACCTTGGTTTTGATACAGCATTTTGGAAACACTCCTTTTGTAGAATCTGCAGGTGGATATGTGGATAGCTTTGAAGATTTCGTTGGAAACGGGAATTTCTTCATATAAAATCAAACAGAAGCATTCTCAGAAACTTCTCAGTGATGTTTGCATTCAGCTCATGGAGTTGAACACTTCCTTTCATAGAGCAGGTTTGAAACACTCTTTCTGCACTACCTGGAAGAGGACATTTCGAGCGCTTTGAGTCCTATGGTGAAAAAGGAAATATCTTCTCATAGAAACCAGAAAGAAGCATTCTCAGAAACTTCTTTGTGTTGTGTGTACTCATGTAACAGTGTTGAACCATCCTTTTGACAGAGCAGTTTTGAAACACTCTTTTTGTAGAATCTGCAAGTGGATATTTGGATAGCTTTGAGGATTTCGTTGGAAACGGGATGACATATAATATCTAGAGAGAAGCATTCTCAGGAACTTCTTTGTGATGTTTGCATTCAAGTCACAGAATTGAACATTCCCTTTCATAGAGCAGGTTTGAAACACTCTTTCTCTAGTATCTGGAAGTGGGCATTTCATGCGCTTTCAGGCCTATGGAGAGAAAGGAAATACCTTCAAATAAAAACTAGACAGAAGCATTCTCAGAAACTTATTTGTGATGTGTGTCCTCAACTAACAGAGTTGAACCTTTGTTTTGATACAGCATTTTGGAAACACTCCTTTTGTAGAATCTGCAGGTGGATATTTGGATAGCTTTGAAGATTTCGTTGGAAACCGGAATATCTTCATATAAAATCAAGACAGAAGCATTCTCGGAAACATGTCTGTGATGTTTGCATTCAACTCAGTAGAGTTGAACACTTCCTTTCATAGAGCAGGTTTGAAACACTCTTTCTGCACTACCTGGAAGCGGACATTTCGAGCGCTTTGAGGCCTATGGTGAAAAAGGAAATATCTTCTCATAAAAACCAGAAAGAAGCATTCTCAGAAACTTCTTTGTGTTGTGTGTACTCAAGTAACAGTGTTGAACCTTCCTTTTGACAGAGCAGTTTTGAAACACTCTTTTGGTAGAATCTGCAAGTGGATATTTGGATAGCTTTGAGGATTTCATTGGAAACGGGTTATCTTCATATAAAATCCAGACAGGAGCATTCTCAGAAACTTCTTTGTGCTGTATGTCCTCAATTCACAGAGCTGAACCTTTGTTTGGATACAGCATTTTGGAGACATTCCTTTAGTAGAATCTGCAAGTTGATATTTAGATAGCTTTGAAGATTTCGTTGGAAACGGGAATATCTTCATAGAAAATGCTAGACGGAAGCATTCTCAGAAACTGCTTTGTGATGTTTGCATTCAAGTCACAGAGTTGAATATTCCCTTTTATAGAGTAGGTTTGAAACACTCTTTCGGCACTACCTGGAAGTGGATATTTCGAGCTCTTTGAGGCCTATGGTTAAAAGGAAATATCTTCCCATAAAAACTAGACAGAAGCCGTCTCAGAAACTTGTTTGTGATGTGTGTATTCAACTACCAGAGTTGAACATTTCTGTTACAGAGCAATTTTAAAACACTCTTTGTGGAATCTGAAAGTGGATAATTGGATAGCTTTGTGGATTTCGTTGGAAACGGGATGACGTATAAAATCTAGAGAGAAGCATTCTCAGGAACTTCTTTCTGATGTTTGCATTCAAGTCACAGAATTGAACATTCCTTTTCATAGTGCAGGTTTGAAACACTCTGTAGTATCTGGAAGTGGACATTTCAAGCGCTTTCAAGCCTATGGGGAGAAAGGAAATATCTTGAAATAAAAACTAGACAGAAGGATTCTCAGAAACTTATTTGTGATGTGTGTCCTAAACGAACACAGTTGAACCTTTGTTTTGATACAGCATTTTGGAAACACTCCTTTTGTAGGATCTGCAGGTGGATATTTGGATAGATTTTAAGATTTCGTTGGAAACGGGAATTTCTGCATATAAACTCAAGACAGATGCATTCTCAGAAACTTCTCTGTGATGTTTGCATTCCACTCATAGAGTTGAAAACTTCCTTTCATAGAGCAGGTTTGAAACACTCTTTTTGTAATATTTGGAAGTGGACATTTGCAGCGCTTTGAGGCCTATGGTGAAAAAGGAAATATCTTCTCATAAAAACCAGAAACAAGCATTCTCAGAAACTTCTTTTTGATGTGTGTACTCAAGTAACAGAGTTGAACCTTCCTTTTGACACAGCAGTTTTGAAACAATCTTTTTGTAGAATCTGCAAGTGGATATTTGGATAGCTTTGAGGATTTCGTTGGAAACGGGATATCTTCATATAAAATCTAGACAGAAGCATTCTCAGAAACTTCTTTGTGCTGTATGTCCTCAATTAACAGAGTTGAACCATTGCTTGGATACAGTATTTTGGAAACATTCCTTTAGTAGAATCTGCAAGTTGATATTTAGATAGATTTGAAGATTTCGTTGGAAACGGGAATATCTTCATATAAAATCTAGATGGAGGCATTCTCAGAAACTGCTTTGTGATGTTTCCATTCAAGTCACAGAGTTGAATATTCTCTTTTAAAGAGCACGTTTGAAACACTCTTTCTGCACTATCTGGAAGTGGACATTTCGAGCGCTTTGAGGCCTATGGTGAAAAAGGAAATATCTTCCCATAAAAACTAGACAGAAGCATTCTCAGAAACTTGTTTGTGATGTGTGTATTCAACTAACAGACTTGAACTTTTGTTTTTACAGAGCAGTTTTAAAACAATCCTTTTGTGGAATCAGAAAGTGGATATTCGGATGGCTTTGAGGACTTCGTTGGAAGCGGGATTACATATAAAATCTAGAGAGAAGCATTCTCAGGAACTACTTTGTGATGTTTGCATTGATGTCACAGAATTGAACATTCACTTTGATAGAGCAGGTTTGAAACACTCATTCTGTAGTATCTGGAAGCGGACAATTCTAGCGCTTTCAGGCCTATGGGGAGAAAGGAAATATCTTCAAATAAAAACTAGACAGAAGCATCCTCAGAAACTTATTTGTGATGTGTGTCCTCAACTAACAGAGTTGAAACTTTGTTTTGATACAGGCTTTTGGAAACACTCCTTTTGTAGAATCTGCAGGTGGCTATTTGGATAGCTTAGAGGGATTCGTTGGAAAGGGGATATCTTCATATAAAATCTAGACAGAAGCATTCTCAGAAACTTATTTGTGATGTGTGTCCTCAACTAACAGAGTTGAACCTTGGTTTTGATACAGCATTTTGGAAACACTCCTTTTGTAGAATCTGCAGGTGGATATGTGGATAGCTCTGAAGATTTCGTTGGAAACGGGAATTTCTTCATATAAAATCAAACAGAAGCATTCTCAGAAACTTCTCAGTGATGTTTGCATTCAGCTCATGGAGTTGTACACTTCCTTTCATAGAGCAGGTTTGAAACACTCTTTCTGCACTACCTGGAAGAGGACATTTCGAGCGCTTTGAGTCCTATGGTGAAAAAGGAAATATCTTCTCATAGAAACCAGAAAGAAGCATTCTCAGAAACTTCTTTGTGTTGTGTGTACTCATGTAACAGTGTTGAACCATCCTTTTGACAGAGCAGTTTTGAAACACTCTTTTTGTAGAATCTGCAAGTGGATATTTGGATAGCTTTGAGGATTTCGTTGGAAACGGGATGACATATAATATCTAGAGAGAAGCATTCTCAGGAACTTCTTTGTGATGTTTGCATTCAAGTCACAGAATTGAACATTCCCTTTCATAGAGCAGGTTTGAAACACTCTTTCTCTAGTATCTGGAAGTGGGCATTTCAAGTGCTTTCAGGCCTATGGAGAGAAAGGAAATACCTTCAAATAAAAACTAGACAGAAAGCATTCTCAGTAAACTTATTTGTGATGTGTGTCCTCAACTAACAGAGTTGAACCTTTGTTTTGATACAGCATTTTGGAAACACTCCTTTTGTAGAATCTGCAGGTGGATATTTGGATAGCTTTGAAGATTTCGTTGGAAACCGGAATATCTTCATATAAAATCAAGACAGAAGCATTCTCGGAAACATCTCTGTGATGTTTGCATTCAACTCAGTAGAGTTGAACACTTCCTTTCATAGAGCAGGTTTGAAACACTCTTTCTGCACTACCTGGAAGCGGACATTTCGAGCGCTTTGAGGCCTATGGTGAAAAAGGAAATATCTTCTCATAAAAACCAGAAAGAAGCATTCTCAGAAACTTCTTTGTGTTGTGTGTACTCAAGTAACAGTGTTGAACCTTCCTTTTGACAGAGCAGTTTTGAAACACTCTTTTGGTAGAATCTGCAAGTGGATATTTGGATAGCTTTGAGGATTTCGTTGGAAACGGGTTATCTTCATATAAAATCCAGACAGGAGCATTCTCAGAAACTTCTTTGTGCTGTATGTCCTCAATTCACAGAGCTGAACCTTTGTTTGGATACAGCATTTTGGAGACATTCCTTTAGTAGAATCTGCAAGTTGATATTTAGATAGCTTTGAAGATTTCGTTGGAAACGGGAATATCTTCATAGAAAATCTAGACGGAAGCTTTCTCAGAAACTGCTTTGTGATGTTTGCATTCAAATCACAGAGTTGAATATTCCCTTTTATAGAGTAGGTTTGAAACACTCTTTCGGCACTACCTGGAAGTGGATATTTCGAGCTCTTTGAGGCCTATGGTTAAAAGGAAATATCTTCCCATAAAAACTAGACAGAAGCCGTCTCAGAAACTTGTTTGTGATGTGTGTATTCAACTAACAGAGTTGAACATTTCTGTTACAGAGCAATTTTAAAACACTCTTTTTGTGGAATCTGAAAGTGGATATTTGGGTAGCTTTGTGGATTTCGTTAGAAACGGGATGACGTATAAAATCTAGAGAGAAGCATTCTCAGGAACTTCTTTCTGATGTTTGCATTCAAGTCACAGAATTGAACATTCCTTTTCAGAGTGCAGGTTTGAAACACACTCTTTCTGTAGTATCTGGAAGTGGACATTTCAAGCGCTTTCAGGCCTACGGGGAGAAAGGAAATATCTTCAAATAAAAACTAGACAGAAGGATTCTCAGAAACTTATTTGTGATGTGTGTCCTAAACGAACACAGTTGAACCTTTGTTTTGATACAGCATTTTGGAAACACTCCTTTTGTAGGATCTGCAGGTGGATATTTGGATAGATTTTAAGATTTCGTTGGAAACGGGAATTTCTGCATATAAACTCAAGACAGATGCATTCTCAGAAACTTCTCTGTGATGTTTGCATTCCACTCATAGAGTTGAAAACTTCCTTTCATAGAGCAGGTTTGAAACACTCTTTTTGTAATATTTGGAAGTGGACATTTGCAGCGCTTTGAGGCCTATGGTGAAAAAGGAAATATCTTCTCATAAAAACCAGAAACAAGCATTCTCAGAAACTTCTTTTTGATGTGTGTACTCAAGTAACAGAGTTGAACCTTCCTTTTGACACAGCAGTTTTGAAACAATCTTTTTGTAGAATCTGCAAGTGGATATTTGGATAGCTTTGAGGATTTCGTTGGAAACGGGATATCTTCATATAAAATCTAGACAGAAGCATTCTCAGAAACTTCTTTGTGCTGTATGTCCTCAATTAACAGAGTTGAACCATTGCTTGGATACAGCATTTTGGAAACATTCCTTGAGTAGAATCTGCAAGTTGATATTTAGATAGATTTGAAGATTTCGTTGGAAAAGGGAATATCTCCATATAAAATCTAGAGGGAAGCATTCTCAGAAACTGCTTTATGATGTTTCCATTCAAGTCACAGAGTTGAATATTCCCTTTTATAGAGCACGTTTGAAACAATCTTTCTGCACTATCTGGAAGTGGACATTTCGAGCGCTTTGAGGCCTATGGTGAAAAAGGAAATATCTTCCCATAAAAACTAGACAGAAGCATTCTCAGAAACTTGTTTGTGATGTGTGTATTCAACTAACAGAGTTGAACTTTTGTTTTTACAGAGCCGTTTTAAAACACTCTTTTTGTGGAATCAGAAAGTGGATATTCGGATGGCTCTGAGGATTTCGTTGGAAGCGGGATTACATATAAAATCTAGAGAGAAGCATTCTCAGGAACTTCTTTGTGATGTTTGCATTGAAGTCACAGAATTGAACATTCACTTTGATAGAGCAGGTTTGAAACACTCATTCTGTAGTATCTGGAAGTGGACATTTCAAGCGCTTTCAGGCCTATGGTGAGAAAGGAAATATCTTCGAATAAAAACTAGACAGAAGCATCCTCAAACTTATTTGTGATGTGTGTCCTCAACTAACAGAGTTGAAACTTTGTTTTGATACAGCATTTTGGAAACACTCTTTTTGTAGAATCTGCAGGTGGATATTTGGATAGCTTAGAGGGATTCGTTGGAAAGGGGATATCTTCATATAGAATCTAGACAGAAGCATTCTCAGAAACTTATTTGTGATGTGTGTCCTCAACTAACAGAGTTGAACCTTGGTTTTGATACAGCATTTTGGAAACACTCCTTTTGTAGAATCTGCAGGTGGATATGTGGATAGCTCTGAAGATTTCGTTGGAAACGGGAATTTCTTCATATAAAATCAAACAGAAGCATTCTCAGAAACTTCTCAGTGATGTTTGCATTCAGCTCATGGAGTTGTACACTTCCTTTCATAGAGCAGGTTTGAAACACTCTTTCTGCACTACCTGGAAGAGGACATTTCAAGCGCTTTGAGTCCTATGGTGAAAAAGGAAATATCTTCTCATAGAAACCAGAAAGAAGCATTCTCAGAAACTTCTTTGTGTTGTGTGTACTCATGTAACAGTGTTGAACCATCCTTTTGACAGAGGAGTTTTGAAACACTCTTTTTGTAGAATCTGCAAGTGGATATTTGGATAGCTTTGAGGATTTCGTTGGAAACGGGATGACATATAATATCTAGAGAGAAGCATTCTCAGGAACTTCTTTGTGATGTTTGCATTCAAGTCACAGAATTGAACATTCCCTTTCATAGAGCAGGTTTGAAACACTCTTTCTCTAGTATCTGGAAGTGGGCATTTCAAGCGCTTTCAGGCCTATGGAGAGAAAGGAAATACCTTCAAATAAAAACTAGACAGAAGCATTCTCAGAAACTTATTTGTGATGTGTGTCCTCAACTAACAGAGTTGAACCTTTGTTTTGATACAGCATTTTGGAAACACTCCTTTTGTAGAATCTGCAGGTGGATATTTGGATAGCTTTGAAGATTTCGTTGGAAACCGGAATATCTTCATATAAAATCAAGACAGAAGCATTCTCGGAAACATCTCTGTGATGTTTGCATTCAACTCAGTAGAGTTGAACACTTCCTTTCATAGAGCAGGTTTGAAACACTCTTTCTGCACTACCTGGAAGTGGACATTTCGAGCGCTTTGAGGCCTATGGTGAAAAAGGAAATATCTTCTCATAAAAACCAGAAAGAAGCATTCTCAGAAACTTCTTTGTGTTGTGTGTACTCAAGTAACAGTGTTGAACCTTCCTTTTGACAGAGTAGTTTTGAAACACTCTTTTGGTAGAATCTGCAAGTGGATATTTGGATAGCTTTGAGGATTTCGTTGGAAACGGGTTATCTTCCTATAAAATCCAGACAGGAGCATTCTCAGAAACTTCTTTGTGCTGTATGTCCTCAATTCACAGAGCTGAACCTTTGTTTGGATACAGCATTTTGGAGACATTCCTTTAGTAGAATCTGCAAGTTGATATTTAGATAGCTTTGAAGATTTCGTTGGAAACGGGAATATCTTCATAGAAAATCTAGACGGAAGCATTCTCAGAAACTGCTTTGTGATGTTTGCATTCAAGTCACAGAGTTGAATATTCCCTTTTATAGAGTAGGTTTGAAACACTCTTTCGGCACTACCTGGAAGTGGATATTTCGAGCTCTTTGAGGCCTATGGTTAAAAGGAAATATCTTCCCATAAAAACTAGACAGAAGCCGTCTCAGAAACTTGTTTGTGATGTGTGTATTCAACTACCAGAGTTGAACATTTCTGTTACAGAGCAATTTTAAAACACTCTTTTTGTGGAATCTGAAAGTGGATAATTGGATAGCTTTGTGGATTTCGTTGGAAACGGGATGACGTATAAAATCTAGAGAGAAGCATTCTCAGGAACTTCTTTCTGATGTTTGCATTCAAGTCACAGAATTGAACATTCCTTTTCATAGTGCAGGTTTGAAACACTCTTTCTGTAGTATCTGGAAGGGGACATTTGAAGCGCTTTCAGGCCTCTGGGGGAGGAAGGAAATATCTTCAAATAAAAACTAGACAGAAGGATTCTCAGAAACTTATTTGTGATGTGTGTCCTAAACGATTACAGTTGAACCTTTGTTTTGATACAGCATTTAGGAAGCACTCCTTTTGTAGAATCTGCAGGTGGATATTTGGATAGATTTTAAGATTTCATTGGAAACGGGAATTTCTTCATATAAACTCAAGACAGATGCATTCTCAGAAACTTCTCTGTGATGTTTGCATTCCACTCACAGAGTTGAAAACTTCCTTTCATAGAGCAGGTTTGAAACACTCTTTTTGTAATATTTGGAAGTGGACATTTGCAGCGCTTTGAGGCCTATGGTGAAAAAGGAAATATCTTCTCATAAAAACCAGAAACAAGCATTCTCAGAAACTGCTTTTTGATGTGTGTACTCAAGTAACAGAGTTGAACCTTCCTTTTGACACAGCAGTTTTGAAACAATCTTTTTGTAGAATCTGCAAGTGGATATTTGGATAGCTTTGAGGATTTCGTTGGAAACGGGATATCTTCGTATAAAATCTAGACAGAAGCATTCTCAGAAACTTCTTTGTGCTGTATGTCCTCAATTAACAGAGTTGAACCATTGCTTGGATACAGCATTTTGGAAACATTCCTTGAGTAGAATCTGCAAGTTGATATTTAGATAGATTTGAAGATTTCGTTGGAAAAGGGAATATCTCCATATAAAATCTAGAGGGAAGCATTCTCAGAAACTGCTTTGTGATGTTTCCATTCAAGTCACAGAGTTGAATATTCCCTTTTATAGAGCACGTTTGAAACACTCTTTCTGCACTATCTGGAAGCGGACATTTCGAGCGCTTTGAGGCCTATGGTGAAAAAGGAAATATCTTCCCATAAAAACTAGACAGAAGCATTCTCAGAAACTTGTTTGTGATGTGTGTATTCAACTAACAGAGTTGAACTTTTGTTTTTACAGAGCCGTTTTAAAACACTCTTTTTGTGGAATCAGAAAGTGGATATTCGGATGGCTCTGAGGATTTCGTTGGAAGCGGGATTACGTATAAAATCTAGAGAGAAGCATTCTCAGGAACTTCTTTGTGATGTTTGCATTGAAGTCACAGAATTGAACATTCACTTTGATAGAGCAGGTTTGAAACACTCATTCTGTAGTATCTGGAAGTGGACATTTCAAGCGCTTTCAGGCCTATGGTGAGAAAGGAAATATCTTCGAATAAAAACTAGACAGAAGCATCCTCAAACTAATTGGTGATGTGTGTCCTCAACTAACAGAGTTGAAACTTTGTTTTGATACAGCATTTTGGAAACACTCTTTTTGTAGAATCTGCAGGTGGATATTTGGATAGCTTAGAGGGATTCGTTGGAAAGGGGATATCTTCATATAAAATCTAGACAGAAGCATTCTCAGAAACTTATTTGTGATGTGTGTCCTCAACTAACAGAGTTGAACCTTGGTTTTGATACAGCATTTTGGAAACACTCCTTTTGAAGAATCTGCAGGTGGATATGTGGATAGCTTTGAAGATTTCGTTGGAAACGGGAATTTCTTCATATAAAATCAAACAGAAGCATTCTCAGGAACTTCTCAGTGATGTTTGCATTCAGCTCATGGAGTTGAACACTTCCTTACATAGAGCAGGTTTGAAACACTCTTTCTGCACTACCTGGAAGTGGACATTTCGAGCGCTTTGAGGCCTATGGTGAAAAAGGAAATATCCTCTCATAAAAACCAGAAAGAAGCGTTCTCAGAAACTTCTTTGTGTTGTGTGTACTCATGTAACAGTGTTGAACCATCCTTTTGACAGAGCAGTTTTGAAACACTCTTTTTGTAGAATCTGCCAGTGGATATTTGGATAGCTTTGAGGATTTCGTTGGAAACGGGTTATCTTCATATTAAATCTAGACAGAAGCATTCTCAGAAACTTCTTTGTGCTGTATGTCCTCAATTCACAGAGTTGAACCTTTGTTTGGATACAGCATTTTGGAAACATTCCTTTAGTAGAATCTGCAAGTTGATATTTAGATAGCTTTGAAGATTTCGTTGGAAACGGGAATATCTTCATAAAAAATCTAGACGGAAGCATTGTCAGAAACTGCTTTGTGATGTTTGCATTCAAGTCACAGAGTTAAATATTCTTTTACAGAGCAGGTTTGAAACACTCTTTCTGCACTCCCTGGAAGTGGAGATTTCGAGCGCTTTGAGGCCTGTGGTGAAAAAGGAAATATCTTCCCATAAAAACTAGACGGAAGCATTCTCAGAAACTTGTTTATGATGTGTGTATTCAACTAACAGACTTGAACTTTTGTTTTTACAGAGCAGTTTTAACACAATCTTTTTGTGGAATCAGAAAGTGGATATTCGGATGGCTTTGAGGATTTCGTTGGAAGCGGGATTACATATAAAATCTAGAGAGAAGCATTCTCAGGAACTTCTTTGTGATGTTTGCATTGAAGTCACAGAATTGAACATTCACTTTGATAGAGCAGGTTTGAAACACTCATTCTGTAGTATCTGGAAGTGGACATTTCAAGCGCTTTCAGGCCTATGGTGAGAAAGGAAATATCTTCGAATAAAAACTAGACAGAAGCATCCTCAAACTTATTTGTGATGTGTGTCCTCAACTAACAGAGTTGAAACTTTGTTTTGATACAGCATTTTGGAAACACTCTTTTTGTAGAATCTGCAGGTGGATATTTGGATAGCTTAGAGGGATTCGTTGGAAAGGGGATATCTTCATATAAAATCTAGACAGAAGCATTCTCAGAAACTTATTTGTGATGTGTGTCCTCAACTAACAGAGTTGAACCTTGGTTTTGATACAGCATTTTGGAAACACTCCTTTTGTAGAATCTGCAGGTGGATATGAGGAGAGCTCTGAAGATTTCGTTGGAAACGGGAATTTCTTCATATAAAATCAAACAGAAGCGTTCTCAGAAACTTCTCTGTGATGTTTGCATTCAGCTCATGGAGTTGAACACTTCCTTTCATAGATTAGGTTTGAAACACTCTTTCTGCACTACCAGGAAGTGGACATATCAAGCGCTTTGAGTCCTATGGTGAAAAAGGAAATATCTTCTCATAAAAACCAGAAAGAAGCGTTCTCAGAAACTTCTTTGTGTTGCGTGTACTCATGTAACAGTGTTGAACCATCCTTTTGACAGAGCAGTTTTGAAACACTCTTTTTGTAGAATCTGCCAGTGGATATTTGGATAGCTTTGAGGATTTCGTTGGAAACGGGTTATCTTCATATTAAATCTAGACAGAAGCATTCTCAGAAACTTCTTTGTGCTGTATGTCCTCAATTCACAGAGTTGAACCTTTGTTTGGATACAGCATTTTGGAAACATTCCTTTAGTAGAATCTGCAAGTTGATATTTAGATAGCTTTGAAGATTTCGTTGGAAACGGGAATATCTTCATAAAAAATCTAGACGGAAGCATTGTCAGAAACTGCTTTGTGATGTTTGCATTCAAGTCACAGAGTTAAATATTCTTTTACAGAGCAGGTTTGAAACACTCTTTCTGCACTCCCTGGAAGTGGAGATTTCGAGCGCTTTGAGGCCTAAGGTGAAAAAGGAAATATCTTCCCATAAAAACTAGACGGAAGCCTTCTCAGAAACTTGTTTGAGATGTGTGTATTCAACTAAGAGCGTTGAACATTTCTTTTTACAGAGCAGTTTTAAAACACTCTTTTTGTGGAATCTGAAAGTGGATAATTGGATAGCTTTGTGGATTTCGTTGGAAACGGGATGACGTATAAAATCTAGAGAGAAGCATTCTCAGGAACTTCTTTCTGATGTTTGCATTCAAGTCACAGAATTGAACATTCCTTTTCATAGTGCAGGTTTGAAACACTCTTTCTGTAGTATCTGGAAGTGGACATTTCAAGCGCTTTCAGGCCTGTGGGGAGAAAGGAAATATCTTCAAATAAAAACTAGACAGAAGGATTCTCAGAAACTTATTTGTGATGTGTGTCCTAAACGAACACAGTTGAACCTTTGTTTTGATACAGCATTTTGGAAACACTCCTTTTGTAGAATCTGCAGGTGGATATTTGGATAGATTTTAAGATTTCATTGGAAACGGGAATTTCTTCATATAAACTCAAGACAGATGCATTCTCAGAAACTTCTCTGTGATGTTTGCATTCCACTCACAGATTTGAAAACTTCCCTTCATAGAGCAGGTTTGAAACACTCTTTTTGTAATATTTGGAAGTGGACATTTGCAGCGCTTTGAGACCTATGGTGAAAAAGGAAATATCTTCTCATAAAAACCAGAAACAAGCATTCTCAGAAACTGCTTTTTGATGTGTGTACTCAAGTAACAGAGTTGAACCTTCCTTTTGACACAGCAGTTTTGAAACAATCTTTTTGTAGAATCTGCAAGTGGATATTTGGATAGCTTTGAGGATTTCGTTGGAAACGGGATATCTTCATATAAAATCTAGACAGAAGCATTCTCAGAAACTTCTTTGTGCTGTATGTCCTCAATTAACAGAGTTGAACCATTGCTTGGATACAGCATTTTGGAAACATTCCTTTAGTAGAATCTGCAAGTTGATATTTAGATAGATTTGAAGATTTCGTTGGAAACGGGAATATCTTCATATAAAATCTAGACGGAGGCATTCTCAGAAACTGCTTTGTGATGTTTCCATTCAAGTCAGAGAGTTGAATATTCTCTTTTATAGAGCACGTTTGAAACACTCTTTCTGCACTATCTGGAAGTGGACATTTCGAGCGCTATGAGGCCTATGGTGAAAAAGGAAATATCTTCCCATAAAAACTAGACAGAAGCATTCTCAGAATCTTGTTTGTGATGTGTGTATTCAACTAACAGACTTGAACTTTTGTTTTTACGGAGCAGTTTTAAGACAATCTTTTTGTGGAATCAGAAAGTGGATATTCGGATGGCTTTGAGGACCTCGTTGGAAGCGGGATTACATATAAAATCTAGAGAGAAGCATTCTCAGGAACTTCTTTGTGATGTTTGCATTGAAGTCACAGAATTGAACATTCACTTTGATAGAGCAGGTTTGAAACACTCATTCTGTAGTATCTGGAAGTGGACATTTCAAGCGCTTTCAGGCCTATGGTGAGAAAGGAAATATCTTCGAATAAAAACTAGACAGAAGCATCCTCAGAAACTTATTTGTGATGTGTGTCCTCAACTAACAGAGTTGAAACTTTGTTTTGATACAGCATTTTGGAAACACTCTTTTTGTAGAATCTGCAGGTGGATATTTGGATAGCTTAGAGGGATTCTTTGGAAAGGGGATATCTTCATATAAAATCTAGACAGAAGCATTCTCAGAAACTTATTTGTGATGTGTGTCCTCAACTAACAGAGTTGAACCTTGGTTTTGATACAGCATTTTGGAAACACTCCTTTTGTAGAATCTGCAGGTGGATATGTGGATAGCTCTAAAGATTTCGTTGGAAACGGGAATTTCTTCATATAAAATCAAACAGAAGCATTCTCAGAAACTTCTCAGTGATGTTTGCATTCAGTTCATGGAGTTGAACACTTCCTTTCATAGAGCAGGTTTGAAACACTCTTTCTGCACTACCTGGAAGAGGACATTTCGAGCGCTTTGAGTCCTATGGTGAATAAGGAAATATCTTCTCATAGAAACCAGAAAGAAGCATTCTCAGAAACTTCTTTGTGTTGTGTGTACTCATGTAACAGTGTTGAACCATCCTTTTGACAGAGCAGTTTTGAAACACTCTTTTTGTAGAATCTGCAAGTGGATATTTGGATAGCTTTGAGGATTTCGTTGGAAACGGGATGACATATAATATCTAGAGAGAAGCATTCTCAGGAACTTCTTTGTGATGTTTGCATTCAAGTCACAGAATTGAACATTCCCTTTCATAGAGCAGGTTTGAAACACTCTTTCTCTAGTATCTGGAAGTGGGCATTTCAAGCGCTTTCAGGCCTATGGAGAGAAAGGAAATACCTTCAAATGAAAACTAGACAGAAGCATTCTCAGAAACTTATTTGTGATGTGTGTCCTCAACTAACAGAGTTGAACCTTTGTTTTGATACAGCATTTTGGAAACACTCCTTTTGTAGAATCTGCAGGTGGATATTTGGATAGCTTTGAAGATTTCGTTGGAAACCGGAATATCTTCATATAAAATCAAGACAGAAGCATTCTCGGAAACATCTCTGTGATGTTTGCATTCAACTCAGTAGAGTTGAACACTTCCTTTCATAGAGCAGGTTTGAAACACTCTTTCTGCACTACCTGGAAGCGGACATTTCGAGCGCTTTGAGGCCTATGGTGAAAAAGGAAATATCTTCTCATAAAAACCAGAAAGAAGCATTCTCAGAAACTTCTTTGTGTTGTGTGTACTCAAGTAACAGTGTTGAACCTTCCTTTTGACAGAGTAGTTTTGAAACACTCTTTTGGTAGAATCTGCAAGTGGATATTTGGATAGCTTTGAGGATTTCGTTGGAAACGGGTTATCTTCCTATAAAATCCAGACAGGAGCATTCTCAGAAACTTCTTTGTGCTGTATGTCCTCAATTCACAGAGCTGAACCTTTGTTTGGATACAGCATTTTGGAGACATTCCTTTAGTAGAATCTGCAAGTTGATATTTAGATAGCTTTGAAGATTTCGTTGGAAACGGGAATATCTTCATAGAAAATCTAGACGGAAGCATTCTCAGAAACTGCTTTGTGATGTTTGCATTCAAGTCACAGAGTTGAATATTCCCTTTTATAGAGTAGGTTTGAAACACTCTTTCGGCACTACCTGGAAGTGGATATTTCGAGCTCTTTGAGGCCTATGGTTAAAAGGAAATATCTTCCCATAAAAACTAGACAGAAGCCGTCTCAGAAACTTGTTTGTGATGTGTGTATTCAACTAACAGAGTTGAACATTTCTGTTACAGAGCAATTTAAAACACTCTTTTTGTGGAATCTGAAAGTGGATAATTGGATAGCTTTGTGGATTTCGTTGGAAACGGGATGACGTATAAAATCTAGAGAGAAGCATTCTCAGGAACTTCTTTCTGATGTTTGCATTCAAGTCACAGAATTGAACATTCCTTTTCAGAGTGCAGGTTTGAAACACTCTTTCTGTAGTATCTGGAAGTGGACATTTCAAGCGCTTTCAGGCCTACGGGGAGAAAGGAAATATCTTCAAATAAAAACTAGACAGAAGGATTCTCAGAAACTTATTTGTGATGTGTGTCCTAAACGAACACAGTTGAACCTTTGTTTTGATACAGCATTTTGGAAACACTCCTTTTGTAGGATCTGCAGGTGGATATTTGGATAGATTTTAAGATTTCGTTGGAAACGGGAATTTCTGCATATAAACTCAAGACAGATGCATTCTCAGAAACTTCTCTGTGATGTTTGCATTCCACTCATAGAGTTGAAAACTTCCTTTCATAGAGCAGGTTTGAAACACTCTTTTTGTAATATTTGGAAGTGGACATTTGCAGCGCTGTGAGGCCTATGGTGAAAAAGGAAATATCTTCTCATAAAAACCAGAAACAAGCATTCTCAGAAACTTCTTTTTGATGTGTGTACTCAAGTAACAGAGTTGAACCTTCCTTTTGACACAGCAGTTTTGAAACAATCTTTTTGTAGAATCTGCAAGTGGATATTTGGATAGCTTTGAGGATTTCGTTGGAAACGGGATATCTTCATATAAAATCTAGACAGAAGCATTCTCAGAAACTTCTTTGTGCTGTATGTCCTCAATTAACAGAGTTGAACCATTGCCTGGATACAGCATTTTGGAAACATTCCTTGAGTAGAATCTGCAAGTTGATATTTAGATAGATTTGAAGATTTCGTTGGAAACGGGAATATCTCCATATAAAATCTAGAGGGAAGCATTCTCAGAAACTGCTTTGTGATGTTTCCATTCAAGTCACAGAGTTGAATATTCCCTTTTATAGAGCACGTTTGAAACACTCTTTCTGCACTATCTGGAAGCGGACATTTCGAGCGCTTTGAGGCCTATGGTGAAAAAGGAAATATCTTCCCATAAAAACTAGACAGAAGCATTCTCAGAAACTTGTTTGTGATGTGTGTATTCAACTAACAGAGTTGAACTTTTGTTTTTACAGAGCCGTTTTAAAACACTCTTTTTGTGGAATCAGAAAGTGGATATTCGGATGGCTCTGAGGATTTCGTTGGAAGCGGGATTACGTATAAAATCTAGAGAGAAGCATTCTCAGGAACTTCTTTGTGATGTTTGCATTCAAGTCACAGAATTGAACATTCCCTTTCATAGAGCAGGTTTGAAACACTCTTTCTCTAGTATCTGGAAGTGGGCATTTCAAGCGCTTTCAGGCCTATGGAGAGAAAGGAAATACCTTCAAATAAAAACTAGACAGAAAGCATTCTCAGTAAACTTATTTGTGATGTGTGTCCTCAACTAACAGAGTTGAACCTTTGTTTTGATACAGCATTTTGGAAACACTCCTTTTGTAGAATCTGCAGGTGGATATTTGGATAGCTTTGAAGATTTCGTTGGAAACCGGAATATCTTCATATAAAATCAAGACAGAAGCATTCTCGGAAACATCTCTGTGATGTTTGCATTCAACTCAGTAGAGTTGAACACTTCCTTTCATAGAGCAGGTTTGAAACACTCTTTCTGCACTACCTGGAAGCGGACATTTCGAGCGCTTTGAGGCCTATGGTGAAAAAGGAAATATCTTCTCATAAAAACCAGAAAGAAGCATTCTCAGAAACTTCTTTGTGTTGTGTGTACTCAAGTAACAGTGTTGAACCTTCCTTTTGACAGAGCAGTTTTGAAACACTCTTTTGGTAGAATCTGCAAGTGGATATTTGGATAGCTTTGAGGATTTCGTTGGAAACAGGTTATCTTCATGTAAAATCCAGACAGGAGCATTCTCAGAAACTTCTTTGTGCTATATGTCCTCAATTCACAGAGCTGAACCTTTGTTTGGATACAGCATTTTGGAAACATTCCTTTAGTAAAATCTGCAAGTTCATATTTAGATAGCTTTGAAGATTTCGTTGGAAACGGGAATAGCTTCATAGAAAATGTAGACGGAAGCATTCTCAGAAACTGCTTTGTGATGTTTGCATTCAAGTCACAGAGTTGAATATTCCCTTTTATAGAGTAGGTTTGAAACACTCTTTCGGCACTACCTGGAAGTGGATATTTCGAGCTCTTTGAGGCCTATGGTTAAAAGGAAATATCTTCCCATAAAAACTAGACAGAAGCCGTCTCAGAAACTTGTTTGTGATGTGTGTATTCAACTAACAGAGTTGAACATTTCTGTTACAGAGCAATTCAAAACACTCTTTTTGTGGAATCTGAAAGTGGATAATTGGATAGCTTTGTGGATTTCGTTGGAAACGGGATGACGTATAAAATCTAGAGAGAAGCATTCTCAGGAACTTCTTTCTGATGTTTGCATTCAAGTCACAGAATTGAACATTCCTTTTCAGAGTGCAGGTTTGAAACACTCTTTCTGTAGTATCTGGAAGTGGACATTTCAAGCGCTTTCAGGCCTACAGGGAGAAAGGAAATATCTTCAAATAAAAACTAGAGAGAAGGATTCTCAGAAACTTATTTGTGATGTGTGTTCTCAACGAACACAGTTGAACCTTTGTTTTGATATAGCATTTTGGAAGCACTCTTTTGTAGAATCTGCAGGTGGATATTTGGATAGATTTTAAGATTTCATTGGAAACGGGAATTTCTTCATATAAACTCAAGACAGATGCATTCTCAGAAACTTCTCTGTGATGTTTGCATTCCACTCACAGAGTTGAAAACTTCCTTTCATAGAGCAGGTTTGAAACACTCTTTTTGTAATATTTGGATGTGGACATTTGCAGCGCTTTGAGGCCTATGGTGAAAAAGGAAATATCTTCTCATAAAAACCAGAAACAAGCATTCTCAGAAACTGCTTTTTGATGTGTGTACTCAAGTAACAGAGTTGAACCTTCCTTTTGACACAGCAGTTTTGAAACAATCTTTTTGTAGAATCTGCAAGTGGATATTTGGATAGCTTTGAGGATTTCGTTGGAAACGGGATATCTTCATATAAAATCTAGACAGAAGCATTCTCAGAAACTTCTTTGTGCTGTATGTCCTCAATTAACAGAGTTGAACCATTGCTTGGATACAGCATTTTGGAAACATTCCTTTAGTAGAATCTGCAAGTTGATATTTAGATAGATTTGAAGATTTCGTTGGAAACGGGAATATCTTCATAAAAAATCTAGACGGAAGCATTGTCAGAAACTGCTCTGTGATGTTTGCATTCAAGTCACAGAGTTAAATATTCTTTTATAGAGCAGGTTTGAAACACTCTTTCTGCACTCCCTGGAAGTGGAGATTTCGAGCGCTTTGAGGCTTATTTTGAAAAAGGAAATATCTTCCCGTAAAAACTAGACGGAAGCCGTCTCAGAAACTTGTTTGTGATGTGTGTATTCAACTACCAGAGTTGAACATTTCTGTTACAGAGCAATTTTAAAACACTCTTTTTGTGGAATCTGAAAGTGGATAATTGGATAGCTTTGTGGATTTCGTTGGAAACGGGATGACGTATAAAATCTAGAGAGAAGCATTCTCAGGAACTTCTTTCTGATGTTTGCATTCAAGTCACAGAATTGAACATTCCTTTTCAGAGTGCAGGTTTGAAACACACTCTTTCTGTAGTATCTGGAAGTGGACATTTCAAGCGCTTTCAGGCCTACGGGGAGAAAGGAAATATCTTCAAATAAAAACTAGACAGAAGGATTCTCAGAAACTTATTTGTGATGTGTGTCCTAAACGAACACAGTTGAACCTTTGTTTTGATACAGCATTTTGGAAACACTCCTTTTGTAGGATCTGCAGGTGGATATTTGGATAGATTTTAAGATTTCGTTGGAAACGGGAATTTCTGCATATAAACTCAAGACAGATGCATTCTCAGAAACTTCTCTGTGATGTTTGCATTCCACTCATAGAGTTGAAAACTTCCTTTCATAGAGCAGGTTTGAAACACTCTTTTTGTAATATGTGGAAGTGGACATTTGCAGCGCTTTGAGGCCTATGGTGAAAAAGGAAATATCTTCTCATAAAAACCAGAAACAAGCATTCTCAGAAACTTCTTTTTGATGTGTGTACTCAAGTAACAGAGTTGAACCTTCCTTTTGACACAGCAGTTTTGAAACAATCTTTTTGTAGAATCTGCAAGTGGATATTTGGATAGCTTTGAGGATTTCGTTGGAAACGGGATATCTTCATATAAAATCTAGACAGAAGCATTCTCAGAAACTTCTTTGTGCTGTATGACCTCAATTAACAGAGTTGAACCATTGCTTGCATACAGCATTTTGGAAACATTCCTTGAGTAGAATCTGCAAGTTGATATTTAGATAGATTTGAAGATTTCGTTCGAAAACGGAATATCTCCATATAAAATCTAGAGGGAAGCATTCTCAGAAACTGCTTTGTGATGTTTCCTTTCAAGTCACAGAGTTGAATATTCCCTTTTATAGAGCACGTTTGAAACACTCTTTCTGCGCTATCTGGAAGTGGACATTTCGAGCGCTTTGAGGCCTATGGTGAAAAAGGAAATATCTTCCCATAAAAACTAGACAGAAGCATTCTCAGAAACTTGTTTGTGATGTGTGTATTCAACTAACAGAGTTGAACTTTTGTTTTTACAGAGCCGTTTTAAAACACTCTTTTTGTGGAATCAGAAAGTGGATATTCGGATGGCTCTGAGGATTTCGTTGGAAGCGGGATTACGTATAAAATCTAGAGAGAAGCATTCTCAGGAACTTCTTTGTGATGTTTGCATTGAAGTCACAGAATTGAACATTCACTTTGATAGAGCAGGTTTGAAACACTCATTCTGTAGTATCTGGAAGTGGACATTTCAAGCACTTTCAGGCCTATGGTGAGAAAGGAAATATCTTCGAATAAAAACTAGACAGAAGCATCCTCAAACTTATTTGTGATGTGTGTCCTCAACTAACAGAGTTGAAACTTTGTTTTGATACAGCATTTTGGAAACACTCTTTTTGTAGAATCTGCAGGTGGATATTTGGATAGCTTAGAGGGATTCGTTGGAAAGGGGATATCTTCATATAAAATCTAGACAGAAGCATTCTCAGAAACTTATTTGTGATGTGTGTCCTCAACTAACAGAGTTGAACCTTGGTTTTGATACAGCATTTTGGAAACACTCCTTTTGTAGAATCTGCAGGTGGATATGTGGATAGCTCTGAAGATTTCGATGGAAACGGGAATTTCTTCATATAAAATCAAACAGAAGCATTCTCAGAAACTTCTCAGTGATGTTTGCATTCAGCTCATGGAGTTGTACACTTCCTTTCATAGAGCAGGTTTGAAACACTCTTTCTGCACTACCTGGAAGAGGACATTTCGAGCGCTTTGAGTCCTATGGTGAAAAAGGAAATATCTTCTCATAGAAACCAGAAAGAAGCATTCTCAGAAACTTCTTTGTGTTGTGTGTACTCAAGTAACAGTGTTGAACCTTCCTTTTGACAGAGCAGTTTTGAAACACTCTTTTGGTAGAATCTGCAAGTGGATATTTGGATAGCTTTGAGGATTTCGTTGGAAACGGGTTATCTTCCTATAAAATCCAGACAGGAGCATTCTCAGAAACTTCTTTGTGCTGTATGTCCTCAATTCACAGAGCTGAACCTTTGTTTGGATACAGCATTTTGGAGACATTCCTTTAGTAGAATCTGCAAGTTGATATTTAGATAGCTTTGAAGATTTCGTTGGAAACGGGAATATCTTCATAGAAAATCTAGACGGAAGCATTCTCAGAAACTGCTTTGTGATGTTTGCATTCAAGTCACAGAGTTGAATATTCCCTTTTATAGAGTAGGTTTGAAACACTCTTTCGGCACTACCTGGAAGTGGATATTTCGAGCTCTTTGAGGCCTATGGTTAAAAGGAAATATCTTCCCATAAAAACTAGACAGAAGCCTTCTCAGAAACTTGTTTGAGATGTGTGTATTCAACTAAGAGCGTTGAACATTTCTTTTTACAGAGCAGTTTTAAAACACTCTTTTGTGGAATCTGAAAGTGGATAATTGGATAGCTTTGTGGATTTCGTTGGAAACGGGATGACGTATAAAATCTAGAGGGAAGCATTCTCAGGAACTTCTTTCTGATGTTTGCATTCAAGTCACAGAATTGACATTCCTTTTCAGAGTGCAGGTTTGAAACACTCTTTCTGTAGTATCTGGAAGTGGACATTTCAAGCGCTTTCAGGCCTATGGGGAGAAAGGAAATATCTTCAAATAAAAACTAGACAGAAGGATTCTCAGAAACTTATTTGTGATGTGTGTCCTAAGCGAACACAGTTGAACCTTTGTTTTGATACAGCATTTTGGAAACACTCCTTTTGTAGAATCTGCAGGTGGATATTTGGATAGATTTTAAGATTTCATTGGAAACGGGAATTTCTGCATAGAAACTCAAGACAGATGCATTCTCAGAAACTTCTCTGTGATGTTTGCATTCCACTCATAGAGTTGAAAACTTCCTTTCATAGAGCAGGTTTGAAACACTCTTTTTGTAATATTTGGAAGTGGACATTTGCAGCGCTTTGAGGCCTATGGTGAAAAAGGAAATATCTTCTCATAAAAACCAGAAACAAGCATTCTCAGAAACTTCTTTTTGATGTGTGTACTCAAGTAACAGAGTTGAACCTTCCTCTTGACACAGCAGTTTTGAAACAATCTTTTTGTAGAATCTGCAAGTGGATATTTGGATAGCTTTGAGGATTTCGTTGGAAACGGGATATCTTCATATAAAATCTAGACAGAAGCATTCTCAGAAACTTCTTTGTGCTGTATGTCCTCAATTAACAGAGTTGAACCATTGCCTAGATACAGCATTTTGGAAACATTCCTTGAGTAGAATCTGCAAGTTGATATTTAGATAGATTTGAAGATTTCGTTGGAAAAGGGAATATCTCCATATAAAATCTAGAGGGAAGCATTCTCAGAAACTGCTTTGTGATGTTTCCATTCAAGTCACAGAGTTGAATATTCCCTTTTATAGAGCACGTTTGAAACACTCTTTCTGCACTATCTGGAAGCGGACATTTCGAGCGCTTTGAGGCCTATGGTGAAAAAGGAAATATCTTCCCATAAAAACTAGACAGAAGCATTCTCAGAAACTTGTTTGTGATGTGTGTATTCAACTAACAGAGTTGAACTTTTGTTTTTACAGAGCCGTTTTAAAACACTCTTTTTGTGGAATCAGAAAGTGGATATTCGGATGGCTCTGAGGATTTCGTTGGAAGCGGGATTACGTATAAAATCTAGAGAGAAGCATTCTCAGGAACTTCTTTCTGATGTTTGCATTGAAGTCACGGAATTGAACATTCACTTTTATAGAGCAGGTTTGAAACACTCATTCTGTAGTATCTGGAAGTGGACATTTCAAGCGCTTTCAGGCCTATGGTGAGAAAGGAAATATCTTCGAATAAAAACTAGACAGAAGCATCCTCAGAAACTTATTTGTGATGTGTGTCCTCAACTAACAGAGTTGAAACTTTGTTTTGATACAGCATTTTGGAAACACTCTTTTTGTAGAATCTGCAGGTGGATATTTGGATAGCTTAGAGGGATTCGTTGGAAAGGGGATATCTTCATATAAAATCTAGACAGAAGCATTCTCAGAAACTTATTTGTGATGTGTGTCCTCAACTAACAGAGTTGAACCTTGGTTTTGATACAGCATTTTGGAAACACTCCTTTTGTAGAATCTGCAGGTGGATATGTGGATAGCTCTGAAGATTTCGTTGGAAACAGGAATTTCTTCATATAAAATCAAACAGAAGCATTCTCAGAAACTTCTCAGTGATGTTTGCATTCAGTTCATGGAGTTGAACACTTCCCTTCATAGAGCCGGTTTGAAACACTCTTTCTGCACTACCTGGAAGAGGACATTTCGAGCGCTTTGAGTCCTATGGTGAAAAAGGAAATATCTTCTCATATAAACCAGAAAGAAGCATTCTCAGAAACTTCTTTGTGTTGTGTGTACTCATGTAACAGTGTTGAACCATCCTTTTGACAGAGCAGTTTTGAAACACTCTTTTTGTAGAATCTGCAAGTGGATATTTGGATAGCTTTGAGGATTTCGTTGGAAACGGGATGACATATAATATCTAGAGAGAAGCATTCTCAGGAACTTCTTTGTGATGTTTGCATTCAAGTCACAGAATTGAACATTCCCTTTCATAGAGCAGGTTTGAAACACTCTTTCTCTAGTATCTGGAAGTGGGCATTTCAAGCGCTTTCAGGCCTATGGAGAGAAAGGAAATACCTTCAAATAAAAAGTAGACAGAAGCATTCTCAGAAACTTATTTGTGATGTGTGTCCTCAACTAACAGAGTTGAACCTTTGTTTTGATACAGCATTTTGGAAACACTCCTTTTGTAGAATCTGCAGGTGGATATTTGGATAGCTTTGAAGATTTCGTTGGAAACCGGAATATGCTTCATATAAAATCAAGACAGAAGCATTCTCGGAAACATCTCTGTGATGTTTGCATTCAACTCAGTAGAGTTGAACACGTCCTTTCATAGAGCAGGTTTGAAACACTCTTTCTGCCCTACCTGGAAGCGGACATTTCGAGCTCTTTGAGGCCTATGGTGAAAAAGGAAATATCTTCTCATAAAAACCAGAAAGAAGCATTCTCAGAAACTTCTTTGTGTTGTGTGTACTCAAGTAACAGTGTTGAACCTTCCTTTTGACAGAGCAGTTTTGAAACACTCTTTTGGTAGAATCTGCAAGTGGATATTTGGATAGCTTTGAGGATTTCGTTGGAAACGGGTTATCTTCCTATAAAATCCAGACAGGAGCATTCTCAGAAACTTCTTTGTGCTGTATGTCCTCAATTCACAGAGTTGAACCTTTGTTTGGATACAGCATTTTGGAAACATTCCTTTAGTAGAATCTGCAAGTTGATATTTAGATAGCTTTGAAGATTTCGTTGGAAACGGGAATATCTTCATAAAAAATCTAGACGGAAGCATTGTCAGAAACTGCTCTGTGATGTTTGCATTCAAGTCACAGAGTTAAATATTCTTTTATAGAGCAGGTTTGAAACACTCTTTCTGCACTCCCTGGAAGTGGAGATTTCGAGCGCTTTGAGGCCTATGGTGAAAAAGGAAATATCTTCCCGTAAAAACTAGACGGAAGCCTTCTCAGAAACTTGTTTGAGATGTGTGTATTCAACTAAGAGCGTTGAACATTTCTTTTTACAGAGCAGTTTTAAAACACTCTTTTGGTGCAATCTGAAAGTGGATAATTGGATAGCTTTGTGGATTTCGTTGGAAACGGGATTACGTTTAAAATCTAGAGAGAAGCATTCTCAGGAACTTCTTTCTGATGTTTGCATTCAAGTCACAGAATTGAACATTCCTTTTCATAGTGCAGGTTTGAAACACTCTGTAGTATCTGGAAGTGGACATTTCAAGGGCTTTCAGGCCTATGGGGAGAAAGGAAATATCTTGAAATAAAAACTAGACAGAAGGATTCTCAGAAACTTATTTGTGATGTGTGTTCTCAACGAACACATTTGAACCTTTGTTTTGATATTGCATTTTGGAAGCACTCCTTTTGTAGAATCTGCAGGTGGATATTTGGATAGATTTTAAGATTTCATTGGAAACGGGAATTTCTTCATATAAACTCAAGACAGATGCATTCTCAGAAACTTCTCTGTGATGTTTGCATTCCACTCACAGATTTGAAAACTTCCCTTCATAGAGCAGGTTTGAAACACTCTTTTTGTAATATTTGGAAGTGGACATTTGCAGCGCTTTGAGACCTATGGTGAAAAAGGAAATATCTTCTCATAAAAACCAGAAACAAGCATTCTCAGAAACTTCTTTTTGATGTGTGTACTCAAGTAACAGAGTTGAACCTTCCTCTTGACACAGCAGTTTTGAAACAATCTTTTTGTAGAATCTGCAAGTGGATATTTGGATAGCTTTGAGGATTTCGTTGGAAACGGGATATCTTCATATAAAATCTAGACAGAAGCATTCTCAGAAACTTCTTTGTGCTGTATGTCCTCAATTAACAGAGTTGAACCATTGCCTGGATACAGCATTTTGGAAACATTCCATGAGTAGAATCTGCAAGTTGATATTTAGATAGATTTGAAGATTTCGTTGGAAAAGGGAATATCTCCATATAAAATCTAGAGGGAAGCATTCTCAGAAACTGCTTTGTGATGTTTCCATTCAAGTCACAGAGTTGAATATTCCCTTTTATAGAGCACGTTTGAAACACTCTTTCTGCACTATCTGGAAGCGGACATTTCGAGCGCTTTGAGGCCTATGGTGAAAAAGGAAATATCTTCCCATAAAAACTAGACAGAAGCATTCTCAGAAACTTGTTTGTGATGTGTGTATTCAACTAACAGAGTTGAACTTTTGTTTTTACAGAGCCGTTTTAAAACACTCTTTTTGTGGAATCAGAAAGTGGATATTCGGATGGCTCTGAGGATTTCGTTGGAAGCGGGATTACATATAAAATCTAGAGAGAAGCATTCTCAGGAACTTCTTTCTGATGTTTGCATTGAAGTCACGGAATTGAACATTCACTTTTATAGAGCAGGTTTGAAACACTCATTCTGTAGTATCTGGAAGTGGACATTTCAAGCGCTTTCAGGCCTATGGTGAGAAAGGAAATATCTTCGAATAAAAACTAGACAGAAGCATTCTCAGAAACTTATTTGTGATGTGTGTCCTCAACTAACAGAGTTGAAACTTTGTTTTGATACAGCATTTTGGAAACACTCTTTTTGTAGAATCTGCAGGTGGATATTTGGATAGCTTAGAGGGATTCGTTGGAAAGGGGATATCTTCATATAAAATCTAGACAGAAGCATTCTCAGAAACTTATTTGTGATGTGTGTCCTCAACTAACAGAGTTGAACCTTGGTTTTGATACAGCATTTTGGAAACACTCCTTTTGTAGAATCTGCAGGTGGATATGTGGATAGCTCTGAAGATTTCGTTGGAAACGGGAATTTCTTCATATAAAATCAAACAGAAGCATTCTCAGAAACTTCTCAGTGATGTTTGCATTCAGCTCATGGAGTTGAACACTTCCTTTCATAGAGCAGGTTTGAAACACTCTTTCTGCACTACCTGGAAGAGGACATTTCGAGCGCTTTGGGTCCTATGGTGAAAAAGGAAATATCTTCTCATAGAAACCAGAAAGAAGCATTCTCAGAAACTTCTTTGTGTTGTGTGTACTCATGTAACAGTGTTGAACCATCCTTTTGACAGAGGAGTTTTGAAACACTCTTTTTGTAGAATCTGCAAGTGGATATTTGGATAGCTTTGAGGATTTCGTTGGAAACGGGATGACATATAATATCTAGAGAGAAGCATTCTCAGGAACTTCTTTGTGATGTTTGCATTCAAGTCACAGAATTGAACATTCCCTTTCATAGAGCAGGTTTGAAACACTCTTTCTCTAGTATCTGGAAGTGGGCATTTCAAGCGCTTTCAGGCCTATGGAGAGAAAGGAAATACCTTCAAATAAAAACTAGACAGAAGCATTCTCAGAAACTTATTTGTGATGTGTGTCCTCAACTAACAGAGTTGAACCTTTGTTTTGATACAGCATTTTGGAAACACTCCTTTTGTAGAATCTGCAGGTGGATATTTGGATAGCTTTGAAGATTTCGTTGGAAACCGGAATATCTTCATATAAAATCAAGACAGAAGCATTCACGGAAACATCTCTGTGATGTTTGCATTCAACTCAGTAGAGTTGAACACTTCCTTTCATAGAGCAGGTTTGAAACACTCTTTCTGCACTACCTGGAAGCGGACATTTCGAGCGCTTTGAGGCCTATGGTGAAAAAGGAAACATCTTCTCATAAAAACCAGAAAGAAGCATTCTCAGAAACTTCTTTGTGTTGTGTGTACTCAAGTAACAGTGTTGAACCTTCCTTTTGACAGAGCAGTTTTGAAACACTCTTTTGGTAGAATCTGCAAGTGGATATTTGGAGAGCTTTGAGGATTTCGTTGGAAACGGGTTATCTTCATATAAAATCCAGACAGGAGCATTCTCAGAAACTTCTTTGTGCTGTATGTCCTCAATTCACAGAGCTGAACCTTTGTTTGGATACAGCATTTTGGAGACATTCCTTTAGTAGAATCTGCAAGTTGATATTTAGATAGCTTTGAAGATTTCGTTGGAAACGGGAATATCTTCATAGAAAATCTAGACGGAAGCATTCTCAGAAACTGCTTTGTGATGTTTGCATTCAAGTCACAGAGTTGAATATTCCCTTTTATAGAGTAGGTTTGAAACACTCTTTCGGCACTACCTGGAAGTGGATATTTCGAGCTCTTTGAGGCCTATGGTTAAAAGGAAATATCTTCCCATAAAAACTAGACAGAAGCCTTCTTAGAAACTTGTTTGAGATGTGTGTATTCAACTAAGAAGCGTTGAATATTTCTTTTTACAGAGCAGTTTTAAAACACTCTTTTGGTGGAATCTGAAAGTGGATAATTGGATAGCTTTGTGGATTTCGTTGGAAACGGGATGACGTTTAAAATCTAGAGAGAAGCATTCTCAGGAACTTCTTTCTGATGTTTGCATTCAAGTCACAGAATTGAACATTCCTTTTCAGAGTGCAGGTTTGAAACACTCTGTAGTATCTGGAAGTGGACATTTCAAGCGCTTTCAGGCCTACGGGGAGAAAGGAAATATCTTCAAATAAAAACTAGACAGAAGGATTCTCAGAAACTTATTTGTGATGTGTGTCCTAAACGAACACAGTTGAACCTTTGTTTTGATACAGCATTTTGGAAACACTCCTTTTGTAGGATCTGCAGGTGGATATTTGGATAGATTTTAAGATTTCGTTGGAAACGGGAATTTCTGCATATAAACTCAAGACAGATGCATTCTCAGAAACTTCTCTGTGATGTTTGCATTCCACTCATAGAGTTGAAAACTTCCTTTCATAGAGCAGGTTTGAAACACTCTTTTTGTAATATTTGGAAGTGGACATTTGCAGCGCTTTGAGGCCTATGGTGAAAAAGGAAATATCTTCTCATAAAAACCAGAAACAAGCATTCTCAGAAACTTCTTTTTGATGTGTGTACTCAAGTAACAGAGTTGAACCTTCCTTTTGACACAGCAGTTTTGAAACAATCTTTTTGTAGAATCTGCAAGTGGATATTTGGATAGCTTTGAGGATTTCGTTGGAAACGGGATATCTTCATATAAAATCTAGACAGAAGCATTCTCAGAAACTTCTTTGTGCTGTATGTCCTCAATTAACAGAGTTGAACCATTGCTTGGATACAGCATTTTGGAAACATTCCTTTAGTAGAACCTGCAAGTTGATATTTAGATAGATTTGAAGATTTCGTTGGAAACGGGAATATCTTCATATAAAATCTAGACGGAGGCATTCTCAGAAACTGCTTTGTGATGTTTCCATTCAAGGCACAGAGTTGAATATTCTCTTTTGTAGAGCACGTTTGAAACACTCTTTCTGTACTATCTGTTAGTGGACATTTCGAGCGCAGTGAGGCCTACGGTGAAAAAGGAAATATCTTCCCATAAAAACTAGACAGAAGCATTCTCAGAAACTTGTTTGTGATGTGTGTATTCAACTAACAGAGTTGAACTTTTGTTTTTACAGAGCCGTTTTAAAACACTGTTTTTGTGGAATCAGAAAGTGGATATTCGGATGGCATTGAGGATTTCGTTGGAAGCGGGATTACATATAAAATGCTAGAGAGAAGCATTCTCAGGATACTACTTTGTGACGTTTGCATTGAAGTCACAGAATTGAACATTCACTTTGATAGAGCAGGTTTGAAACACTCATTCTGTAGTATCTGGAAGCGGACAATTCAAGCGCTTTCAGGCCTATGGGGAGAAAGGAAATATCTTCAAATAAAAACTAGAGAGAAAGCATCCTCAGAAACTTATTTGTGATGTGTGTCCTCAACTAACAGAGTTGAAACTTTGTTTTGATACAGCATTTTGGAAACACTCTTTTTGTAGAATCTGCAGGTGGATATTTGGATAGCTTAGAGGGATTCGTTGGAAAGGGGATATCTTCATATAAAATCTAGACAGAGCATTCTCAGAAACTTATTTGTGATGTGTGTCCTCAACTAACAGAGTTGAACCTTGGTTTTGATACAGCATTTTGGAAACACTCCTTTTGAAGAATCTGCAGGTGGATATGTGGATAGCTTTGAAGATTTCGTTGGAAACGGGAATTTCTTCATATAAAATCAAACAGAAGCATTCTCAGAAACTTCTCTGTGATGTTTGCATTCAGCTCATGGAGTTGAACACTTCCTTTCATAGAGCAGGTTTGAAACACTCTTTCTGCACTACCAGGAAGTGGACATTTCGAGCGCTTTGAGGCCTATGGTGAAAAAGGAAATATCTTCTCATAAAAACCAGAAAGAAGCGTTCTCAGAAACTTCTTTGTGTTGTGTGTACTCATGTAACAGTGTTGAACCATCCTTTTGACAGAGCAGTTTTGAAACACTCTTTTTGTAGAATCTGCCAGTGGATATTTGGATAGCTTTGAGGATTTCGTTGGAAACGGGTTATCTTCATATTAAATCTAGACAGAAGCATTCTCAGAAACTTCTTTGTGCTGTATGTCCTCAATTCACAGAGTTGAACCTTTGTTTGGATACAGCATTTTGGAAACATTCCTTTAGTAGAATCTGCAAGTTGATATTTAGATAGCTTTGAAGATTTCGTTGGAAACGGGAATATCTTCATAAAAAATCTAGACGGAAACATTGTCAGAAACTGCTCTGTGATGTTTGCATTCAAGTCACAGAGTTAAATATTCTTTTATAGAGCAGGTTTGAAACACTCTTTCTGCACTCCCTGGAAGTGGAGATTTCGAGCGCTTTGAGGCCTATGGTGAAAAAGGAAATATCTTCCCATAAAAACTAGACGGAAGCCTTCTCAGAAACTTGTTTGAGATGTGTGTATTCAACTAAGAGCGTTGAACATTTCTTTTTACAGAGCAGTTTTAAAACACTCTTTTGGTGCAATCTGAAAGTGGATAATTGGATAGCTTTGTGGATTTCGTTGGAAACGGGATTACGTTTAAAATCTAGAGAGAAGCATTCTCAGGAACTTCTTTCTGATGTTTGCATTCAAGTCACAGAATTGAACATTCCTTTTCATAGTGCAGGTTTGAAACACTCTGTAGTATCTGGAAGTGGACATTTCAAGCGCTTTCAGGCCTATGGGGAGAAAGGAAATATCTTGAAATAAAAACTAGACAGAAGGATTCTCAGAAACTTATTTGTGATGTGTGTCCTAAACGAACACAGTTGAACCTTTGTTTTGATACAGCATTTTGGAAACACTCCTTTTGTAGAATCTGCAGGTGGATATTTGGATAGATTTTAAGATTTCATTGGAAACGGGAATTTCTTCATATAAACTCAAGACAGATGCATTCTCCGAAACTTCTCTGTGATGTTTGCATTCCACTCACAGAAGTTGAAAACTTCCTTTCATAGAGCAGGTTTGAAACACTCTTTTTGTAATATTTGGAAGTGGACATTTGCAGCGCTTTGAGGCCTATGGTGTAAAAGGAAATATCTTCTCATAAAAACCAGAAACAAGCATTCTCAGAAACTGCTTTTTGATGTGTGTACTCAAGTAACAGAGTTGAACCTTCCTTTTGACACAGCAGTTTTGAAACAATCTTTTTGTAGAATCTGCAAGTGGATATTTGGATAGCTTTGAGGATTTCGTTGGAAACGGGATATCTTCATATAAAATCTAGACAGGAAGCATTCTCAGGAACTACTTTGTGATGTTTGCATTGAAGTCACAGCAATTGAACATTCACTTTGATAGAGCAGGTTTGAAACACTCATTCTGTAGTATCTGGAAGTGGACAATTCAAGCGCTTTCAGGCCTATGGGGAGAAAGGAAATATCTTCAAATAAAAACTAGACAGAAGGATTCTCAGAAACTTATTTGTGATGTGTGTCCTAAACGAACACAGTTGAACCTTTGTTTTGATACAGCATTTTGGAAACACTCCTTTTGTAGGATCTGCAGGTGGATATTTGGATAGATTTTAAGATTTCGTTGGAAACGGGAATTTCTGCATATAAACTCAAGACAGATGCATTCTCCGAAACTTCTCTGTGATGTTTGCATTCCACTCATAGAGTTGAAAACTTCCTTTCATAGAGCACGTTTGAAACACTCTTTTTGTAATATTTGGAAGTGGACATTTGCAGCGCTTTGAGGCCTATGGTGAAAAAGGAAATATTCTTCTCATAAAAACCAGAAACAAGCATTCTCAGAAACTGCTTTTTGATGTGTGTACTCAAGTAACAGAGTTGAACCTTCCTTTTGACACAGCAGTTTTGAAACAATCTTTTTGTAGAATCTGCAAGTGGATATTTGGATAGCTTTGAGGATTTCGTTGGAAACGGGATATCTTCATATAAAATCTAGACAGAAGCATTCTCAGAAACTTCTTTGTGCTGTATGTCCTCAATTAACAGAGTTGAACCATTGCTTGGATACAGCATTTTGGAAACATTCCTTTAGTAGAATCTGCAAGTTGATATTTAGATAGCATTGAAGATTTCGTTGGAAACGGGAATATCTTCATATAAAATCTAGACGGAAGCATTCTCATAAACTGCTTTGTGATGTTTGCATTCAAGTCACAGAGTTGAATATTCCCTTTTATAGAGTAGGTTTGAAACACTCTTTCGGCACTACCTGGAAGTGGATATTTCGAGCTTTTTGAGGCTTATGCTTAAAAGGAAATATCTTCCCATAAAAACTAGACAGAAGCCGTCTCAGAAACTTGTTTGTGATGTGTGTATTCAACTAACAGAGTTGAACATTTCTGTTACAGAGCAATTTTAAAACACTCTTTGTGGAATCTGAAAGTGGATAATTGGATAGCTTTGTGGATTTCGTTGGAAACGGGATGACGTATAAAATCTAGAGAGAAGCATTCTCAGGAACTTCTTTCTGATGTTTGCATTCAAGTCACAGAATTGAACATTCCTTTTCAGAGTGCAGGTTTGAAACACTCTTTCTGTAGTATCTGGAAGTGGACATTTCAAGCGCTTTCAGGCCTACGGGGAGAAAGGAAATATCTTCAAATAAAAACTAGACAGAAGGATTCTCAGAAACTTATTTGTGATGTGTGTCCTAAACGAACACAGTTGAACCTTTGTTTTGATACAGCATTTTGGAAACACTCCTTTTGTAGAATCTGCAGGTGGATATTTGGATAGATTTTAAGATTTCATTGGAAACGGGAATTTCTTCATATAAACTCAAGACAGATGCATTCTCAGAAACTTCTCTGTGATGTTTGCATTCCACTCATAGAGTTGAAAACTTCCTTTCATAGAGCAGGTTTGAAACACTCTTTTTGTAATATTTGGAAGTGGACATTTGCAGCGCTTTGAGGCCTATGGTGAAAAAGGAAATATCTTCTCATAAAAACCAGAAACAAGCATTCTCAGAAACTGCTTTTTGATGTGTGTACTCAAGTAACAGAGTTGAACCTTCCTTTTGACACAGCAGTTTTGAAACAATCTTTTTGTAGAATCTGCAAGTGGATATTTGGATAGCTTTGAGGATTTCGTTGGAAACGGGATATCTTCATATAAAATCTAGACAGAAGCATTCTCAGAAACTTCTTTGTGCTGTATGTCCTCAATTAACAGAGTTGAACCATTGCTTGGATACAGCATTTTGGAAACATTCCTTTAGTAGAATCTGCAAGTTGATATTTAGATAGATTTGAAGATTTCGTTGGAAACGGGAATATCTTCATATAAAATCTAGACGGAGGCATTCTCAGAAACTGCTTTGTGATGTTTCCATTCAAGTCACAGAGTTGAATATTCTCTTTTATAGAGCACGTTTGAAACACTCTTTCTGCACTATCTGGAAGTGGACATGTCGAGCGCTTTGAGGCCTATGGTGAAAAAGGAAATATCTTCCCATAAAAACTAGACAGAAGCATTGTCAGAAACTTGTTTGTGATGTGTGTATTCAACTAACAGACTTGAACTTTTGTTTTTACAGAGCAGTTTTAAAACAATCTTTTTGTGGAATCAGAAAGTGGATATTCGGATGGCTTTGAGGATTTCGTTGGAAGCGGGATTACATATAAAATGTAGAGAGAAGCATTCTCAGGAACTTCTTTGTGATGTTTGCATTGAAGTCACAGAATTGAACATTCACTTTGATAGAGCAGGTTTGAAACACTCATTCTGTAGTATCTGGAAGTGGACATTTCAAGCGCTTTCAGGCCTATGGTGAGAAAGGAAATATCTTCGAATAAAAACTAGACAGAAGCATTCTCAGAAACTTATTTGTGATGTGTGTCCTCAACTAACAGAGTTGAAACTTTGTTTTGATACAGCATTTTGGAAACACTCTTTTTGTAGAATCTGCAGGTGGATATTTGGATAGCTTAGAGGGATTCGTTGGAAAGGGGATATCTTCATATAAAATCTAGACAGAAGCATTCTCAGAAACTTATTTGTGATGTGTGTCCTCAACTAACAGAGTTGAACCTTGGTTTTGATACAGCATTTTGGAAACACTCCTTTTGTAGAATCTGCAGGTGGATATGTGGATAGCTTTGAAGATTTCGTTGGAAACGGGAATTTCTTCATATAAAATCAAACAGAAGCATTCTCAGAAACTTCTCTGTGATGTTTGCATTCAGCTCATGGAGTTGAACACTTCCTTTCATAGAGCAGGTTTGAAACACTCTTTCTGCACTACCAGGAAGTGGACATTTCGAGCGCTTTGAGGCCTATGGTGAAAAAGGAAATATCTTCTCATAAAAACCAGAAAGAAGCGTTCTCAGAAACTTCTTTGTGTTGTGTGTACTCATGTAACAGTGTTGAAGCATCCTTTTGACAGAGCAGTTTTGAAACACTCTTTTTGTAGAATCTGCAAGTGGATATTTGGATAGCTTTGAGGATTTCGTTGGAAACGGGTTATCTTCATATTAAATCTAGACAGAAGCATTTTCAGAAACTTCTTTGTGCTGTATGTCCTCAATTCACAGAGTTGAACCTTTGTTTGGATACAGCATTTTGGAAACATTCCTTTAGTAGAATCTGCAAGTTGATATTTAGATAGCTTTGAAGATTTCGTTGGAAACGGGAATATCTTCATAAAAAATCTAGACGGAAGCATTCTCAGAAACTGCTTTGTGATGTTTGCATTCAAGTCACAGAGTTGAATATTCCCTTTTATAGAGTAGGTTTGAAACACTCTTTCGGCACTACCTGGAAGTGGATATTTCGAGCTCTTATGAGGCCTATGGTTAAAAGGAAATATCTTCCCATAAAAACTAGACAGAAGCCGTCTCAGAAAATTGTTTGTGATGTGTGTATTCATCTAACAGAGTTGAACATTTCTGTTACAGAGCAATTTTAAAACATTCTTTTTGGGGAATCTGAAAGTGGATAATTGGATAGCTTTGTGGATTTCGTTGGAAACGGGATTACGTATAAAATCTAGAGAGAAGCATTCTCAGGAACTTCTTTCTGATGTTTGCATTCAAGTCACAGAATTGAACATTCCTTTTCATAGTGCAGGTTTGAAACACTCTTTCCGTAGTATCTGGAAGTGGACATTTCAAGCGCTTTCAGGCCTACGGGGAGAAAGGAAATATCTTCAAATAAAAACTAGACAGAAGGATTCTCAGAAACTTATTTGTGATGTGTGTCCTAAACGAACACAGTTGAACCTTTGTTTTGATACAGCATTTTGGAAACACTCCTTTTGTAGGATCTGCAGGTGGATATTTGGATAGATTTTAAGATTTCGTTGGAAACGGGAATTTCTTCATAGAAGCTCAAGACAGATGCATTCTCAGAAACTTCTCTGTGATGTTTGCATTCCACTCATAGAGTTGAAAACTTCCTTTCATAGAGCAGGTTTGAAACACTCTTTTTGTAATATTTGGAAGTGGACATTTGCAGCGCTTTGAGGCCTATGGTGAAAAAGGAAATATCTTCTCATAAAAACCAGAAACAAGCATTCTCAGAAACTTCTTTTTGATGTGTGTACTCAAGTAACAGAGTTGAACCTTCCTCTTGACACAGCAGTTTTGAAACAATCTTTTTGTAGAATCTGCAAGTGGATATTTGGATAGCTTTGAGGATTTCGTTGGAAACGGGATATCTTCATATAAAATCTAGACAGAAGCATTCTCAGAAACTTCTTTGTGCTGTATGTCCTCAATTAACAGAGTTGAACCATTGCCTGGATACAGCATTTTGGAAACATTCCTTGAGTAGAATCTGCAAGTTGATATTTAGATAGATTTGAAGATTTCGTTGGAAAAGGGAATATCTCCATATAAAATCTAGAGGGAAGCATTCTCAGAAACTGCTTTGTGATGTTTCCATTCAAGTCACAGAGTTGAATATTCCCTTTTATAGAGCACGTTTGAAACACTCTTTCGGCACTACCTGGAAGTGGATATTTCGAGCTCTTTGAGGCCTATGGTTAAAAGGAAATATCTTCCCATAAAAACTAGACAGAAGCCGTCTCAGAAACTTGTTTGTGATGTGTGTATTCAACTAACAGAGTTGAACTTTTGTTTTTACAGAGCCGTTTTAAAACACTCTTTTTGTGGAATCAGAAAGTGGATATTCGGATGGCTCTGAGGATTTCATTGGAAGCGGGATTACGTATAAAATCTAGAGAGAAGCATTCTCAGGAACTACTTTGTGATGTTTGCATTGAAGTCACAGAATTGAACATTCACTTTGATAGAGCAGGTTTGAAACACTCATTCTGTAGTATCTGGAAGTGGACATTTCAAGCGCTTTCAGGCCTATGGGGAGAAAGGAAATATCTTCAAATTAAAACTAGACAGAAGCATCCTCAGAAACTTATTTGTGATGTGTGTCCTCAACTAACAGAGTTGAAACTTTGTTTTGATACAGCATTTTGGAAACACTCTTTTTGTAGAATCTGCAGGTGGATACTTGGATAGCTTAGAGGGATTCGTTGGAAAGGGGATAAATTCATATAAAATCTAGACAGAAGCATTCTCAGAAACTTATTTGTGATGTGTGTCCTCAACTAACAGAGTTGAACCTTGGTTTTGATACAGCATTTTGGAAACACTCCTTTTGAAGAATCTGCAGGTGGATATGTGGAGAGCTTTGAAGATTTCGTTGGAAACGGGAATTTCTTCATATAAAATCAAACAGAAGCATTCTCAGGAACTTCTCTGTGATGTTTGCATTCAGCTCATGGAGTTGAACACTTCCTTTCATAGAGCAGGTTTGAAACACTCTTTCTGCACTACCAGGAAGTGGACATTTCGAGCGCTTTGAGGCCTATGGTGAAAAAGGAAATATCCTCTCATAAAAACCAGAAAGAAGCGTTCTCAGAAACTTCTTTGTGTTGTGTGTACTCATGTAACAGTGTTGAACCATCCTTTTGACAGAGCAGTTTTGAAACACTCTTTTTGTAGAATCTGCAAGTGGATATTTGGATAGCTTTGAGGATTTCGTTGGAAACGGGTTATCTTCATATTAAATCTAGACAGAAGCATTCTCAGAAACTTCTTTGTGCTGTATGTCCTCAATTCACAGAGTTGAACCTTTGTTTGGATACAGCATTTTGGAAACATTCCTTTAGTAGAATCTGCAAGTTGATATTTAGATAGCTTTGAAGATTTCGTTGGAAACGGGAATATCTTCATAAAAAATCTAGACGGAAGCATTGTCAGAAACTGCTTTGTGATGTTTGCATTCAAGTCACAGAGTTAAATATTCTTTTACAGAGCAGGTTTGAAACACTCTTTCTGCACTCCCTGGAAGTGGAGATTTCGAGCGCTTTGAGGCCTATGGTGAAAAAGGAAATATCTTCCCATAAAAGCTAGACGGAAGCCTTCTCAGAAACTTGTTTGAGATGTGTGTATTCAAGTAAGAGCGTTGAACATTTCTTTTTACAGAGCAGTTTTAAAACACTCTTTTTGTGGAATCTGAAAGTGGATAATTGGATAGCTTTGTGGATTTCGTTGGAAACGGGATGACGTATAAAATCTAGAGAGAAGCATTCTCAGGAACTTCTTTCTGATGTTTGCATTCAAGTCACAGAATTGAACATTCCTTTTCAGAGTGCAGGTTTGAAACACTCTTTCTGTAGTATCTGGAAGTGGACATTTCAAGCGCTTTCAGGCCTACGGGGAGAAAGGAAATATCTTCAAATAAAAACTAGACAGAAGGATTCTCAGAAACTTATTTGTGATGTGTGTCCTAAACGAACACAGTTGAACCTTTGTTTTGATACAGCATTTTGGAAACACTCCTTTTGTAGGATCTGCAGGTGGATATTTGGATAGATTTTAAGATTTCGTTGGAAACGGGAATTTCTGCATATAAACTCAAGACAGATGCATTCTCAGAAACTTCTCTGTGATGTTTGCATTCCACTCATAGAGTTGAAAACTTCCTTTCATAGAGCAGGTTTGAAACACTCTTTTTGTAATATTTGGAAGTGGACATTTGCAGCGCTTTGAGGCCTATGGTGAAAAAGGAAATATCTTCTCATAAAAACCAGAAACAAGCATTCTCAGAAACTTCTTTTTGATGTGTGTACTCAAGTAACAGAGTTGAACCTTCCTTTTGACACAGCAGTTTTGAAACAATCTTTTTGTAGAATCTGCAAGTGGATATTTGGATAGCTTTGAGGATTTCGTTGGAAACGGGATATCTTCATATAAAATCTAGACAGAAGCATTCTCAGAAACTTCTTTGTGCTGTATGTCCTCAATTAACAGAGTTGAACCATTGCTTGGATACAGCATTTTGGAAACATTCCTTTAGTGGAATGTGCAAGTTGATATTTAGATAGATTTGAAGATTTCGTTGGAAACGGGAATATCTTCATATAAAATCTAGACGGAGGCATTCTCAGAAACTGCTTTGTGATGTTTCCATTCAAGTCACAGAGTTGAATATTCTCTTTTATAGAGCACGTTTGAAACACTCTTTCTGCACTATCTGGAAGTGGACATTTCGAGCGCTTTGAGGCCTATGGTGAAAAAGGAAATATCTTCCCATAAAAACTAGACAGAAGCATTCTCAGAAACTTGTTTATGATATGTGTATTCAACTAACAGACTTGAACTTTTGTTTTTACAGAGCAGTTTTAAGACAATCTTTTTGTGGAATCAGAAAGTGGATATTCGGATGGCTTTGAGGACTTCGTTGGAAGCGGGATTACATATAAAATCTAGAGAGAAGCATTCTCAGGAACTACTTTGTGACGTTTGCATTGAAGTCACAGAATTGAACATTCACTTTGATAGAGCAGGTTTGAAACACTCATTCTGTAGTATCTGGAAGCGGACAATTCAAGCGCTTTCAGGCCTATGGGGAGAAAGGAAATATCTTCAAATAAAAACTAGAGAGAAGCATCCTCAGAAACTTATTTGTGATGTGTGTCCTCAACTAACAGAGTGGAAACTTTGTTTTGATACAGCATTTTGGAAACACTCTTTTTGTAGAATCTGCAGGTGGATATTTGGATAGCTTAGAGGGATTCGTTGGAAAGGGGATATCTTCATATAAAATCTAGACAGAAGCATTCTCAGAAACTTATTTGTGATGTGTGTCCTCAACTAACAGAGTTGAACCTTGGTTTTGATACAGCATTTTGGAAACACTCCTTTTGAAGGATCTGCAGGTGGATATGTGGATACCTTTGAAGATTTCGTTGGAAACGGGAATTTCTTCATATAAAATCAAACAGAAGCATTCTCAGAAACTTCTCTGTGATGTTTGCATTCAGCTCATGGAGTTGAACACTTCCTTTCATAGAGCAGGTTTGAAACACTCTTTCTGCACTACCTGGAAGTGGACATTTCGAGCGCTTTGAGGCCTATGGTGAAAAGGGAAATATCTTCTCATAAAAACCAGAAAGAAGCGTTCTCAGAAACTTCTTTGTGTTGTGTGTACTCATGTAACAGTGTTGAACCATCCTTTTGACAGAGCAGTTTTGAAACACTCTTTTTGTAGAATCTGCAAGTGGATATTTGGATAGCTTTGAGGATTTCGTTGGAAACGGGTTATCTTCATATTAAATCTAGACAGAAGCATTCTCAGAAACTTCTTTGTGCTGTATGTCCTCAATTCACAGAGTTGAACCTTTGTTTGGATACAGCATTTTGGAAACATTCCTTTAGTAGAATCTGCAAGTTGATATTTAGATAGCTTTGAAGATTTCGTTGGAAACGGGAATATCTTCATAAAAATCTAGACGGAAGCATTCTCAGAAACTGCTTTGTGATGTTTGCATTCAAGTCACAGAGTTGAATATTCCCTTTTATAGAGTAGGTTTGAAACACTCTTTCGGCACTACCTGGAAGTGGATATTTCGAGCTCTTTGAGGCCTATGGTTAAAAGGAAATATCTTCCCATAAAAACTAGACAGAAGCCGTCTCAGAAACTTGTTTGTGATGTGTGTATTCAACTACCAGAGTTGAACATTTCTGTTACAGAGCAATTTTAAAACACTCTTTTTGTGGAATCTGAAAGTGGATAATTGGATAGCTTTGTGGATTTCGTTGGAAACGGGATGACGTATAAAATCTAGAGAGAAGCATTCTCAGGAACTTCTTTCTGATGTTTGCATTCAAGTCACAGAATTGAACATTCCTTTTCAGAGTGCAGGTTTGAAACACTCTTTCTGTAGTATCTGGAAGTGGACATTTCAAGCGCTTTCAGGCCTACGGGGAGAAAGGAAATATCTTCAAATAAAAACTAGACAGAAGGATTCTCAGAAACTTATTTGTGATGTGTGTCCTAAACGAACACAGTTGAACCTTTGTTTTGATACAGCATTTTGGAAACACTCCTTTTGTAGGATCTGCAGGTGGATATTTGGATAGATTTTAAGATTTCGTTGGAAACGGGAATTTCTGCATATAAACTCAAGACAGATGCATTCTCAGAAACTTCTCTGTGATGTTTGCATTCCACTCATAGAGTTGAAAACTTCCTTTCATAGAGCAGGTTTGAAACACTCTTTTTGTAATATTTGGAAGTGGACATTTGCAGCGCTTTGAGGCCTATGGTGAAAAAGGAAATATCTTCTCATAAAAACCAGAAACAAGCATTCTCAGAAACTTCTTTTTGATGTGTGTACTCGAGTAACAGAGTTGAACCTTCCTTTTGACACAGCAGTTTTGAAACAATCTTTTTGTAGAATCTGCAAGTGGATATTTGGATAGCTTTGAGGATTTCGTTGGAAACGGGATATCTTCATATAAAACCTAGACAGAAGCATTCTCAGAAACTTCTTTGTGCTGTATGTCCTCAATTAACAGAGTTGAACCATTGCTTGGATACAGCATTTTGGAAACATTCCTTTAGTAGAATCTGCAAGTTGATATTTAGATAGATTTGAAGATTTCGTTGGAAACGGGAATATCTTCCTATAAAATCTAGACGGAAGCATTGTCAGAAACTGCTTTGTGAGGTTTGCATTCAAGTCACAGAGTTAAATATTCTTTTACAGAGCAGGTTTGAAACACTCTTTCTGCACTCCCTGGAAGTGGAGATTTCGAGCGCTTTGAGGCCTATGGTGAAAAAGGAAATATCTTCCCATAAAAACTAGACGGAAGCATTCTCAGAAACTTGTTTATGATGTGTGTATTCAACTAACAGACTTGAACGTTTGTTTTTACAGAGCAGTTTTAAGACAATCTTTTTGTGGAATCAGAAAGTGGATATTTGGATGGCTTTGAGGACTTCGTTGGAAGCGGGATTACATATAAAATCTAGAGAGAAGCATTCTCAGGAACTACTTTGTGACGTTTGCATTGAAGTCACAGAATTGAACATTCACTTTGATAGAGCAGGTTTGAAACACTCATTCTGTAGTATCTGGAAGCGGACAATTCAAGCGCTTTCAGGCCTATGGGGAGAAAGGAAATATCTTCAAATAAAAACTAGAGAGAAGCATCCTCAGAAACTTATTTGTGATGTGTGTCCTCAACTAACAGAGTTGAAACTTTGTTTTGATACAGCATTTTGGAAACACTCTTTTTGTAGAATCTGCAGGTGGATATTTTGATAGCTTAGAGGGATTCGTTGGAAAGGGGATATCTTCATATAAAATCTAGACAGAAGCATTCTCAGAAACTTATTTGTGATGTGTGTCCTCAACTAACAGAGTTGAACTTTGGTTTTGATACAGCATTTTGGAAACACTCCTTTTGTAGAATCTGCAGGTGGATATGTGGATAGCTCTGAAGATTTCGTTGGAAACGGGAATTTCTTCATATAAAATCAAACAGAAGCATTCTCAGAAACTTCTCAGTGATGTTTGCATTCAGTTCATGGAGTTGAACACTTCCTTTCATAGAGCCGGTTTGAAACACTCTTTCTGCACTACCTGGAAGAGGACATTTCGAGCGCTTTGAGTCCTATGGTGAAAAAGGAAATATCTTCTCATAGAAACCAGAAAGAAGCATTCTCAGAAACTTCTTTGTGTTGTGTGTACTCATGTAACAGTGTTGAACCATCCTTTTGACAGAGCAGTTTTGAAACACTCTTTTTGTAGAATCTGCAAGTGGATATTTGGATAGCTTTGAGGATTTCGTTGGAAACGGGATGACATATAATATCTAGAGAGAAGCATTCTCAGGTAACTTCTTTGTGATGTTTGCATTCAAGTCACAGAATTGAACATTCCCTTTCATAGAGCAGGTTTGAAACACTCTTTCTCTAGTATCTGGAAGTGGGCATTTCAAGCGCTTTCAGGCCTATGGAGAGAAAGGAAATACCTTCAAATAAAAACTAGACAGAAGCATTCTCAGAAACTTATTTGTGATGTGTGTCCTCAACTAACAGAGTTGAACCTTTGTTTTGATACAGCATTTTGGAAACACTCCTTTTGTAGAATCTGCAGGTGGATATTTGGATAGCTTTGAAGATTTCGTTGGAAACCGGAATATCTTCATATAAAATCAAGACAGAAGCATTCTCGGAAACATCTCTGTGATGTTTGCATTCAACTCAGTAGAGTTGAACACTTCCTTTCATAGAGCAGGTTTGAAACACTCTTTCTGCACTACCTGGAAGCGGACATTTCGAGCGCTTTGAGGCCTATGGTGAAAAAGGAAATATCTTCTCATAAAAACCAGAAAGAAGCATTCTCAGAAACTTCTTTGTGTTGTGTGTACTCAAGTAACAGTGTTGAACCTTCCTTTTGACAGAGCAGTTTTGAAACACTCTTTTGGTAGAATCTGCAAGTGGATATCTGGAGAGCTTTGAGGATTTCGTTGGAAACGGGTTATCTTCATATAAAATCCAGACAGGAGCATTCTCAGAAACTTCTTTGTGCTGTATGTCCTCAATTAACAGAGTTGAACCATTGCTTGGATACAGCATTTTGGAAACATTCCTTGAGTAGAATCTGCAAGTTGATATTTAGATAGCTTTGAAGATTTCGTTGGAAACGGGAATATATTCATAGAAAATCTAGACGGAAGCATTCTCAGAAACTGCTTTGTGATGTTTCCATTCAAGTCACAGAGTTGAATATTCTCTTTTATAGAGCACGATTGAAACACTCTTTCTGCACTATCTGGAAGTGGACATTTCGAGCGCTTTGAGGCCTATGGTGAAAAAGGAAATATCTTCCCATAAAAACTAGACAGAAGCATTCTCAGAAACTTGTTTGTGATGTGTGTATTCAACTAACAGAGTTGAACTTTTGTTTTTACAGAGCCGTTTTAAAACACTCTTTTTGTGGAATCAGAAAGTGGATATTCGGATGGCTCTGAGGATTTCGTTGGAAGCGGGATTACGTATAAAATCTAGAGAGAAGCATTCTCAGGAACTTCTTTGTGATGTTTGCATTGAAGTCACAGAATTGAACATTCACTTTGATAGAGCAGGTTTGAAACACTCATTCTGTAGTATCTGGAAGTGGACATTTCAAGCGCTTTCAGGCCTATGGTGAGAAAGGAAATATCTTCGAATAAAAACTAGACAGAAGCATCCTCAAACTTATTTGTGATGTGTGTCCTCAACTAACAGAGTTGAAACTTTGTTTTGATACAGCATTTTGGAAACACTCTTTTTGTAGAATCTGCAGGTGGATATTTGGATAGCTTAGAGGGATTCGTTGGAAAGGGGATATCTTCATATAAAATCTAGACAGAAGCATTCTCAGAAACTTATTTGTGATGTGTGTCCTCAACTAACAGAGTTGAACCTTGGTTTTGATACAGCATTTTGGAAACACTCCTTTTGTAGAATCTGCAGGTGGATATGTGGATAGCTCTGAAGATTTCGTTGGAAACGGGAATTTCTTCATATAAAATCAAACAGAAGCATTCTCAGAAACTTCTCTGTGATGTATCCATTCAGCTCATGGAGTTGAACTCTTCCTTTCAGAGAGCAGCTTTGAAACACTCTTTCTTCACTACCAGGAAGTGGACATTTCGAGCGCTTTGAGGCCTATGGTGAAAAAGGAAATATCTTCTCATAAAAACCAGAAAGAAGCGTTCTCAGAAACTTCTTTGTGTTGTGTGTACTCATGTAACAGTGTTGAACCATCCTTTTGACAGAGCAGTTTTGAAACACTCTTTTTGTAGAATCTGCAAGTGGATATTTGGATAGCTTTGAGGATTTCGTTGGAAACGGGTTATCTTCATATTAAATCTAGACAGAAGCATTCTCAGAAACTTCTTTGTGCTGTATGTCCTCAATTCACAGAGTTGAACCTTTGTTTGGATACAGCATTTTGGAAACATTCCTTTAGTAGAATCTGCAAGTTGATATTTAGATAGCTTTGAAGATTTCGTTGGAAACGGGAATATCTTCATAAAAAATCTAGACGGAAGCATTGTCAGAAACTGCTCTGTGATGTTTGCATTCAAGTCACAGAGTTAAATATTCTTTTACAGAGCAGGTTTGAAACACTCTTTCTGCACTCCCTGGAAGTGGCGATTTCGAGCGCTTTGAGGCCTATGGTGAAAAAGGAAATATCTTCCCATAAAAACTAGACGGAAGCATTCTCAGAAACTTGTTTGTGATGTGTGTATTCAACTAACAGACTTGAACTTTTGTTTTTACAGAGCAGTTTTAAAACAATCTTTTTGTGGAATCAGAAAGTGGATATTCGGATGGCTTTGAGGATTTCGTTGGAAGCGGGATTACATATAAAATGTAGAGAGAAGCATTCTCAGGAACTACTTTGTGATGTTTGCATTGAAGTCACAGAATTGAACATTCACTTTGATAGAGCAGGTTTGAAACACTCATGCTGTAGTATCTGGAAGTGGACATTTCAAGCGCTTTCAGGCCTATGGGGAGAAAGGAAATATCTTCAAATTAAAACTAGACAGAAGCATCCTCAGAAACTTATTTGTGATGTGTGTCCTCAACTAACAGAGTTGAAACTTTGTTTTGATACAGCATTTTGGAAACACTCTTTTTGTAGAATCTGCAGGTGGATACTTGGATAGCTTAGAGGGATTCGTTGGAAAGGGGATATCTTCATATAAAATCTAGACAGAAGCATTCTCAGAAACTTATTTGTGATGTGTGTCCTCAACTAACAGAGTTGAACCTTGGTTTTGATACAGCATTTTGGAAACACTCCTTTTGAAGAATCTGCAGGTGGATATGTGGATAGCTTTGAAGATTTCGTTGGAAACGGGAATTTCTTCATATAAAATCAAACAGAAGCATTCTCAGAAACTTCTCTGTGATGTTTGCATTCAGCTCATGGAGTTGAACACTTCCTTTCATAGAGCAGGTTTGAAACACTCTTTCTGCACTACCTGGAAGTGGACATTTCGAGCGCTTTGAGGCCTATGGTGAAAAAGGAAATATCCTCTCATAAAAACCAGAAAGAAGCGTTCTCAGAAACTTCTTTGTGTTGTGTGTACTCATGTAACAGTGTTGAACCATCCTTTTGACAGAGCAGTTTTGAAACACTCTTTTTGTAGAATCTGCAAGTGGATATTTGGATAGCTTTGAGGATTTCGTTGGAAACGGGTTATCTTCATATTAAATCTAGACAGAAGCATTCTCAGAAACTTCTTTGTGCTGTATGTCCTCAATTCACAGAGCTGAACCTTTGTTTGGATACAGCATTTTGGAAACATTCCTTTAGTAGAATGGGCAAGTTGATATTTAGATAGCTTTGAAGATTTCGTTGGAAACGGGAATATCTTCATAAAAAATCTAGACGGAAGCATTGTCAGAAACTGCTCTGTGATGTTTGCATTCAAGTCACAGAGTTAAATATTCTTTTATAGAGCAGGTTTGAAACAGTCTTTCTGCACTCCCTGGAAGTGGAGATTTCGAGCGCTTTGAGGCCTATGGTGAAAAAGGAAATATCTTCCCATAAAAACTAGACGGAAGTCTTCTCAGAAACTTGTTTGAGATGTGTGTATTCAACTAAGAGCGTTGAACATTTCTTTTTACAGAGCAGTTTTAAAACAGTCTTTTGGTGGAATCTGAAAGTGGATAATTGGATAGCTTTGTGGATTTCGTTGGAAACGGGATTACGTTTAAAATCTAGAGAGAAGCATTCTCAGGAACTTCTTTCTGATGTTTGCATTCAAGTCACAGAATTGAACATTCCTTTTCATAGTGCAGGTTTGAAACACTCTGTAGTATCTGGAAGTGGACATTTCAAGCGCTTTCAAGCCTATGGGGAGAAAGGAAATATCTTGAAATAAAAACTAGACAGAAGGATTGTCAGAAACTTATTTGTGATGTGTGTCCTAAACGAACACAGTTGAACCTTTGTTTTGATACAGCATTTAGGCAACACTCCTTTTGTAGAATCTGCAGGTGGATATTTGGATAGATTTTAAGATTTCTTTGGAAACGGGAATTTCTTCATATAAACTCAAGACAGATGCATTCTCAGAAACTTCTCTGTGATGTTTGCATTCCACTCACAGAGTTGAAAACTTCCTTTCATAGAGCACGTTTGAAACACTCTTTTTGTAATATTTGGAAGTGGACATTTGCAGCGCTTTGAGGACTATGGTGAAAAAGGAAATATCTTCTCTTAAAAATCAGAAACAAGCATTCTCAGAAACTTCTTTTTGATGTGTGTACTCAAGTAACAGAGTTGAACCTTCCTCTTGACACAGCAGTTTTGAAACAATCTTTTTGTAGAATCTGCAAGTGGATATTTGGATAGCTTTGAGGATTTCGTTGGAAACGGGATATCTTCATATAAAATCTAGACAGAAGCATTCTCAGAAACTTCTTTGTGCTGTATGTCCTCAATTAACAGAGTTGAACCATTGCCTGGATACAGCATTTTGGAAACATTCCTTGAGTAGAATCTGCAAGTTGATATTTAGATAGATTTGAAGATTTCGTTGGAAAAGGGAATATCTCCATATAAAATCCTAGAGGGAAGCATTCTCAGAAACTGCTTTATGATGTTTCCATTCAAGTCACAGAGTTGAATATTCTCTTTTATAGAGCACGTTTGAAACAATCTTTCTGCACTATCTGGAAGTGGACATTTCGAGCGCTTTGAGGCCTATGGTGAAAAAGGAAATATCTTCCCATAAAAACTAGACAGAAGCATTCTCAGAAACTTGTTTGTGATGTGTGTATTCAACTAACAGAGTTGAACTTTTGTTTTTACAGAGCCGTTTTAAAACACTGTTTTTGTGGAATCAGAAAGTGGATATTCGGATGGCATTGAGGATTTCGTTGGAAGCGGGATTACATATAAAATCTAGAGAGAAGCATTCTCAGGAACTTCTTTGTGATGTTTGCATTGAAGTCACAGAATTGAACATTCACTTTTATAGAGCAGGTTTGAAACACTCATTCTGTAGTATCTGGAAGTGGACATTTCAAGCGCTTTCAGGCCTATGGTGAGAAAGGAAATATCTTCAAATAAAAACTAGACCGAAGCATCCTCAGAAACGTATTTGTGATGTGTGTCCTCAACTAACAGAGTTGAAACTTTGTTTTGATACAGCATTTTGGAAACACTCCTTTCGTAGAATCTGCAGGTGGCTATTTGGATAGCTTAGAGGGATTCGTTGGAAAGGGGATATCTTCATATAAAATCTAGACAGAAGCATTCTCAGAAACTTATTTGTGATGTGTGTCCTCAACTAACAGAGTTGAACCTTGGTTTTGATACAGCATTTCGGAAACACTCCTTTTGTAGAATCTGCAGGTGGATATGTGGATAGCTTTGAAGTTTTCGTTGGAATCAGGAATTTCTTCATATAGAATCAAACAGAAGCATTCTCAGAAACTTCTCTGTGATGTTTGCATTCAGCTCATGGAGTAGAACACTTCCTTTCATAGAGCAGGTTTGAAACACTCTTTCTGCACTACCTGGAAGTGGACATTTCGAGCGCTTTGAGGCCTATGGTGAAAAAGGAAATATCTTCTCATAAAAACCAGAAGGAAGCATTCTCAGAAACTTCTTTGTGTTGTGTGTACTCATGTAACAGTGTTGAACCATCCTTTTGACAGAGCAGTTTTGAAACACTCTTTTTGTAGAATCTGCAAGTGGATATTTGGATAGCTTTGAGGATTTCGTTGGAAACGGGTTATCTTCATATTAAATCTAGACAGAAGAATTCTCAGAAACTTCTTTGTGCTGTATGTCCTCAATTCACAGAGTTGATCCTTTGTTTGGATACAGCATTTTGGAAACATTCCTTTAGTAGAATCTGCAAGTTGATATTTAGATAGCTTTGACGATTTCGTTGGAAACGGGAATATCTTCATAAAAAATCTAGACGGAAGCATTGTCAGAAACTGCTTTGTGATGTTTGCATTCAAGTCACAGAGTTAAATATTCTTTTACAGAGCAGGTTTGAAACACTCTTTCTGCACTCCCTGGAAGTGGAGATTTCGAGCGCTTTGAGGCCTATGGTGAAAAAGGAAATATCTTCCCATAAAAACTAGACGGAAGCCTTCTCAGAAACTTGTTTGAGATGTGTGTATTCAACTAAGAGTGTTGAACATTTCTTTTTACAGAGCAGTTTTAAAACACTCTTTTTGTGGAATCTGAAAGTGGATAATTGGATAGCTTTGTGGATTTCGTTGGAAACGGGATGACGTATAAAATCTAGAGAGAAGCATTCTCAGGAACTTCTTTCTGATGTTTGCATTCAAGTCACAGAATTGAACATTCCTTTTCATAGTGCAGGTTTGAAACACTCTTTCTGTAGTATCTGGAAGTGGACATTTCAAGCGCTTTCAGGCCTACGGGGAGAAAGGAAATATCTTCAAATAAAAACTAGACAGAAGGATTCTCAGAAACTTATTTGTGATGTGTGTCCTAAACGAACACAGTTGAACCTTTGTTTTGATACAGCATTTTGGAAACACTCCTTTTGTAGGATCTGCAGGTGGATATTTGGATAGATTTTAAGATTTCGTTGGAAACGGGAATTTCTTCATATAAACTCAAGACCGATGCATTCTCAGAAACTTCTCTGTGATGTTTGCATTCCACTCATAGAGTTGAAAACTTCCTTTCATAGAGCAGGTTTGAAACACTCTTTTTGTAATATTTGGAAGTGGACATTTGCAGCGCTTTGAGGCCTATGGTGAAAAAGGAAATATCTTCTCATAAAAACCAGAAACAAGCATTCTCAGAAACTTCTTTTTGATGTGTGTACTCAAGTAACAGAGTTGAACCTTCCTTTTGACACAGCAGTTTTGAAACAATCTTTTTGTAGAATCTGCAAGTGGATATTTGGATAGCTTTGAGGATTTCGTTGGAAACGGGATATCTTCATATAAAATCTAGACAGAAGCATTCTCAGAAACTTCTTTGTGCTGTATGTCCTCAATTAACAGAGTTGAACCATTGCCTGGATACAGCATTTTGGAAACATTCCTTGAGTAGAATCTGCAAGTTGATATTTAGATAGATTTGAAGATTTCGTTGGAAAAGGGAATATCTCCATATAAAATATAGAGGGAGGCATTCTCAGAAACTGCTTTGTGATGTTTCCATTCAAGTCACAGAGTTGAATATTCCCTTTTATAGAGCACGTTTGAAACACTCTTTCGGCACTATCTGGAAGTGGACATTTCGAGCGCTTTGAGGCCTATGGTGAAAAAGGAAATATCTTCCCATAAAAACTAGACAGAAGCATTCTCAGAAACTTGTTTGTGATGTGTGTATTCAACTAACAGACTTGAACTTTTGTTTTTACAGAGCAGTTTTAAAACAATCTTTTTGTGGAATCAGAAAGTGGATATTCGGATGGCTTTGAGGATTTCGTTGGAAGCGGGATTACATATAAAATCTAGAGAGAAGCATTCTCAGGAACTTCTTTGTGATGTTTGCATTGAAGTCACAGAATTGAACATTCACTTTGATAGAGCAGGTTTGAAACACTCATTCTGTAGTATGTGGAAGTGGACATTTCAAGCGCTTTCAGGCCTATGGTGAGAAAGGAAATATCTTCAAATAAAAACTAGACAGAAAGCATCCTCAAACTTATTTGTGATGTGTGTCCTCAACTAACAGAGTTGAAACTTTGTTTTGATACAGCATTTTGGAAACACTCTTTTTGTAGAATCTGCAGGTGGATATTTGGATAGCTTAGAGGGATTCGTTGGAAAGGGGATATCTTCATATAAAATCTAGACAGAAGCATTCTCAGAAACTTATTTGTGATGTGTGTCCTCAACTAACAGAGTTGAACCTTGGTTTTGATACAGCATTTTGGAAACACTCCTTTTGTAGAATCTGCAGGTGGATATGTGGATAGCTCTGAAGATTTCGTTGGAAACGGGAATTTCTTCATATAAAATCAAACAGAAGCATTCTCAGAAACTTCTCAGTGATGTTTGCATTCAGCTCATGGAGTTGTACACTTCCTTTCATAGAGCAGGTTTGAAACACTCTTTCTGCACTACCTGGAAGAGGACATTTCGAGCGCTTTGAGGCCTATGGTGAAAAAGGAAATATCTTCTCATAGAAACCAGAAAGAAGCATTCTCAGAAACTTCTTTGTGTTGTGTGTACTCATGTAACAGTGTTGAACCATCCTTTTGACAGAGGAGTTTTGAAACACTCTTTTTGTAGAATCTGCAAGTGGATATTTGGATAGCTTTGAGGATTTCGTTGGAAACGGGATGACATATAATATCTAGAGAGAAGCATTCTCAGGAACTTCTTTGTGATGTTTGCATTCAAGTCACAGAATTGAACATTCCCTTTCATAGAGCAGGTTTGAAACACTCTTTCTCTAGTATCTGGAAGTGGGCATTTCAAGCGCTTTCAGGCCTATGGAGAGAAAGGAAATACCTTCAAATAAAAACTAGACAGAAGCATTCTCAGAAACTTATTTGTGATGTGTGTCCTCAACTAACAGAGTTGAACCTTTGTTTTCATACAGCATTTTGGAAACACTCCTTTTGTAGAATCTGCAGGTGGATATTTGGATAGCTTTGAAGATTTCGTTGGAAACCGGAATATCTTCATATAAAATCAAGACAGAAGCATTCTCGGAAACATCTCTGTGATGTTTGCATTCAACTCAGTAGAGTTGAACACTTCCTTTCATAGAGCAGGTTTGAAACACTCTTTCTGCACTACCTGGAAGCGGACATTTCGAGCGCTTTGAGGCCTATGGTGAAAAAGGAAATATCTTCTCATAAAAACCAGAAAGAAGCATTCTCAGAAACTTCTTTGTGTTGTGTGTACTCAAGTAACAGTGTTGAACCTTCCTTTTGACAGAGCAGTTTTGAAACACTCTTTTGGTAGAATCTGCAAGTGGATATTTGGAGAGCTTTGAGGATTTCGTTGGAAACGGGTTATCTTCATATAAAATCCAGACAGGAGCATTCTCAGAAACTTCTTTGTGCTGTATGTCCTCAATTCACAGAGCTGAACCTTTGTTTGGATACAGCATTTTGGAGACATTCCTTTAGTAGAATCTGCAAGTTGATATTTAGATAGCTTTGAAGATTTCGTTGGAAACGGGAATATCTTCATAGAAAATCTAGACGGAAGCATTCTCAGAAACTGCTTTGTGATGTTTGCATTCAAGTCACAGAGTTGAATATTCCCTTTTATAGAGTAGGTTTGAAACACTCTTTCGGCACTACCTGGAAGTGGATATTTCGAGCTCTTTGAGGCCTATGGTTAAAAGGAAATATCTTCCCATAAAAACTAGACAGAAGCCGTCTCAGAAACTTGTTTGTGATGTGTGTATTCAACTAACAGAGTTGAACATTTCTGTTACAGAGCAATTTTAAAACACTCTTTGTGGAATCTGAAAGTGGATAATTGGATAGCTTTGTGGATTTCGTTGGAAACGGGATGACGTATAAAATCTAGAGAGAAGCATTCTCAGGAACTTCTTTCTGATGTTTGCATTCAAGTCACAGAATTGAACATTCCTTTTCAGAGTGCAGGTTTGAAACACTCTTTCTGTAGTATCTGGAAGTGGACATTTCAAGCGCTTTCAGGCCTACGGGGAGAAAGGAAATATCTTCAAATAAAAACTAGACAGAAGGATTCTCAGAAACTTATTTGTGATGTGTGTCCTAAACGAACACAGTTGAACCTTTGTTTTGATACAGCATTTTGGAAACACTCCTTTTGTAGGATCTGCAGGTGGATATTTGGATAGATTTTAAGATTTCGTTGGAAACGGGAATTTCTTCATAGAAGCTCAAGACAGATGCATTCTCAGAAACTTCTCTGTGATGTTTGCATTCCACTCATAGAGTTGAAAACTTCCTTTCATAGAGCAGGTTTGAAACACTCTTTTTGTAATATTTGGAAGTGGACATTTGCAGCGCTTTGAGGCCTATGGTGAAAAAGGAAATATCTTCTCATAAAAACCAGAAACAAGCATTCTCAGAAACTTCTTTTTGATGTGTGTACTCAAGTAACAGAGTTGAACCTTCCTTTTGACACAGCAGTTTTGAAACAATCTTTTTGTAGAATCTGCAAGTGGATATTTGGATAGCTTTGAGGATTTCGTTGGAAACGGGATATCTTCATATAAAATCTAGACAGAAGCATTCTCAGAAACTTCTTTGTGCTGTATGACCTCAATTAACAGAGTTGAACCATTGCTTGCATACAGCATTTTGGAAACATTCCTTGAGTAGAATCTGCAAGTTGATATTTAGATAGATTTGAAGATTTCGTTCGAAAACAGGAATATCTCCATATAAAATCTAGAGGGAAGCATTCTCAGAAACTGCTTTGTGATGTTTCCATTCAAGTCACAGAGTTGAATATTCCCTTTTATAGAGCACGTTTGAAACACTCTTTCTGCACTATCTGGAAGCGGACATTTCGAGCGCTTTGAGGCCTATGGTGAAAAAGGAAATATCTTCCCATAAAAACTAGACAGAAGCATTCTCAGAAACTTGTTTGTGATGTGTGTATTCAACTAACAGAGTTGAACTTTTGTTTTTACAGAGCCGTTTTAAAACACCCTTTTTGTGGAATCAGAAAGTGGATATTCGGATGGCTCTGAGGATTTCGTTGGAAGCGGGATTACATATAAAATCTAGAGAGAAGCATTCTCAGGAACTTCTTTGTGATGTTTGCATTGAAGTCACAGAATTGAACATTCACTTTGATAGAGCAGGTTTGAAACACTCATTCTGTAGTATCTGGAAGTGGACATTTCAAGCGCTTTCAGGCCTATGGTGGGAAAGGAAATATCTTCGAATAAAAACTAGACAGAAGCATCCTCAGAAACTTATTTGTGATGTGTGTCCTCAACTAACAGAGTTAAAACTTTGTTTTGATACAGCATTTTGGAAACACTCTTTTTGTAGAATCTGCAGGTGGATATTTTGATAGCTTAGAGGGATTCGTTGGAAAGGGGATATCTTCATATAAAATCTAGACAGAAGCATTCTCAGAAACTTATTTGTGATGTGTGTCCTCAACTAACAGAGTTGAACCTTGGTTTTGATACAGCATTTCGGAAACACTCCTTTTGTGGAATCTGCAGGTGGATATGTGGATAGCTTTGAAGATTTCGTTGGAAACGGGAATTTCTTCATATAAAATCAAACAGAAGCATTCTCAGAAACTTCTCAGTGATGTTTGCATTCAGTTCATGGAGTTGAACACTTCCCTTCATAGAGCCAGTTTGAAACACTCTTTCTGCACTACCTGGAAGAGGACATTTCGAGCGCTTTGAGTCCTATGGTGAAAAAGGAAATATCTTCTCATAGAAACCAGAAAGAAGCATTCTCAGAAACTTCTTTGTGTTGTGTGTACTCATGTAACAGTGTTGAACCATCCTTTTGACAGAGCAGTTTTGAAACACTCTTTTTGTAGAATCTGCAAGTGGATATTTGGATAGCTTTGAGGATTTCGTTGGAAACGGGATGACATATAATATCTAGAGAGAAGCATTCTCAGGAACTTCTTTGTGATGTTTGCATTCAAGTCACAGAATTGAACATTCCCTTTCATAGAGCAGGTTTGAAACACTCTTTCTCTAGTATCTGGAAGTGGGCATTTCAAGCGCTTTCAGGCCTATGGAGAGAAAGGAAATACCTTCAAATAAAAATTAGACAGAAGCATTCTCAGAAACTTATTTGTGATGTGTGTCCTCAACTAACAGAGTTGAACCTTTGTTTTGATACAGCATTTTGGAAACACTCCTTTTGTAGAATCTGCAGGTGGATATGTGGATAGCTTTGAAGATTTCGTTGGAAACCGGAATATCTTCATATAAAATCAAGACAGAAGCATTCTCGGAAACATCTCTGTGATGTTTGCATTCAACTCAGTAGAGTTGAACACTTCCTTTCATAGAGCAGGTTTGAAACACTCTTTCTGCACTATCTGGAAGTGGACATTTCGAGCGCTTTGAGGCCTATGGTGAAAAAGGAAATATCTTCCCATAAAAACTAGACAGAAGCCGTCTCAGAACCTTGTTTGTGATGTGTGTATTCAACTAACAGAGTTGAACTTTTGTTTTTACAGAGCCGTTTTAAAACACTCTTTTTGTGGAATCAGAAAGTGGATATTCGGATGGCTCTGAGGATTTCGTTGGAAGCGGGATTACATATAAAATCTAGGGAGAAGCATTCTCAGGAACTTCTTTGTGATGTTTGCATTGAAGTCACAGAATTGAACATTCACTTTGATAGAGCAGGTTTGAAACACTCATTCTGTAGTATCTGGAAGTGGACATTTCAAGTGCTTTCAGGCCTATGGTGAGAAAGGAAATATCTTCGAATAAAAACTAGACAGAAGCATCCTCAGAAACTTATTTGTGATGTGTGTCCTCAACTAACAGAGTTGAAACTTTGTTTTGATACAGCATTTTGGAAACACTCTTTTTGTAGAATCTGCAGGTGGATATTTGGATAGCTTAGAGGGATTCGTTGGAAAGGGGATATCTTCATATAAAATCTAGACAGAAGCATTCTCAGAATCTTATTTGTGATGTGTGTCCTCAACTAACAGAGTTGAACCTTGGTTTTGATACAGCATTTTGGAAACACTCCTTTTGTAGAATCTGCAGGTGGATATGTGGATAGCTTTGAAGATTTCGTTGGAAACGGGAATTTCTTCATATAAAATCAAACTGAAGCATTCTCAGAAACTTCTCTGTGATGTATCCATTCAGCTCATGGAGTTGAACACTTCCTTTCAGAGAGCAGCTTTGAAACACTCTTTCTGCACTACCTGGAAGTGGACATTTCGAGCGCTTTGAGGCCTATGGTGAAAAAGGAAATATCTTCTCATAAAAACCAGAAAGAAGCGTTCTCAGAAACTTCTTTGTGTTGTGTGTACTCATGTAACAGTGTTGAACCATCCTTTTGACAGAGCAGTTTTGAAACACTCTTTTTGTAGAATCTGCAAGTGGATATTTGGATAGCCTTGAGGATTTCGTTGGAAACGGGTTATCTTCATATTAAATCTAGACAGAAGCATTCTCAGAAACTTCTTTGTGCTGTATGTCCTCAATTCACAGAGTTGAACCTTTGTTTGGATACAGCATTTTGGAAACATTCCTTTAGTAGAATCTGCAAGTTGATATTTAGATAGCTTTGAAGATTTCGTTGGAAACGGGAATATCTTCATAAAAAATCTAGACGGAAGCATTGTCAGAAACTGCTTTGTGATGTTTGCATTCAAGTCACAGAGTTAAATATTCTTTTACAGAGCAGGTTTGAAACACTCTTTCTGCACTCCCTGGAAGTGGAGATTTCGAGCACTTTGAGGCCTATGGTGAAAAAGGAAATATCTTCCCATAAAAACTAGACGGAAGCCTTCTCAGAAACTTGTTTGAGATGTGTGTATTCAACTAAGAGCGTTGAACATTTCTTTTTACAGAGCAGTTTTAAAACACTCTTTTGTGGAATCTGAAAGTGGATAATTGGATAGCTTTGTGGATTTCGTTGGAAACGGGATGACGTATAAAATCTAGAGAGAAGCATTCTCAGGAACTTCTTTCTGATGTTTGCATTCAAGTCACAGAATTGAACATTCCTTTTCAGAGTGCAGGTTTGAAACACTCTTTCTGTAGTATCTGGAAGTGGACATTTCAAGCGCTTTCAGGCCTACGGGGAGAAAGGAAATATCTTCAAATAAAAACTAGACAGAAGGATTCTCAGAAACTTATTTGTGATGTGTGCCCTAAACGAACACAGTTGAACCTTTGTTTTGATACAGCATTTTGGAAACACTCCTTTTGTAGGATCTGCAGGTGGATATTTGGATAGATTTTAAGATTTCGTTGGAAACGGGAATTTCTTCATAGAAGCTCAAGACAGATGCATTCTCAGAAACTTCTCTGTGATGTTTGCATTCCACTCATAGAGTTGAAAACTTCCTTTCATAGAGCAGGTTTGAAACACTCTTTCTGTAATATTTGGAAGTGGACATTTGCAGCGCTTTGAGGCCTATGGTGAAAAAGGAAATATCTTCTCATAAAAACCAGAAACAAGCATTCTCAGAAACTTCTTTTTGATGTGTGTACTCAAGTAACAGAGTTGAACCTTCCTTTTGACACAGCAGTTTTGAAACAATCTTTTTGTGGAATCTGCAAGTGGATATTTGGATAGCTTTGAGGATTTCATTGGAAACGGGATATCTTCATATAAAATCTAGACAGAAGCATTCTCAGAAACTTCTTTGTGCTGTATGTCCTCAATTAACAGAGTTGAACCATGGCTTGGATACAGCATTTTGGAAACATTCCTTGAGTAGAATCTGCAAGTTGATATGTAGATAGTTTTGAAGATTTCGTTGGAAACGGGAATATCTTCATATAAAATCTAGACGGAAGCATTCTCAGAAACTGCTTTGTGACGTTTCCATTCAAGTCACGGAGTTGAATATTCTCTTTTATAGAGCACGTTTGAAACACTCTTTCTGCACTATCTGGAAGTGGACATTTCGAGCGCTTTGAGGCCTATGGTGAAAAAGGAAATATCTTCCCATAAAAACTAGACAGAAGCATTCTCAGAAACTTGTTTGTGATGTGTGTATTCAACTAACAGAGTTGAACTTTTGTTTTTACAGAGCAGTTTTAAAACACTCTTTTTGTGGAATCAGAAAGTAGATAGTCGGATGGCTCTGAGGATTTCGTTGGAAGCGGGATTACATATAAAATCTAGAGAGAAGCATTCTCAGGAACTTCTTTGTGATGTTTGCATTGAAGTCACAGAATTGAACATTCACTTTGATAGAGCAGGTTTGAAACACTCATTCTGTAGTATCTGGAAGTGGACATTTCAAGCGCTTTCAGGCCTATGGTGAGAAAGGAAATATCTTCGAATAAAAACTAGACAGAAGCATCCTCAGAAACTTATTTGTGATGTGTGTCCTCAACTAACAGAGTTGAAACTTTGTTTTGATACAGCCTTTTGGAAACACTCCTTTTGTAGAATCTGCAGGTGGCTATTTGGATAGCTTAGAGGGATTCGTTGGAAAGGGGATATCTTCATATAAAATCTAGACAGAAGCATTCTCAGAAACTTATTTGTGATGTGTGCCCTCAACTAACAGAGTTGAACCTTGGTTTTGATACAGCATTTTGGAAACACTCCTTTTGTAGAATCTGCAGGTGGATATGTGGATAGCTTTGAAGATTTCGTTGGAATCGGGAATTTCTTCATATAAAATCAAACAGAAGCATTCTCAGAAACTTCTCTGTGATGTTTGCATTCAGCTCATGGAGTTGAACACTTCCTTTCATAGAGCAGGTTTGAAACACTCTTTCTGCACTACTTGGAAGTGGACATTTCGAGCGCTTTGAGGCCTATGGTGAAAAAGGAAATATCTTCTCATAAAAACCAGAAGGAAGCGTTCTCAGAAACTTCTTTGTGTTGTGTGTACTCATGTAACAGTGTTGAACCATCCTTTTGACAGAGCAGTTTTGAAACACTCTTTTTGTAGAATCTACCAGTGGATATTTGGATAGCTTTGAGGATTTCGTTGGAAACGGGTTATCTTCATATTAAATCTAGACAGAAGCATTCTCAGGAACTTCTTTGTGATGTTTGCATTCAAGTCACAGAATTGAACATTCCCTTTCATAGAGCAGGTTTGAAACACTCTTTCTCTAGTATCTGGAAGTGGGCATTTCAAGCGCTTTCAGGCCTATGGAGAGAAAGGAAATACCTTCAAATAAAAACTAGACAGAAGCATTCTCAGAAACTTATTTGTGATGTGTGTCCTCAACTAACAGAGTTGAACCTTTGTTTTGATACAGCATTTTGGAAACACTCCTTTTGTAGAATCTGCAGGTGGATATGTGGATAGCTTTGAAGATTTCGTTGGAAACCGGAATATCTTCATATAAAATCAAGACAGAAGCATTCTCGGAAACATCTCTGTGATGTTTGCATTCAACTCAGTAGAGTTGAACACTTCCTTTCATAGAGCAGGTTTGAAACACTCTTTCTGCCCTACCTGGAAGCGGACATTTCGAGCGCTTTGAGGCCTATGGTGAAAAAGGAAATATCTTCTCATAAAAACCAGAAAGAAGCATTCTCAGAAACTTCTTTGTGTTGTGTGTACTCAAGTAACAGTGTTGAACCTTCCTTTTGACAGAGTAGTTTTGAAACACTCTTTTGGTAGAATCTGCAAGTGGATATTTGGATAGCTTTGAGGATTTCGTTGGAAACGGGTTATCTTCCTATAAAATCCAGACAGGAGCATTCTCAGAAACTTCTTTGTGCTGTATGTCCTCAATTCACAGAGCTGAACCTTTGTTTGGATACAGCATTTTGGAGACATTCCTTTAGTAGAATCTGCAAGTTGATATTTAGATAGCTTTGAAGATTTCGTTGGAAACGGGAATATCTTCATAGAAAATCTAGACGGAAGCATTCTCAGAAACTGCTTTGTGATGTTTGCATTCAAGTCACAGAGTTGAATATTCCCTTTTATAGAGTAGGTTTGAAACACTCTTTCGGCACTACCTGGAAATGGATATTTCGAGCTCTTTGAGGCCTATGGTTAAAAGGAAATATCTTCCCATAAAAACTAGACAGAAGCCGTCTCAGAAACTTGTTTGTGATGTGTGTATTCAACTAACAGAGTTGAACATTTCTGTTACAGAGCAATTTTAAAACACTCTTTTTGTGGAATCTGAAAGTGGATATTTGGGTAGCTTTGTGGATTTCGTTAGAAACGGGATGACGTATAAAATCTAGAGAGAAGCATTCTCAGGAACTTCTTTCTGATGTTTGCATTCAAGTCACAGAATTGAACATTCCTTTTCATAGTGCAGGTTTGAAACACTCTTTCTGTAGTATCTGGAAGTGGACATTTCAAGCGCTTTCAGGCCTGTGGGGAGAAAGGAAATATCTTCAAATAAAAACTAGACAGAAGGATTCTCAGAAACTTTTTGGTGATGTGTGTCCTAAACGAACACAGTTGAACCTTTGTTTTGATACAGCGTTTTGGAAACACTCCCTTTGTACAATCTGCAGGTGGATATTTGGATAGATTTTAAGATTTCGTTGGAATCGGGAATTTCTTCATATAAACTCAAGACAGATGCATTCTCAGAAACTTCTCTGTGATGTTTGCATTCCACTCATAGAGTTGAAAACTTCCTTTCATAGAGCAGGTTTGAAACACTCTTTTTGTAATATTTGGAAGTGGACATTTGCAGCGCTTTGAGGCCTATGGTGAAAAAGGAAATATCTTCTCATAAAAACCAGAAACAAGCATTCTCAGAAACTGCTTTTTGATGTGTGTACTCAAGTAACAGAGTTGAACCTTCCTTTTGACACAGCAGTTTTGAAACAATCTTTTTGTAGAATCTGCAAGTGGATATTTGGATAGCTTTGAGGATTTCGTTGGAAACGGGATATCTTCATATAAAATCTAGACAGAAGCATTCTCAGAAACTTCTTTGTGCTGTATGTCCTCAATTAACAGAGTTGAACCATTGCTTGGATACAGCATTTTGGAAACATTCCTTTAGTAGAATCTGCAAGTAGATATTTAGATAGATTTGAAGATTTCGTTGGAAACGGGAATATCTTCATATAAAATCTAGACGGAGGCATTCTCAGAAACTGCTTTGTGATGTTTCCATTCAAGTCACAGAGTTGAATATTCTCTTTTATAGAGCACGTTTGAAACACTCTTTCTGCACTATCTGGAAGTGGACATTTCGAGCGCTTTGAGGCCTATGGTGAAAAAGGAAGTATCTTCCCATAAAAACTAGACAGAAGCATTCTCAGAAACTTGTTTGTGATGTGTGTATACAACTAACAGACTTGAACTTTTGTTTTTACAGAGCAGTTTTAAAACAATCTTTTTGTGGAATCAGAAAGTGGATATTCGGATGGCTTTGAGGATTTCGTTGGAAGCGGGATTACATATAAAATCTAGAGAGAAGCATTCTCAGGAACTACTTTGTGATGTTTGCATTGAAGTCACAGAATTGAACATTCACTTTGATAGAGCAGGTATGAAACACTCATTCTGTAGTATCTGGAAGTGGACATTTCAAGCGCTTTCAGGCCTATGGTGAGAAAGGAAATGTCTTCAAATGAAAACTAGACAGAAGCAACCTCAGAAACTTATTTATGATGTGTGTCCTCAAATAACAGAGTTTAAACTTTGTTTTGATACAGCATTTTGGAAACACTCTTTTTGTAGAATCTGCAGGTGGATATTTGGATAGCTTAGAGGGATTCGTTGGAAAGGGGATATCTTCATATAAAATCTAGACAGAAGCATTCTAAGAAACTTATTTGTGATGTGTGTCCTCAACTAACAGAGTTGAACCTTGGTTTTGATACAGCATTTTGGAAACACTCCTTTTGAAGAATCTGCAGGTGGATATGTGGATAGCTTTGAAGATTTCGTTGGAAACGGGAATTTCTTCATATAAAATCAAACAGAAGCATTCTCAGAAACTTCTCAGTGATGTTTGCATTCAGCTCATGGAGTTGTACACTTCCTTTCATAGAGCAGGTTTGAAACACTCTTTCTGCACTACCTGGAAGAGGACATTTCGAGCGCTTTGAGTCCTATGGTGAAAAAGGAAATATCTTCTCATAGAAACCAGAAAGAAGCATTCTCAGAAACTTCTTTGTGTTGTGTGTACTCATGTAACAGTGTTGAACCATCCTTTTGACAGAGGAGTTTTGAAACACTCTTTTTGTAGAATCTGCAAGTGGATATTTGGATAGCTTTGAGGATTTCGTTGGAAACGGGATGACATATAATATCTAGAGAGAAGCATTCTCAGGAACTTTTTGTGATGTTTGCATTCAAGTCACAGAATTGAACATTCCCTTTCATAGAGCAGGTTTGAAACACTCTTTCTCTAGTATCTGGAAGTGGGCATTTCAAGCGCTTTCAGGCCTATGGAGAGAAAGGAAATACCTTCAAATAAAAACTAGACAGAAGCATTCTCAGAAACTTATTTGTGATGTGTGTCCTCAACTAACAGAGTTGAACCTTTGTTTTGATACAGCATTTTGGAAACACTCCTTTTGTAGAATCTGCAGGTGGATATTTGGATAGCTTTGAAGATTTCGTTGGAAACCGGAATATCTTCATATAAAATCAAGACAGAAGCATTCTCGGAAACATCTCTGTGATGTTTGCATTCAACTCAGTAGAGTTGAACACTTCCTTTCATAGAGCAGGTTTGAAACACTCTTTCTGCACTACCTGGAAGTGGACATTTCGAGCGCTTTGAGGCCTATGGTGAAAAAGGAAATATCTTCTCATAAAAACCAGAAAGAAGCATTCTCAGAAACTTCTTTGTGTTGTGTGTACTCAAGTAACAGTGTTGAACCTTCCTTTTGACAGAGCAGTTTTGAAACACTCTTTTGGTAGAATCTGCAAGTGGATATTTGGATAGCTTTGAGGATTTCGTTGGAAACGGGTTATCTTCATATAAAATCCAGACAGGAGCATTCACAGAAACTTCTTTGTGCTGTATGTCCTCAATTCACAGAGCTGAACCTATGTTTGGATACAGCATTTTGGAAACATTCCTTTAGTAGAATCTGCAAGTTGATATTTAGATAGCTTTGAAGATTTCATTGGAAACGGGAATATCTTCATAGAAAATCTAGACGGAAGCATTCTCATAAACTGCTTTGTGATGTTTGCATTCAAGTCACAGAGTTGAATATTCCCTTTTATAGAGTAGGTTTGAAACACTCTTTCGGCACTACCTGGAAGTGGATATTTCGAGCTCTTTGAGGCCTATGCTTAAAAGGAAATATCTTCCCATAAAAACTAGACAGAAGCCGTCTCAGAAACTTGTTTGTGATGTGTGTATTCAACTAACAGAGTTGAACATTTCTGTTACAGAGCAATTTTAAAACACTCTTTCTGTGAAATCTGAAAGTGGATAATTGGATAGCTTTGTGGATTTCGTTGGAAACGGGATGACGTATAAAATCTAGAGAGAAGCATTCTCAGGAACTTCTTTCTGATGTTTGCATTCAAGTCACAGAATTGAACATTCCTTTTCATAGTGCAGGTTTGAAACACTCTTTCTGTAGTATCTGGAAGGGGACATTTCAAGCGCTTTCAGGCCTCTGGGGAGGAAGGAAATATCTTCAAATAAAAACTAGACAGAAGGCTTCTCAGAAACTTATTTGTGATGTGTGTCCTAAACGAACACAGTTGAACCTTTGTTTTGATACAGCATTTTGGAAACACTCCTTTTGTAGAATCTGCAGGTGGATATTTGGATAGATTTTAAGATTTCGTTGGAAACGGGAATTTCTTCATAGAAACTCAAGACAGATGCATTCTCAGAAACTTCTCTGTGATGTTTGCATTCCACTCATAGAGTTGAAAACTTCCTTTCATAGAGCAGGTTTGAAACACTCTTTTTGTAATATTTGGAAGTGGACATTTGCAGCGCTTTGAGGCCTATGGTGAAAAAGGAAATATCTTCTCATAAAAACCAGAAACAAGCATTCTCAGAAACTTCTTTTTGATGTGTGTACTCAAATATCAGAGTTGAACCTTCCTTTTGACACAGCAGTTTTGAAACAATCTTTTTGTAGAATCTGCAAGTGGACATTTGGATAGCTTTGATGATTTCGTTGGAAACGGGATATCTTCATATAAAATCTAGACAGAAGCATTCTCAGAAACTTCTTTGTGCTGTATGTCCTCAATTAACAGAGTTGAACCATTGCTTGGATACAGCATTTTGGAAACATTCCTTGAGTAGAATCTGCAAGTTGATATTTAGATAGATTTGAAGATTTCGTTGGAAAAGGGAATATCTCCATATAAAATCTAGAGGGAAGCATTCTCAGAAACTGCTTTGTGATGTTTCCATTCAAGTCACAGAGTTGAATATTCCCTTTTATAGAGCACGTTTGAAACACTCTTTCTGCACTATCTGGAAGCGGACATTTCGAGCGCTTTGAGGCCTATGGTGAAAAAGGAAATATCTTCCCATAAAAACTAGACAGAAGCATTCTCAGAAACTTGTTTGTGATGTGTGTATTCAACTAACAGAGTTGAACTTTTGTTTTTACAGAGCCGTTTTAAAACACTCTTTTTGTGGAATCAGAAAGTGGATATTCGGATGGCTCTGAGGATTTCGTTGGAAGCGGGATTACATATAAAATCTAGAGAGAAGCATTCTCAGGAACTTCTTTGTGATGTTTGCATTGAAGTCACAGAATGGAACATTCACTTTGATAGAGCAGGTTTGAAACACTCATTCTGTAGTATCTGGAAGTGGACATTTCAAGCGCTTTCAGGCCTATGGTGAGAAAGGAAATATCTTCGAATAAAAACTAGACAGAAGCATCCTCAGAAACTTATTTGTGATGTGTGTCCTCAACTAACAGAGTTGAAACTTTGTTTTGATACAGCATTTTGGAAACACTCTTTTTGTAGAATCTGCAGGTGGATATTTTGATAGCTTAGAGGGATTCGTTGGAAAGGGGATATCTTCATATAAAATCTAGACAGAAGCATTCTCAGAAACTTATTTGTGATGTGTGTCCTCAACTAACAGAGTTGAACCTTGGTTTTGATACAGCATTTTGGAAACACTCCTTTTGTAGAATCTGCAGGTGGATATGTGGATAGCTTTGAAGATTTCGTTGGAAACGGGAATTTCTTCGTACAAAATCAAACAGAAGCATTCTCAGAAACTTCTCTGTGATGTTTGCATTCAGCTCATGGAGTTGAACACTTCCTTTCATAGAGCAGCTTTGAAACACTCTTTCTGCACTACCAGGAAGTGGACATTTCGAGCGCTTTGAGGCCTATGGTGAAAAAGGAAATATCCTTCTCATAAAAACCAGAAAGAAGCGTTCTCAGAAACTTCTTTGTGTTGTGTGTACTCATGTAACAGTGTTGAACCATCCTTTTGACAGAGCAGTTTTGAAACACTCTTTTTGTAGAATCTGCAAGTGGATATTTGGATAGCTTTGAGGATTTCGTTGGAAACGGGTTATCTTCATATTAAATCTAGACAGAAGCATTCTCAGAAACTTCTTTGTGCTGTATGTCCTCAATTCACAGAGTTGAACCTTTGTTTGGATACAGCATTTTGGAAACATTCCTTTAGTAGAATCTGCAAGTTGATATTGAGATAGCTTTGAAGATTTCGTTGGAAACGGGAATATCTTCATAAAAAATCTAGACGGAAGCATTGTCAGAAACTGCTCTGTGATGTTTGCATTCAAGTCACAGAGTTAAATATTCTTTTATAGAGCAGGTTTGAAACACTCTTTCTGCACTCCCTGGAAGTGGAGATTTCGAGCGCTTTGAGGCCTATGGTGAAAAAGGAAATATCTTCCCGTAAAAACTAGACGGAAGCCTTCTCAGAAACTTGTTTGAGATGTGTGTATTCAACTAAGAGCGTTGAACATTTCTTTTTACAGAGCAGTTTTAAAACACTCTTTTGGTGGAATCTGAAAGTGGATAATTGGATAGCTTTGTGGATTTCGTTGGAAACGGGATTACGTTTAAAATCTAGAGAGAAGCATTCTCAGGAACTTCTTTCTGATGTTTGCATTCAAGTCACAGAATTGAACATTCCTTTTCAGAGTGCAGGTTTGAAACACTCTTTCTGTAGTATCTGGAAGTGGACATTTCAAGCGCTTTCAGGCCTACAGGGAGAAAGGAAATATCTTCAAATAAAAACTAGAGAGAAGGATTCTCAGAAACTTATTTGTGATGTGTGTCCTAAACGAACACAGTTGAACCTTTGTTTTGATACAGCATTTTGGAAACACTCCTTTTGTAGAATCTGCAGGTGGATATTTGGATAGATTTTAAGATTTCATTGGAAACGGGAATTTCTTCATATAAACTCAAGACAGATGCATTCTCAGAAACTTCTCTGTGATGTTTGCATTCCACTCATAGAGTTGAAAACTTCCTTTCATAGAGCAGGTTTGAAACACTCTTTTTGTAATATTTGGAAGTGGACATTTGCAGCGCTTTGAGGCCTATGGTGAAAAAGGAAATATCTTCTCATAAAAACCAGAAACAAGCATTCTCAGAAACTGCTTTTTGATGTGTGTACTCAAGTAACAGAGTTGAACCTTCCTTTTGACACAGCAGTTTTGAAACAATCTTTCTGTAGAATCTGCAAGTGGATATTTGGATAGCTTTGAGGATTTCGTTGGAAACGGGATATCTTCATATAAAATCTAGACAGAAGCATTCTCAGAAACTTCTTTGTGCTGTATGTCCTCAATTAACAGAGTTGAACCATTGCTTGGATACAGCATTTTGGAAACATTCCTTTAGTAGAATCTGCAAGTTGATATTTAGATAGATTTGAAGAATTCGTTGGAAACGGGAATATCTTCATATAAAATCTAGACGGAAGCATTCTCAGAAACTGCTTTGTGACGTTCCCATTCAAGTCACGGAGTTGAATATTCTCTTTTATAGAGCACGTTTGAAACACTCTTTCTGCACTATCTGGAAGTGGACATTTCGAGCGCTTTGAGGCCTATGGTGAAAAAGGAAATATCTTCCCATAAAAACTAGACAGAAGCATTCTCAGAAACTTGTTTGTGATGGGTGTATTCAACTAACAGAGTTGAACTTTTGTTTTTACAGAGCCGTTTTAAAACACTCTTTTTGTGGAATCAGAAAGTGGATATTCGGATGGCATTGAGGATTTCGTTGGAAGCGGGATTACATATAAAATCTAGAGAGAAGCATTCTCAGGAACTTCTTTGTGATGTTTGCATTGAAGTCACAGAATTGAACATTCACTTTTATAGAGCAGGGTTGAAACACTCATTCTGTAGTATCTGGAAGTGGACATTTCAAGCGCTTTCAGGCCTATGGTGAGAAAGGAGATATCTTCAAATAAAAACTAGACAGAAGCATCCTCAGAAACTTATTTGTGATGTGTGTCCTCAACTAACAGAGTTGAAACTTTGTTTTGATACAGCCTTTTGGAAACACTCCTTTTGTAGAATCTGCAGGTGGCTATTTGGATAGCTTAGAGGGATTCGTTGGAAAGGGGATATCTTCATATAAAATCTAGACAGAAGCATTCTCAGAAACTTATTTGTGATGTGTGCCCTCAACTAACAGAGTTGAACCTTGGTTTTGATACAGCATTTTGGAAACACTCCTTTTGTAGAATCTGCAGGTGGATATGTGGATAGCTTTGAAGATTTCGTTGGAATCGGGAATTTCTTCATATAAAATCAAACAGAAGCATTCTCAGGAACTTCTCTGTGATGTTTGCATTCAGCTCATGGAGTTGAACACTTCCTTTCATAGAGCAGGTTTGAAACACTCTTTCTGCACTACCTGGAAGTGGACATTTCGAGCGCTTTGAGGCCTATGGTGAAAAAGGAAATATCCTGCTCATAAAAACCAGAAAGAGAGCGTTCTCAGAAACTTCTTTGTGTTGTGTGTACTCATGTAACAGTGTTGAACCATCCTTTTGACAGAGCAGTTTTGAAACACTCTTTTTGTAGAATCTGCAAGTGGATATTTGGATAGCTTTGAGGATTTCGTTGGAAACGGGTTATCTTCATATTAAATCTAGACTGAGCATTCTCAGGAACTTCTTTGTGATGTTTGCATTCAAGTCACAGAATTGAACATTCCCTTTCATAGAGCAGGTTTGAAACACTCTTTCTCTAGTATCTGGAAGTGGGCATTTCAAGCGCTTTCAGGCCTATGGAGAGAAAGGAAATACCTTCAAATAAAAACTAGACAGAAGCATTCTCAGAAACTTATTTGTGATGTGTGTCCTCAACTAACAGAGTTGAACCTTTGTTTTGATACAGCATTTTGGAAACACTCCTTTTGTAGAATCTGCAGGTGGATATTTGGATAGCTTTGAAGATTTCGTTGGAAACCGGAATATCTTCATATAAAATCAAGACAGAAGCATTCTCGGAAACATCTCTGTGATGTTTGCATTCAACTCAGTAGAGTTGAACACTTCCTTTCATAGAGCAGGTTTGAAACACTCTTTCTGCACTACCTGGAAGCGGACATTTCGAGCGCTTTGAGGCCTATGGTGAAAAAGGAAATTCTCTCATAAAAACCAGAAAGAAGCATTCTCAGAAACTTCTTTGTGTTGTGTGTACTCAAGTAACAGTGTTGAACCTTCCTTTTGACAGAGTAGTTTTGAAACACTCTTTTGGTAGAATCTGCAAGTGGATATTTGGATAGCTTTGAGGATTTCGTTGGAAACGGGTTATCTTCCTATAAAATCCAGACAGGAGCATTCTCAGAAACTTCTTTGTGCTGTATGTCCTCAATTCACAGAGTTGAACCTTTGTTTGGATACAGCATTTTGGAAACATTCCTTTAGTAGAATCTGCAAGTTGATATTTAGATAGCTTTGAAGATTTCGTTGGAAACGGGAATATCTTCATAAAAAATCTAGACGGAAGCATTGTCAGAAACTGCTTTGTGATGTTTGCATTCAAGTCACAGAGTTAAATATTCTTTTACAGAGCAGGTTTGAAACACTCTTTCTGCAATCCCTGAAAGTGGAGATTTCGAGCGCTTTGAGGCCTATGGTGAAAAAGGAAATATCTTCCCATAAAAACTAGACGGAAGCCTTCTCAGAAACTTGTTTGAGATGTGTGTATTCAACTAAGAGCGTTGAACATTTCTTTTTACAGAGCAGTTTTAAAACACTCTTTTGTGGAATCTGAAAGTGGATAATTGGATAGCTTCGTGGATTTCGTTGGAAACGGGATGACGTATAAAATCTAGAGAGAAGCATTCTCAGGAACTTCTTTCTGATGTTTGCATTCAAGTCACAGAATTGAACACACCTTTTCATAGTGCAGGTTTGAAACACTCTTTCTGTAGTATCTGGAAGTGGACATTTCAAGCGCTTTCAGGCCTATGGGGAGAAAGGAAATATCTTCAAATAAAAACTAGACAGAAGGATTTTCAGAAACTTATTGGTGATGTGTGTCCTAAACGAACACAGTTGAACCTTTGTTTTGATACAGCATTTTGGAAACACTCCCTTTGTAGAATCTGCAGGTGGATATTTGGATAGATTTTAAGATTTCGTTGGAAACGGGAATTTCTTCATATAAACTCAAGACAGATGCATTCTCAGAAACTTCTCTGTGATGTTTGCATTCCACTCATAGAGTTGAAAACTTCCTTTCATAGAGCAGGTTTGAAACACTCTTTTTGTAATATTTGGAAGTTGGCATTTGCAGCGCTTTGAGACCTATGGTGAAAAAGGAAATATCTTCTCATTAAAACCAGAAACAAGCATTCTCAGAAACTTCTTTTTGATGTGTGTACTCAAGTAACAGAGTTGAACCTTCCTTTTGACACAGCAGTTTTGAAACAATCTTTTTGTAGAATCTGCAAGTGGATATTTGGATAGCTTTGAGGATTTCGTTGGAAACGGGATATCTTCATATAAAATCTAGACAGAAGCATTCTCAGAAACTTCTTTGTGCTGTATGTCCTCAATTAACAGAGTTGAACCATTGCTTGGATACAGCATTTTGGAAACATTCCTTTAGTAGAATCTGCAAGTTGATATTTAGATAGATTTGAAGATTTCATTGGAAACGGGAATATCTTCATATAAAATCTACACGGAAGCATTCTCAGAAACTGCTTTGTGATGTTTCCATTCAAGTCACAGAGTTGAATATTCCCTTTTATAGAGCACGTTTGAAACACTCTTTCTGCACTATCTGGAAGCGGACATTTCGAGCGCTTTGAGGCCTATGGTGAAAAAGGAAATATCTTCCCATAAAAACTAGACAGAAGCATTCTCAGAAACTTGTTTGTGATGTGTGTATTCAACTAACAGAGTTGAACTTTTGTTTTTACAGAGCCGTTTTAAAACACTCTTTTTGTGGAATCAGAAAGTGGATATTCGGATGGCTCTGAGGATTTCGTTGGAAGCGGGATTACGTATAAAATCTAGAGAGAAGCATTCTCAGGAACTTCTTTGTGATGTTTGCATTGAAGTCACACAATTGAACATTCACTTTGATAGAGCAGGTTTGAAACACTCATTCTGTAGTATCTGGAAGTGGACATTTCAAGCGCTTTCAGGCCTATGGTGAGAAAGGAAATATCTTCGAATAAAAACTAGACAGAAGCATCCTCAAACTTATTTGTGATGTGTGTCCTCAACTAACAGCAGTTGAAACTTTGTTTTGATACAGCATTTTGGAAACACTCTTTTTGTAGAATCTGCAGGTGGATATTTGGATAGCTTAGAGGGATTCGTTGGAAAGGGGATATCTTCATATAGAATCTAGACAGAAGCATTCTCAGAAACTTATTTGTGATGTGTGTCCTCAACTAACAGAGTGGAACCTTGGTTTTGATACAGCATTTTGGAAACACTCCTTTTGTAGAATCTGCAGGTGGATATGTGGATAGCTTTGAAGATTTCGTTGGAAACGGGAATTTCTTCATATAAAATCAAACAGAAGCATTCTCAGAAACTTCTCTGTGATGTTTGCATTCAGCTCATGGAGTTGAACACTTCCTTTCATAGAGCAGGTTTGAAACACTCTTTCTGCACTACCAGGAAGTGGACATTTCGAGCGCTTTGAGGCCTATGGTGAAAAAGGAAATATCTTCTCATAAAAACCAGAAAGAAGCATTCTCAGAAACTTCTTTGTGTTGTGTGTACTCATGTAACAGTGTTGAACCATCCTTTTGACAGAGCAGTTTTGAAACACTCTTTTTGTAGAATCTGCAAGTGGATATTTGGATAGCTTTGAGGATTTCGTTGGAAACGGGATGACATATAATATCTAGAGAGAAGCATTCTCAGGAACTTCTTTGTGATGTTTTCATTCAAGTCACAGAATTGAACATTCCCTTTCATAGAGCAGGTTTGAAACACTCTTTCTCTAGTATCTGGAAGTGGGCATTTCAAGCGCTTTCAGGCCTATGGAGAGAAAGGAAATACCTTCAAATAAAAACTAGACAGAAGCATTCTCAGAAACTTATTTGTGATGTGTGTCCTCAACTAACAGAGTTGAACCTTTGTTTTGATACAGCATTTTGGAAACACTCCTTTTGTAGAATCTGCAGGTGGATATTTGGATAGCTTTGAAGATTTCGTTGGAAACCGGAATATCTTCCTATAAAATCAAGACAGAAGCATTCTCGGAAACATCTCTGTGATGTTTGCATTCAACTCAGTAGAGTTGAACACTTCCTTTCATAGAGCAGGTTTGAAACACTCTTTCTGCCCTACCTGGAAGCGGACATTTCGAGCTCTTTGAGGCCTATGGTGAAAAAGGAAATATCTTCTCATAAAAACCAGAAAGAAGCATTCTCAGAAACTTCTTTGTGTTGTGTGTACTCAAGTAACAGTGTTGAACCTTCCTTTTGACAGAGCAGTTTTGAAACACTCTTTTGGTAGAATCTGCAAGTGGATATTTGGATAGCTTTGAGGATTTCGTTGGAAACGGGTTATCTTCATATAAAATCCAGACAGGAGCATTCTCAGAAACTTCTTTGTGCTGTATGTCCTCAATTCACAGAGCTGAACCTTTGTTTGGATACAGCATTTTGGAGACATTCCTTTAGTAGAATCTGCAAGTTGATATTTAGATAGCTTTGAAGATTTCGTTGGAAACGGGAATATCTTCATAGAAAATCTAGACGGAAGCATTCTCAGAAACTGCTTTGTGATGTTTGCATTCAAGTCACAGAGTTGAATATTCCCTTTTATAGAGTAGGTTTGAAACACTCTTTCGGCACTACCTGGAAGTGGATATTTCGAGCTCTTTGAGGCCTATGGTTAAAAGGAAATATCTTCCCATAAAAACTAGACAGAAGCCATCTCAGAAACTTGTTTGTGATGTGTGTATTCAACTACCAGAGTTGAACATTTCTGTTACAGAGCAATTTTAAAACACTCTTTTTGTGGAATCTGAAAGTGGATAATTGGATAGCTTTGTGGATTTCGTTGGAAACGGGATGACGTATAAAATCTAGAGAGAATCATTCTCAGGAACTTCTTTCTGATGTTTGCATTCAAGTCACAGAATTGAACATTCCTTTTCATAGTGCAGGTTTGAAACACTCTTTCTGTAGTATCTGGAAGTGGACATTTCAAGCGCTTTCAGGCCTATGGGGAGAAAGGAAATATCTTCAAATAAAAACTAGACAGAAGGATTCTCAGAAACTTATTGGTGATGTGTGTCCTAAACGAACACAGTTGAACCTTTGTTTTGATACAGCATTTTGGAAACACTCCCTTTCTAGAATCTGCAGGTGGATATTTGGATAGATTTTAAGATTTCGTTGGAAACGGGAATTTCTTCATATAAACTCAAGACAGATGCATTCTCAGAAACTTCTCTGTGATGTTTGCATTCCACTCATAGAGTTGAAAACTTCCTTTCATAGAGCAGGTTTGAAACACTCTTTTTGTAATATTTGGAAGTGGACATTTGCAGCGCTTTGAGGTCTATGGTGAAAAAGGAAATATCTTCTCATAAAAACCAGAAACAAGCATTCTCAGAAACTTCTTTTTGATGTGTGTACTCAAGTAACAGAGTTGAACTTTCTTTTGACACAGCAGTTTTGAAACAATCTTTTTGTAGAATCTGCAAGTGGATATTTGGATAGCTTTGAGGATTTCGTTGGAAACGGGATATCTTCATATAAAATCTAGACAGAAGCATTCTCAGAAACTTCTTTGTGCTGTATGTCCTCAATTAACAGAGTTGAACCATTGCTTGGATACAGCATTTTGGAAACATTCCTTTAGTAGAATCTGCAAGTTGATATTTAGATAGATTTGAAGATTTCGTTGGAAACGGGAATATCTTCATATAAAATCTAGACGGAGGCATTCTCAGAAACTGCTTTGTGATGTTTCCATTCAAGTCACAGAGTTGAATATTCTCTTTATAGAGCACGTTTGAAACACTCTTTCTGCACTCTCTGGAAGTGGACATTTCGAGCGCTGTGAGGCCTATGGTGAAAAAGGAAATATCTTCCCATAAAAACTAGACAGAAGCATTCTCAGAAACTTGTTTGTGATGTGTGTATTCAACTAACAGAGTTGAACTTTTGTTTTTACAGAGCCGTTTTAAAACACTCTTTTTGTGGAATCAGAAAGTGGATATTCGGATGGCTCTGAGGATTTCGTTGGAAGCGGGATTACGTATAAAATCTAGAGAGAAGCATTCTCAGGAACTACTTTGTGATGTTTGCATTGAAGTCACAGAATTGAACATTCACTATGATAGAGCAGGTTTGAAACACTCATGCTGTAGTATCTGGAAGTGGACATTTCAAGCGCTTTCAGGCCTATGGTGAGAAAGGAAATATCTTCAAATAAAAACTAGACAGAAGCATCCTCAGAAACTTATTTGTGATGTGTGTCCTCAACTAACAGAGTGGAAACTTTGTTTTGATACAGCATTTTGGAAACACTCTTTTTGTAGAATCTGCAGGTGGATATTTGGATAGCTTAGAGGGATTCGTTGGAAAGGGGATATCTTCATATAAAATCTAGACAGAAGCATTCTCAGAAACTTATTTGTGATGTGTGTCCTCAACTAACAGAGTTGAACCTTGGTTTTGATACAGCATTTTGGAAACACTCCTTTTGAAGGATCTGCCCGTGGATATGTGGATAGCTTTGAAGATTTCGTTGGAAACGGGTATTTCTTCATATAAAATCAAACAGAAGCATTCTCAGGAACTTCTCTGTGATGTTTGCATTGAGCTCATGGAGTTGAACACTTCCTTTCATAGAGCAGGTTTGAAACACTCTTTCTGCACTACCTGGAAGTGGACATTTCGAGCGCTTTGAGGCCTATGGTGAAAAGGGAAATATCTTCTCATAAAAACCAGAAAGAAGCATTCTCAGAAACTTCTTTGTGTTGTGTGTACTCATGTAACAGTGTTGAACCATCCTTTTGACAGAGCAGTTTTGAAACACTCTTTTTGTAGAATCTGCAAGTGGATATTTGGATAGCTTTGAGGATTTCGTTGGAAACGGGATGACATATAATATCTAGAGAGAAGCATTCTCAGGAACTTCTTTGTGATGTTTGCATTCAAGTCACAGAATTGAACATTCCCTTTCATAGAGCAGGTTTGAAACACTCTTTCTCTAGTATCTGGAAGTGGGCATTTCAAGCGCTTTCAGGCCTATGGAGAGAAAGGAAATACCTTCAAATAAAAACTAGACAGAAGCATTCTCAGAAACTTATTTGTGATGTGTGTCCTCAACTAACAGAGTTGAACCTTTGTTTTGATACAGCATTTTGGAAACACTCCTTTTGTAGAATCTGCAGGTGGATATGTGGATAGCTTTGAAGATTTCGTTGGAAACCGGAATATCTTCCTATAAAATCAAGACAGAAGCATTCTCGGAAACATCTCTGTGATGTTTGCATTCAACTCAGTAGAGTTGAACACTTCCTTTCATAGAGCAGGTTTGAAACACTCTTTCTGCCCTACCTGGAAGCGGACATTTCGAGCTCTTTGAGGCCTATGGTGAAAAAGGAAATATCTTCTCATAAAAACCAGAAAGAAGCATTCTCAGAAACTTCTTTGTGTTGTGTGTACTCAAGTAACAGTGTTGAACCTTCCTTTTGACAGAGCAGTTTTGAAACACTCTTTTGGTAGAATCTGCAAGTGGATATTTGGATAGCTTTGAGGATTTCGTTGGAAACGGGTTATCTTCCTATAAAATCCAGACAGGAGCATTCTCAGAAACTTCTTTGTGTTGTATGTCCTCAATTCACAGAGCTGAACCTTTGTTTGGATACAGCATTTTGGAGACATTCCTTTAGTAGAATCTGCAAGTTGATATTTAGATAGCTTTGAAGATTTCGTTGGAAACGGGAATATCTTCATAGAAAATCTAGACGGAAGCATTCTCAGAAACTGCTTTGTGATGTTTGCATTCAAGTCACAGAGTTGAATATTCCCTTTTATAGAGTAGGTTTGAAACACTCTTTCGGCACTACCTGGAAGTGGATATTTCGAGCTCTTTGAGGCCTATGGTTAAAAGGAAATATCTTCCCATAAAAACTAGACAGAAGCCGTCTCAGAAACTTGTTTGTGATGTGTGTATTCAACTAACAGAGTTGAACATTTCTGTTACAGAGCAATTTTAAAACACTCTTTCTGTGAAATCTGAAAGTGGATAATTGGATAGCTTTGTGGATTTCGTTGGAAACGGGATGACGTATAAAATCTAGAGAGAAGCATTCTCAGGAACTTCTTTCTGATGTTTGCATTCAAGTCACAGAATTGAACATTCCTTTTCATAGTGCAGGTTTGAAACGCTCTTTCTGTAGTATCTGGAATTGGACATTTCAAGCGCTTTCAGGCCTATGGGGAGAAAGGAAATATCTTCAAATAAAAACTAGACAGAAGGATTCTCAGAAACTTATTGGTGATGTGTGTCCTAAACGAACACAGTTGAACCTTTGTTTTGATACAGCATTTTGGAAACACTCCCTCTGTAGAATCTGCAGGTGGATATTTGGATAGATTTTAAGATTTCATTGGAAACGGGAATTTCTTCATATAAACTCAAGACAGATGCATTCTCAGAAACTTCTCTGTGATGTTTGCATTCCACTCATAGAGTTGAAAACTTCCTTTCATAGAGCAGGTTTGAAACACTCTTTTTGTAATATTTGGAAGTGGACATTTGCAGCGCTTTGAGGCCTATGGTGAAAAAGGAAATATCTTCTCATAAAAACCAGATACAAGCATTCTCAGAAACTTCTTTTTGATGTGTGTACTCAAGTAACAGAGTTGAACCTTCCCTTTTGACACAGCAGTTTTGAAACAATCTTTTTGTAGAATCTGCAAGTGGATATTTGGATAGCTTTGAGGATTTCGTTGGAAACGGGATATCTTCATATAAAATCTAGACAGAAGCATTCTCAGAAACTTCTTTGTGCTGTATGACCTCAATTAACAGAGTTGAACCATTGCTTGCATACAGCATTTTGGAAACATTCCTTGAGTAGAATCTGCAAGTTGATATTTAGATAGATTTGAAGATTTCGTTCGAAAACGGAATATCTCCATATAAAATCTAGAGGGAAGCATTCTCAGAAACTGCTTTGTGATGTTTCCATTCAAGTCACAGAGTTGAATATTCCCTTTTATAGAGCACGTTTGAAACACTCTTTCTGCGCTATCTGGAAGTGGACATTTCGAGCGCTTTGAGGCCTATGGTGAAAAAGGAAATATCTTCCCATAAAAACTAGACAGAAGCATTCTCAGAAACTTGTTTGTGATGTGTGTATTCAACTAACAGAGTTGAACTTTTGTTTTTACAGAGCCGTTTTAAAACACTCTTTTTGTGGAATCAGAAAGTGGATATTCGGATGGCTCTGAGGATTTCGTTGGAAGCGGGATTACATATAAAATCTAGAGAGAAGCATTCTCAGGAACTTCTTTGTGATGTTTGCATTGAAGTCACAGAATTGAACATTCACTTTGATAGAGCAGGTTTGAAACACTCATTCTGTAGGATCTGGAAGTGGACATTTCAAGCGCTTTCAGGCCTATGGTGAGAAAGGAAATATCTTCGAATAAAAACTAGACAGAAGCATCCTCAGAAACTTATTTGTGATGTGTGTCCTCAACTAACAGAGTTGAAACTTTGTTTTGATACAGCATTTTGGAAACACTCTTTTTGTAGAATCTGCAGGTGGATATTTGGATAGCTTAGAGGGATTCGTTGGAAAGGGGATATCTTCATATAAAATCTAGACAGAAGCATTCTCAGAAACTTATTTGTGATGTGTGTCCTCAACTAACAGAGTTGAACCTTGGTTTTGATACAGCATTTTGGAAACACTCCTTTTGTAGAATCTGCAGGTGGATATGTGGATAGCTCTGAAGATTTCGTTGGAAACGGGAATTTCTTCATATAAAATCAAACAGAAGCATTCTCAGAAACTTCTCAGTGATGTTTGCATTCAGCTCATGGAGTTGTACACTTCCTTTCATAGAGCAGGTTTGAAACACTCTTTCTGCACTACCTGGAAGAGGACATTTCGAGCGCTTTGTGTCCTATGGTGAAAAAGGAAATATCTTCTCATAGAAACCAGAAAGAAGCATTCTTAGAAACTTCTTTGTGTTGTGTGTACTCATGTAACAGTGTTGAACCATCCTTTTGACAGAGGAGTTTTGAAACACTCTTTTTGTAGAATCTGCAAGTGGATATTTGGATAGCTTTGAGGATTTCGTTGGAAACGGGATGACATATAATATCTAGAGAGAAGCATTCTCAGGAACTTCTTTGTGATGTTTGCATTCAAGTCACAGAATTGAACATTCCCTTTCATAGAGCAGGTTTGAAACACTCTTTCTCTAGTATCTGGAAGTGGGCATTTCAAGCGCTTTCAGGCCTATGGAGAGAAAGGAAATACCTTCAAATAAAAACTAGACAGAAGCATTCTCAGAAACTTATTTGTGATGTGTGTCCTCAACTAACAGAGTTGAACCTTTGTTTTGATACAGCATTTTGGAAACACTCCTTTTGTAGAATCTGCAGGTGGATATTTGGATAGCTTTGAAGATTTCGTTGGAAACCGGAATATCTTCATATAAAATCAAGACAGAAGCATTCTCGGAAACATCTCTGTGATGTTTGCATTCAACTCAGTAGAGTTGAACACTTCCTTTCATAGAGCATGTTTGAAACACTCTTTCTGCACTACCTGGAAGCGGACATTTCGAGCGCTTTGAGGCCTATGGTGAAAAAGGAAATATCTTCTCATAAAAACCAGAAAGAAGCATTCTCAGAAACTTCTTTGTGTTGTGTGTACTCAAGTAACAGTGTTGAACCTTCCTTTTGACAGAGCAGTTTTGAAACACTCTTTTGGTAGAATCTGCAAGTGGATATTTGGAGAGCTTTGAGGATTTCGTTGGAAACGGGTTATCTTCATATAAAATCCAGACAGGAGCATTATCAGAAACTTCTTTGTGCTGTATGTCCTCAATTCACAGAGCTGAACCTTTGTTTGGATACAGCATTTTGGAGACATTCCTTTAGTAGAATCTGCAAGTTGATATTTAGATAGCTTTGAAGATTTCGTTGGAAACGGGAATATCTTCATATAAAATTTAGACGGAAGCATTCTCATAAACTGCTTTGTGATGTTTGCATTCAAGTCACAGAGTTGAATATTCCCTTTTACAGAGTAGGTTTGAAACACTCTTTCGGCACTACCTGGAAGTGGATATTTCGAGCTGTTTGAGGCCTATGGTTAAAAGGAAATATCTTCCCATAAAAACTAGACAGAAGCCATCTCAGAAACTTGTTTGTGATGTGTGTATTCAACAAACAGAGCTGAACATTTCTGTTACAGAGCAGTTTTAAAACACTCTTTTTCTGGAATCTGAAAGTGGATAATTGGATAGCTTTGTGGATTTCGTTGGAAACGGGATGAGGTATAAAATCTAGAGAGAAGCATTCTCAGGAACTTCTTTCTGATGTTTGCATTCAAGTCACAGAATTGAACATTCCTTTTCATAGTGCAGGTTTGAAACACTCTTTCTGTAGTATCTGGAAGTGGACATTTCAAGCGCTTTCAGGCCTATGGGGAGAAAGGAAATATCTTCAAATTAAAAACTAGACAGAAGGATTCTCAGAAACTTATTTGTGATGTGTGTCCTAAATGAACACAGTTGAACCTTTGTTTTGATACAGCATTTGGGAAACAGTCTTTTGTAGAATCTGCAGGTGGATATTTGGATAGATTTTAAGATTTCGTTGGAAACGGGAATTTCTTCATATAAACTCAAGACAGATGCATTCTCAGAAACTTCTCTGTGATGTTTGCATTCCACTCATAGAGTTGAAAACTTCCTTTCATAGAGCACGTTTGAAACACTCTTTTTGTAATATTTGGAAGTGGACCTTTGCAGCGCTTTGAGGCCTATGGTGAAAAAGGAAATATCTTCTCATAAAAACCAGAAACAAGCATTCTCAGAAACTTCTTTTTGATGTGTGTACTCAAGTAACAGAGTTGAACCTTCCTTTTGACACAGCAGTTTTGAAACAATCTTTTTGTAGAATCTGCAAGTGGATATTTGGATAGCTTTGAGGATTTCGTTGCAAACGGGATATCTTCATATAAAATCTAGACAGAAGCATTCTCAGAAACTTCTTTGTGCTGTATGTCCTCAATTAACAGAGTTGAACCATTGCTTGGATACAGCATTTTGGAAACATTCCTTTAGTAGAATCTGCAAGTTGATATTTAGATAGATTTGAAGATTTCGTTGGAAACGGGAATATCTTCATATAAAATCTAGACGGAGGCATTCTCAGAAACAGCTTTGTGATGTTTCCATTCAAGTCACAGAGTTGAATATTCCCTTTTATAGAGCACGTTTGAAACACTCTTTCGGCACTATCTGGAAGTGGACATTTCGAGCGCTTTGAGGCCTATGGTGAAAAAGGAAATATCTTCCCATAAAAACTAGACAGAAGCATTCTCAGAAACTTGTTTGTGATGTGTGTATTCAACTAACAGACTTGAACTTTTGTTTTTACAGAGCAGTTTTAAAACAATCTTTTTGTGGAATCAGAAAGTGGATATTCGGATGGCTTTGAGGATTTCGTTGGAAGCGTGATTACATATAAAATCTAGAGAGAAGCATTCTCAGGAACTACTTTGTGATGTTTGCATTGAAGTCACAGAATTGAACATTCACTATGATAGAGCAGGTTTGAAACACTCATGCTGTAGTATCTGGAAGTGGACATTTCAAGCGCTTTCAGGCCTATGGTGAGAAAGGAAATATCTTCAAATAAAAACTAGACAGAAGCATCCTCAGAAACTTATTTGTGATGTGTGTCCTCAACTAACAGAGTGGAAACTTTGTTTTGATACAGCATTTTGGAAACACTCTTTTTGTAGAATCTGCAGGTGGATATTTGGATAGCTTAGAGGGATTCGTTGGAAAGGGGATATCTTCATATAAAATCTAGACAGAAGCATTCTCAGAAACTTATTTGTGATGTGTGTCCTCAACTAACAGAGTTGAACCTTGGTTTTGATACAGCATTTTGGAAACACTCCTTTTGAAGAATCTGCAGGTGGATATGTGGATAGCTTTGAAGATTTCGTTGGAAACGGGAATTTCTTCATATAAAATCAAACAGAAGCATTCTCAGGAACTTCTCTGTGATGTTTGCATTCAGCTCATGGAGTTGAACACTTCCTTTCATAGAGCAGGTTTGAAACACTCTTTCTGCACTACCTGGAAGTGGACCTTTCGAGCGCTTTGAGGCCTATTGTGAAAAAGGAAATATCTTCTCATAAAAACCAGAAAGAAGCGTTCTCAGAAACTTCTTTGTGTTGTGTGTACTCATGTAACAGTGTTGAACCATCCTTTTGACAGAGCAGTTTTGAAACACTCTTTTTGTAGAATCTGCCAGTGGATATTTGGATAGCTTTGAGGATGTCGTTGCAAACGGGTTATCTTCATATTAAATCTAGACAGAAGCATTCTCAGAAACTTCTTTGTGCTGTATGTCCTCAATTCACAGAGTTGAACTTTGTTTGGATACAGCATTTTGGAAACATTCCTTTAGTAGAATCTGCAAGTTGATATTGAGATAGCTTTGAAGATTTCGTTGGAAACGGGAATATCTTCATAAAAAATCTAGACGGAAGCATTCTCAGAAACTGCTTTGTGATGTTTGCATTCAGGTCACAGAGTTGAATATTCCCTTTTATAGAGTAGGTTTGAAACACTCTTTCGGCACTACCTGGAAGTGGATATTTCGAGCTCTTTGAGGCCTATGGTTAAAAGGAAATATCTTCCCATAAAAACTAGACAGAAGCCTTCTCAGAAACTTGTTTGAGATGTGTGCATTCAACTAAGAGCGTTGAAAATTTCTTTTTACAGAGCAGTTTTAAAACACTCTTTTTGTGGAATCTGAAAGTGGATAATTGGATAGCTTTGTGGATTTCGTTGGAAACGGGATGACGTATAAAATCTAGAGAGAAGCATTCTCAGGAACTTCTTTCTGATGTTTGCATTCAAGTCACAGAAATGAACATTCCTTTTCATAGTGCAGGTTTGAAACACTCTTTCTGTAGTATCTGGAAGTGGACATTTCAAGCGCTTTCAGGCCTATGGGGAGAAAGGAAAGATCTTCAAATAAAAACTAGACAGAAGGATTCTCAGAAACTTATTGGTGATGTGTGTCCTCAACGAACACAGTTGAACCTTTGTTTTGATACAGCATTTTGGAAACACTCCCTTTGTAGAATCTGCAGGTGGATATGTGGATAGATTTTAAGATTTCGTTGGAAACGGGAATTTCTTCATATAAACTCAAGACAGATGCATTCTCAGAAACTTCTCTGTGATGTTTGCATTCCACTCATAGAGTTGAAAACTTCCTTTCATAGAGCAGGTTTGAAACACTCTTTTTGTAATATTTGGAAGTGGACATTTGCAGCGCTTTGAGGCCTATGGTGAAAAAGGAAATATCTTCTCATAAAAACCAGAAACAAGCATTCTCAGAAACTTCTTTTTGATGTGTGTACTCAAGTAACAGAGTTGAACCTTCCTTTTGACACAGCAGTTTTGAAACAATCTTTTTGTAGAATCTGCAAGTGGATATTTGGATAGATTTGAGGATTTCGTTGGAAACGGGATATCTTCATATAAAATCTAGACAGAAGCATTCTCAGAAACTTCTTTGTGCTGTATGTCCTCAATTAACAGAGTTGAACCATTGCTTGGATACAGCATTTTGGAAACATTCCTTTAGTAGAATCTGCAAGTTGATATTTAGATAGATTTGAAGATTTCGTTGGAAACGGGAATATCTTCATATAAAATCTAGACGGAGGCATTCTCAGAAACTGCTTTGTGATGTTTCCATTCAAGTCACAGAGTTGAATATTCTCTTTTATAGAGCACGTTTGAAACACTCTTTCTGCACTATCTGGAAGTGGACATTTCGAGCGCTGTGAGGCCTATGGTGAAAAAGGAAATATCTTCCCATAAAAACTAGACAGAAGCATTCTCAGAAACTTGTTTGTGATGTGTGTATTCAACTAACAGAGTTGAACTTTTGTTTTTACAGAGCCGTTTTAAAACACTCTTTTTGTGGAATCAGAAAGTGGATATTCGGATGGCTCTGAGGATTTCGTTGGAAGCGGGATTACGTATAAAATCTAGAGAGAAGCATTCTCAGGAACTTCTTTGTGATGTTTGCATTGAAGTCACGGAATTGAACATTCACTTTTATAGAGCAGGTTTGAAACACTCATTCTGTAGTATCTGGAAGTGGACATTTCAAGCGCTTTCAGGCCTATGGTGAGAAAGGAAATATCTTCGAATAAAAACTAGACAGAAGCATCCTCAGAAACTTATTTGTGATGTGTGTCCTCAACTAACAGAGTTGAAACTTTGTTTTGATACAGCATTTTGGAAACACTCTTTTTGTAGAATCTGCAGGTGGATATTTGGATAGCTTAGAGGGATTCGTTGGAAAGGGGATATCTTCATATAAAATCTAGACAGAAGCATTCTCAGAAACTTATTTGTGATGTGTGTCCTCAACTAACAGAGTTGAACCTTGGTTTTGATACAGCATTTTGGAAACACTCCTTTTGTAGAATCTGCAGGTGGATATGTGGATAGCTCTGAAGATTTCGTTGGAAACGGGAATTTCTTCATATAAAATCAAACAGAAGCATTCTCAGAAACTTCTCAGTGATGTTTGCATTCAGTTCATGGAGTTGAACACTTCCCTTCATAGAGCCGGTTTGAAACACTCTTTCTGCACTACCTGGAAGAGGACATTTCGAGCGCTTTGAGTCCTATGGTGAAAAAGGAAATATCTTCTCATATAAACCAGAAAGAAGCATTCTCAGAAACTTCTTTGTGTTGTGTGTACTCATGTAACAGTGTTGAACCATCCTTTTGACAGAGCAGTTTTGAAACACTCTTTTTGTAGAATCTGCAAGTGGATATTTGGATAGCTTTGAGGATTTCGTTGGAAACGGGATGACATATAATATCTAGAGAGAAGCATTCTCAGGAACTTCTTTGTGATGTTTGCATTCAAGTCACAGAATTGAACATTCCCTTTCATAGAGCAGGTTTGAAACACTCTTTCTCTAGTATCTGGAAGTGGGCATTTCAAGCGCTTTCAGGCCTATGGAGAGAAAGGAAATACCTTCAAATAAAAAGTAGACAGAAGCATTCTCAGAAACTTATTTGTGATGTGTGTCCTCAACTAACAGAGTTGAACCTTTGTTTTGATACAGCATTTTGGAAACACTCCTTTTGTAGAATCTGCAGGTGGATATGTGGATAGCTTTGAAGATTTCGTTGGAAACCGGAATATCTTCCTATAAAATCAAGACAGAAGCATTCTCGGAAACATCTCTGTGATGTTTGCATTCAACTCAGTAGAGTTGAACACTTCCTTTCATAGAGCAGGTTTGAAACACTCTTTCTGCACTACCTGGAAGCGGACATTTTGAGCGCTTTGAGGCCTATGGTGAAAAAGGAAATATCTTCTCATAAAAACCAGAAAGAAGCATTCTCAGAAACTTCTTTGTGTTGTGTGTACTCATGTAACAGTGTTGAACCATCCTTTTGACAGAGGAGTTTTGAAACACTCTTTTGGTAGAATCTGCAAGTGGATATTTGGATAGCTTTGAGGATTTCGTTGGAAACGGGTTATCTTCCTATAAAATCCAGACAGGAGCATTCTCAGAAACTCCTTTGTGCTGTATGTCCTCAATTCACAGAGCTGAACCTTTGTTTGGATACAGCATTTTGGAGACATTCCTTTAGTAGAATCTGCAAGTTGATATTTAGATAGCTTTGAAGATTTCGTTGGAAACGGGAATATCTTCATAGAAAATCTAGACGGAAGCATTCTCAGAAACTGCTTTGTGATGTTTGCATTCAAGTCACAGAGTTGAATATTCCCTTTTATAGAGTAGGTTTGAAACACTCTTTCGGCACTACCTGGAAGTGGATATTTCGAGCTCTTTGAGGCCTATGGTTAAAAGGAAATATCTTCCCATAAAAACTAGACAGAAGCCGTCTCAGAAACTTGTTTGTGATGTGTGTATTCAACTACCAGAGTTGAACATTTCTGTTACAGAGCAATTTTAAAACACTCTTTCTGTGGAATCTGAAAGTGGATAATTGGATAGCTTTGTGGATTTCGTTGGAAACGGGATGACGTATAAAATTCTAGAGAGAAGCATTCTCAGGAACTTCTTTCTGATGTTTGCATTCAAGTCACAGAATTGAACATTCCTTTTCAGAGTGCAGGTTTGAAACACTCTTTCTGTAGTATCTGGAAGTGGACATTTCAAGCGCTTTCAGGCCTACGGGGAGAAAGGAAATATCTTCAAATAAAAACTAGACAGAAGGATTCTCAGAAACTTATTTGTGATGTGTGTCCTAAACGAACACAGTTGAACCTTTGTTTTGATACAGCATTTTGGAAACACTCCTTTTGTAGGATCTGCAGGTGGATATTTGGATAGATTTTAAGATTTCGTTGGAAACGGGAATTTCTTCATACAAGCTCAAGACAGATATATTCTCAGAAACTTCTCTGTGATGTTTGCATTCCACTCATAGAGTTGAAAACTTCCTTTCATAGAGCAGGTTTGAAACACTCTTTTTGTAATATTTGGAAGTGGACATTTGCAGCGCTTTGAGGCCTATGGTGAAAAAGGAAATATCTTCTCATAAAAACCAGAAACAAGCATTCTCAGAAACTTCTTTTTGATGTGTGTACTCAAGTAACAGAGTTGAACCTTCGTTTTGACACAGCAGTTTTGAAACAATCTTTTTGTAGAATCTGCAAGTGGATATTTGGATAGCTTTGAGGATTTCGTTGGAAACGGGATATCTTCATATAAAATCTAGACAGAAGCATTCTCAGAAACTTCTTTGTGCTGTATGTCCTCAATTAACAGAGTTGAACCATTGCTTGGATACAGCATTTTGGAAACATTCCTTTAGTAGAATCTGCAAGTTGATATTTAGATAGATTTGAAGATTTCGTTGGAAACGGGAATATCTTCATATAAAATCCTAGACGGAAGCATTCTCAGAAACTGCTTTGTGATGTTTCCATTCAAGTCACAGAGTTGAATATTCCCTTTTATAGAGCACGTTTGAAACACTCTTTCTGCACTATCTGGAAGCGGACATTTCGAGCGCTTTGAGGCCTATGGTGAAAAAGGAAATATCTTCCCATAAAAACTAGACAGAAGCATTCTCAGAAACTTGTTTGTGATGTGTGTATTCAACTAACAGAGTTGAACTTTTGTTTTTACAGAGCCGTTTTAAAACACTCTTTTTGTGGAATCAGAAAGTGGATATTCGGATGGCTCTGAGGATTTCGTTGGAAGCGGGATTACGTATAAAATCTAGAGAGAAGCATTCTCAGGAACTTCTTTGTGATGTTTGCATTGAAGTCACAGAATGGAACATTCACTTTGATAGAGCAGGTTTGAAACACTCATTCTGTAGTATCTGGAAGTGGACATTTCAAGCGCTTTCAGGCCTATGGTGAGAAAGGAAATATCTTCGAATAAAAACTAGACAGAAGCATCCTCAAACTTATTTGTGATGTGTGTCCTCAACTAACAGAGTTGAAACTTTGTTTTGATACAGCATTTTGGAAACACTCTTTTTGTAGAATCTGCAGGTGGATATTTGGATAGCTTAGAGGGATTCGTTGGAAAGGGGATATCTTCATATAAAATCTAGACAGAAGCATTCTCAGAAACTTATTTGTGATGTGTTTCCTCAACTAACAGAGTTGAACCTTGGTTTTGATACAGCATTTTGGAAACACTCCTTTTGTAGAATCTGCAGGTGGATATGTGGATAGCTCTGAAGATTTCGTTGGAAACGGGAATTTCTTCATATAAAATCAAACAGAAGCATTCTCAGAAACTTCTCAGTGATGTTTGCATTCAGCTCATGGAGTTGTACACTTCCTTTCATAGAGCAGGTTTGAAACACTCTTTCTGCACTACCTGGAAGAGGACATTTCGAGCGCTTTGAGTCCTATGGTGAAAAAGGAAATATCTTCTCATAGAAACCAGAAAGAAGCATTCTCAGAAACTTCTTTGTGTTGTGTGTACTCATGTAACAGTGTTGAACCATCCTTTTGACAGAGGAGTTTTGAAACACTCTTTTTGTAGAATCTGCAAGTGGATATTTGGATAGCTTTGAGGATTTCGTTGGAAACGGGATGACATATAATATCTAGAGAGAAGCATTCTCAGGAACTTCTTTGTGATGTTTGCATTCAAGTCACAGAATTGAACATTCCCTTTCATAGAGCAGGTTTGAAACACTCTTTCTCTAGTATCTGGAAGTGGGCATTTCAAGCGCTTTCAGGCCTATGGAGAGAAAGGAAATACCTTCAAATAAAAACTAGACAGAAGCATTCTCAGAAACTTATTTGTGATGTGTGTCCTCAACTAACAGAGTTGAACCTTTGTTTTGATACAGCATTTTGGAAACACTCCTTTTGTAGAATCTGCAGGTGGATATTTGGATAGCTTTGAAGATTTCGTTGGAAACCGGAATATCTTCATATAAAATCAAGACAGAAGCATTCTCGGAAACATCTCTGTGATGTTTGCATTCAACTCAGTAGAGTTGAACACTTCCTTTCATAGAGCAGGTTTGAAACACTCTTTCTGCACTACCTGGAAGCGGACATTTCGAGCGCTTTGAGGCCTATGGTGAAAAAGGAAATATCTTCTCATAAAAACCAGAAAGAAGCATTCTCAGAAACTTCTTTGTGTTGTGTGTACTCAAGTAACAGTGTTGAACCTTCCTTTTGACAGAGTAGTTTTGAAACACTCTTTTGGTAGAATCTGCAAGTGGATATTTGGATAGCTTTGAGGATTTCGTTGGAAACGGGTTATCTTCCTATAAAATCCAGACAGGAGCATTCTCAGAAACTTCTTTGTGCTGTATGTCCTCAATTCACAGAGCTGAACCTTTGTTTGGATACAGCATTTTGGAGACATTCCTTTAGTAGAATCTGCAAGTTGATATTTAGATAGCTTTGAAGATTTCGTTGGAAACGGGAATATCTTCATAGAAAATCTAGACGGAAGCATTCTCAGAAACTGCTTTGTGATGTTTGCATTCAAGTCACAGAGTTGAATATTCCCTTTTATAGAGTAGGTTTGAAACACTCTTTCGGCACTACATGGAAGTGGATATTTCGAGCTCTTTGAGGCCTATGGTTAAAAGGAAATATCTTCCCATAAAAACTAGACAGAAGCCGTCTCAGAAACTTGTTTGTGATGTGTGTATTCAACTAACAGAGTTGAACATTTCTGTTACAGAGCAATTTTAAAACACTCTTTTTGTGGAATCTGAAAGTGGATAATTGGATAGCTTTGTGGATTTCGTTGGAAACGGGATGACGTATAAAATCTAGAGAGAAGCATTCTCAGAAACTTCTTTCTGATGTTTGCATTCAAGTCACAGAATTGAACATTCCTTTTCATAGTGCAGGTTTGAAACACTCTTTCTGTACTATCTGGAAGTGGACATTTCCAGCGCTTTCAGGCCTATGGGGAGAAAGGAAATATCTTCAAATAAAAACTAGACAGAAGGATTCTCAGAAACTTATTTGTGATGTGTGTCCTAAACGAACACAGTTGAACCTTTGTTTTGATACAGCATTTTGGAAACACTCCTTTTGTAGGATCTGCAGGTGGATATTTGGATAGATTTTAAGATTTCGTTGGAAACGGGAATTTCTTCATAGAAGCTCAAGACAGATGCGTTCTCAGAAACTTCTCTGTGATGTTTGCATTCCACTCATAGAGTTGAAAACTTCCTTTCATAGAGCAGGTTTGAAACACTCTTTTTGTAATATTTGGAAGTGGACATTTGCAGCGCTTTGAGGCCTATGGTGAAAAAGGAAATATCTTCTCATAAAAACCAGAAACAAGCATTCTCAGAAACTACTTTTTGATGTGTGTACTCAAGAAACAGAGTTGAACCTTCCTTTTGACACAGCAGTTTTGAAACAATCTTTTTGTAGAATCTGCAAGTGGATATTTGGATAGCTTTGAGGATTTCGTTGCAAACGGGATATCTTCATATAAAATCTAGACAGAAGCATTCTCAGAAACTTCTTTGTGCTGTATGTCCTCAATTAACAGAGTTGAACCATTGCTTGGATACAGCATTTTGGAAACATTCCTTGAGTAGAATCTGCAAGTTGATACTTAGATAGATTTGAAGATTTCGTTGGAAAAGGGAATATCTCCATATAAAATCTAGAGGGAAGCATTCTCAGAAACTGCTTTATGATGTTTCCATTCAAGTCACAGAGTTGAATATTCCCTTTCATAGAGCACGTTTGAAACAATCTTTCTGCACTATCTGGAAGTGGACATTTCGAGCGCTTTGAGGCCTATGGTGAAAAAGGAAATATCTTCCCATAAAAACTAGACAGAAGCATTCTCAGAAACTTGTTTGTGATGTGTGTATTCAACTAACAGAGTTGAACTTTTGTTTTTACAGAGCCGTTTTAAAACACTCTTTTTGTGGAATCAGAAAGTGGATATTCGGATGGCTCTGAGGATTTCGTTGGAAGCGGGATTACGTATAAAATCTAGAGAGAAGCATTCTCAGGAACTTCTTTGTGATGTTTGCATTGAAGTCACAGAATTGAACATTCACTTTGATAGAGCAGGTTTGAAACACTCATTCTGTAGTATCTGGAAGTGGACATTTCAAGCGCTTTCAGGCCTATGGTGAGAAAGGAAATATCTTCGAATAAAAACTAGACAGAAGCATCCTCAAACTTATTTGTGATGTGTGTCCTCAACTAACAGAGTTGAAACTTTGTTTTGATACAGCATTTTGGAAACACTCTTTTTGTAGAATCTGCAGGTGGATATTTGGATAGCTTAGAGGGATTCGTTGGAAAGGGGATATCTTCATATAGAATCTAGACAGAAGCATTCTCAGAAACTTATTTGTGATGTGTGTCCTCAACTAACAGAGTTGAACTTTGGTTTTGATACAGCATTTTGGAAACACTCCTTTTGTAGAATCTGCAGGTGGATATGTGGATAGCTCTGAAGATTTCGTTGGAAACGGGAATTTCTTCATATAAAATCAAACAGAAGCATTCTCAGAAACTTCTCAGTGATGTTTGCATTCAGCTCATGGAGTTGTACACTTCCTTTCATAGAGCAGGTTTGAAACACTCTTTCTGCACTACCTGGAAGAGGACATTTCGAGCGCTTTGAGTCCTATGGTGAAAAAGGATATATCTTCTCATAGAAACCAGAAAGAAGCATTCTCAGAAACTTCTTTGTGTTGTGTGTACTCATGTAACAGTGTTGAACCATCCTTTTGACAGAGCAGTTTTGAAACACTCTTTTTGTAGAATCTGCAAGTGGATATTTGGATAGCTTTGAGGATTTCGTTGGAAACGGGATGACATATAATATCTAGAGAGAAGCATTCTCAGGAACTTCTTTGTGATGTTTGCATTCAAGTCACAGAATTGAACATTCCCTTTCATAGAGCAGGTTTGAAACACTCTTTCTCTAGTATCTGGAAGTGGGCATTTCAAGCGCTTTCAGGCCTATGGAGAGAAAGGTAATACCTTCAAATAAAAACTAGACAGAAGCATTCTCAGAAACTTATTTGTGATGTGTGTCCTCAACTAACAGAGTTGAACCTTTGTTTTGATACAGCATTTTGGAAACACTCCTTTTGTAGAATCTGCAGGTGGATATTTGGATAGCTTTGAAGATTTCGTTGGAAACCGGAATATCTTCATATAAAATCAAGACAGAAGCATTCTCGGAAACATCTCTGTGATGTTTGCATTCAACTCAGTAGAGTTGAACACTTCCTTTCATAGAGCAGGTTTGAAACACTCTTTCTGCACTACCTGGAAGCGGACATTTCGAGCGCTTTGAGGCCTATGGTGAAAAAGGAAATATCTTCTCATAAAAACCAGAAAGAAGCATTCTCAGAAACTTCTTTGTGTTGTGTGTACTCAAGTAACAGTGTTGAACCTTCCTTTTGACAGAGCAGTTTTGAAACACTCTTTTGGTAGAATCTGCAAGTGGATATTTGGATAGCTTTGAGGAATTCGTTGGAAACGGGTTATCTTCATATAAAATCCAGACAGGAACATTCTCAGAAACTTCTTTGTGCTGTATGTCCTCAATTCACAGAGCTGAACCTTTGTTTGGATACAGCATTTTGGAGACATTCCTTTAGTAGAATCTGCAAGTTGATATTTAGATAGCTTTGAAGATTTCGTTGGAAACGGGAATATCTTCATAGAAAATCTAGACGGAAGCATTCTCAGAAACTGCTTTGTGATGTTTGCATTCAAGTCACAGAGTTGAATATTCCCTTTTATAGAGTAGGTTTGAAACACTCTTTCGGCACTACCTGGAAGTGGATATTTCGAGCTCTTTGAGGCCTATGGTTAAAAGGAAATATCTTCCCATAAAAACTAGACAGAAGCCGTCTCAGAAACTTGTTTGTGATGTGTGTATTCAACTAACAGAGTTGAACATTTCTGTTACAGAGCAATTTTAAAACACTCTTTTTGTGGAATCTGAAAGTGGATAATTGGATAGCTTTGTGGATTTCGTTGGAAACGGGATGACGTATAAAATCTAGAGAGAAGCATTCTCAGGAACTTCTTTCTGATGTTTGCATTCAAGTCACAGAATTGAACATTCCTTTTCAGAGTGCAGGTTTGAAACACACTCTTTCTGTAGTATCTGGAAGTGGACATTTCAAGCGCTTTCAGGCCTACGGGGAGAAAGGAAATATCTTCAAATAAAAACTAGACAGAAGGATTCTCAGAAACTTATTTGTGATGTGTGTCCTAAACGAACACAGTTGAACCTTTGTTTTGATACAGCATTTTGGAAACACTCCTTTTGTAGGATCTGCAGGTGGATATTTGGATAGATTTTAAGATTTCGTTGGAAACGGGAATTTCTGCATATAAACTCAAGACAGATGCATTCTCAGAAACTTCTCTGTGATGTTTGCATTCCACTCATAGAGTTGAAAACTTCCTTTCATAGAGCAGGTTTGAAACACTCTTTTTGTAATATTTGGAAGTGGACATTTGCAGCGCTTTGAGGCCTATGGTGAAAAAGGAAATATCTTCTGATAAAAACCAGAAACAAGCATTCTCAGAAACTTCTTTTTGATGTGTGTACTCAAGTAACAGAGTTGAACCTTCCTTTTGACACAGCAGTTTTGAAACAATCTTTTTGTAGAATCTGCAAGTGGATATTTGGATAGCTTTGAGGATTTCGTTGGAAACGGGATATCTTCATATAAAATCTAGACAGAAGCATTCTCAGAACCTTCTTTGTGCTGTATGTCCTCAATTAACAGAGTTGAACCATTGCTTGCATACAGCATTTTGGAAACATTCCTTTAGTAGAATCTGCAAGTTGATATTTAGATAGATTTGAAGATTTCGTTGGAAACGGGAATATCTTCATATAAAATCTAGACGAAGGCATTCTCAGAAACTGCTTTGTGATGTTTCCATTCAAGTCACAGAGTTGAATATTCTCTTTTATAGGGCACGTTTGAAACACTCTTTCTGCACTATCTGGAAGTGGACATTTCGAGCGCTGTGAGGCCTATGGTGAAAAAGGAAATACCTTCCCATAAAAACTAGACAGAAGCATTCTCAGAAACTTGTTTGTGATGTGTGTATTCAACTAACAGAGTTGAACTTTTGTTTTTACAGAGCCGTTTTAAAACACTCTTTTTGTGGAATCAGAAAGTGGATATTCGGATGGCTCTGAGGATTTCGTTGGAAGCTGGATTACGTATAAAATCTAGAGAGAAGCATTCTCAGGAACTTCTTTCTGAAGTTTGCATTGAAGTCACAGAATTGAACATTCACTTTGATAGAGCAGGTTTGAAACACTCATTCTGTAGTATCTGGAAGTGGACATTTCAAGCGCTTTCAGGCCTATGGTGAGAAAGGAAATATCTTCGAATAAAAACTAGACAGAAGCATCCTCAGAAACTTATTTGTGATGTGTGTCCTCAACTAACAGAGTTGAAACTTTGTTTTGATACAGCATTTTGGAAACACTCTTTTTGTAGAATCTGCAGGTGGATATTTGGATAGCTTAGAGGGATTCGTTGGAAAGGGGATATCTTCATATAAAATCTAGACAGAAGCATTCTCAGAAACTTATTTGTGATGTGTGTCCTCAACTAACAGAGTTGAACCTTGGTTTTGATACAGCATTTTGGAAACACTCCTTTTGTAGAATCTGCAGGTGGATATGTGGATAGCTCTGAAGATTGCGTTGGAAACGGGAATTTCTTCATATAAAATCAAACAGAAGCATTCTCAGAAACTTCTCAGTGATGTTTGCATTCAGTTCATGGAGTTGAACACTTCCCTTCATAGAGCCGGTTTGAAACACTCTTTCTGCACTACCTGGAAGAGGACATTTCGAGCGCTTTGAGTCCTATGGTGAAAAAGGAAATATGCTTCTCATATAAACCAGAAAGAAGCATTCTCAGAAACTTCTTTGTGTTGTGTGTACTCAAGTAACAGTGTTGAACCTTCCTTTTGACAGAGTAGTTTTGAAACACTCTTTTGGTAGAATCTGCAAGTGGATATTTGGATAGCTTTGAGGATTTCGTTGGAAACGGGTTATCTTCCTATAAAATCCAGACAGGAGCATTCTCAGAAACTTCTTTGTGCTGTATGTCCTCAATTCACAGAGCTGAACCTTTGTTTGGATACAGCATTTTGGAGACATTCCTTTAGTAGAATCTGCAAGTTGATATTTAGATAGCTTTGAAGATTTCGTTGGAAACGGGAATATCTTCATAGAAAATCTAGACGGAAGCATTCTCAGAAACTGCTTTGTGATGTTTGCATTCAAGTCACAGAGTTGAATATTCCCTTTTATAGAGTAGGTTTGAAACACTCTTTCGGCACTACCTGGAAATGGATATTTCGAGCTCTTTGAGGCCTATGGTTAAAAGGAAATATCTTCCCATAAAAACTAGACAGAAGCCGTCTCAGAAACTTGTTTGTGATGTGTGTATTCAACTAACAGAGTTGAACATTTCTGTTACAGAGCAATTTTAAAACACTCTTTTTGTGGAATCTGAAAGTGGATAATTGGGTAGCTTTGTGGATTTCGTTGGAAACGGGATGACGTATAAAATCTAGAGAGAAGCATTCTCAGGAACTTCTTTCTGATGTTTGCATTCAAGTCACAGAATTGAACATTCCTTTTCATAGTGCAGGTTTGAAACACTCTTTCTGTAGTATCTGGAAGTGGACATTTCAAGCGCTTTCAGGCCTGTGGGGAGAAAGGAAATATCTTCAAATAAAAACTAGACAGAAGGATTCTCAGAAACTTATTTGTGATGTGTGTCCTAAACGAACACAGTTGAACCTTTGTTTTGATACAGCATTTTGGAAACACTCCTTTTGTAGAATCTGCAGGTGGATATTTGGATAGATTTTAAGATTTCATTGGAAACGGGAATTTCTTCATATAAACTCAAGACAGATGCATTCTCAGAAACTTCTCTGTGATGTTTGCATTCCACTCATAGAGTTGAAAACTTCCTTTCATAGAGCAGGTTTGAAACACTCTTTTTGTAATATGTGGAAGTGGACATTTGCAGCGCTTTGAGGCCTATGGTGAAAAAGGAAATATCTTCTCATAAAAACCAGAAACAAGCATTCTCAGAAACTGCTTTTTGATGTGTGTACTCAAGTAACAGAGTTGAACCTTCCTTTTGACACAGCAGTTTTGAAACAATCTTTTTGTAGAATCTGCAAGTGGATATTTGGATAGCTTTGAGGATTTCGTTGGAAACGGGATATCTTCATATAAAATCCTAGACAGAAGCATTCTCAGAAACTTCTTTGTGCTGTATGTCCTCAATTAACAGAGTTGAACCATTGCTTGGATACAGCATTTTGGAAACATTCCTTTAGTAGAATCTGCAAGTTGATATTTAGATAGCTTTGAAGATTTCGTTGGAAACGGGAATATCTTCATATAAAATCTAGACGGAAGCATTCTCAGAAACTGCTTTGTGATGTTTGCATTCAAGTCACAGAGTTGAATATTCCCTTTTATAGAGTAGGTTTGAAACACTCTTTCGGCACTACCTGGAAGTGGATATTTCGAGCTCTTTGAGGCCTATGGTTAAAAGGAAATATCTTCCCATAAAAACTAGACAGAAGCCGTCTCAGAAACTTGTTTATGATGTGTGTATTCAACTAACAGAGTTGAACATTTCTGTTACAGAGCAATTTTAAAACACTCTTTTTGTGGAATCTGAAAGTGGATAATTGGATAGCTTTGTGGATTTCGTTGGAAACGGGATGACGTATAAAATCTAGAGAGAAGCATTCTCAGGAACTTCTTTCTGATGTTTGCATTCAAGTCACAGAATTGAACATTCCTTTTCATAGTGCAGGTTTGAAACACTCTTTCTGTAGTATCTGGAAGTGGACATTTCAAGCGCTTTCAGGCCTACGGGGAGAAAGGAAATATCTTCAAATAAAAACTAGACAGAAGGATTCTCAGAAACTTATTTGTGATGTGTGTCCTAAACGAACACAGTTGAACCTTTGTTTTGATACAGCATTTTGGAAACACTCCTTTTGTAGAATCTGCAGGTGGATATTTGGATAGATTTTAAGATTTCATTGGAAACGGGAATTTCTTCATATAAACTCAAGACAGATGCATTCTCAGAAACTTCTCTGTGATGTTTGCATTCCACTCATAGAGTTGAAAACTTCCTTTCATAGAGCAGGTTTGAAACACTCTTTTTGTAATATTTGGAAGTGGACATTTGCAGCGCTTTGAGGCCTATGGTGAAAAAGGAAATATCTTCTCATAAAAACCAGAAACAAGCATTCTCAGAAACTTCTTTTTGATGTGTGTACTCAAGTAACAGAGTTGAACCTTCCTTTTCACACAGCAGTTTTGAAACAATCTTTTTGTAGAATCTGCAAGTGGATATTTGGATAGCTTTGAGGATTTCGTTGGAAACGGGATATCTTCATATAAAATCTAGACAGAAGCATTCTCAGAAACTTCTTTGTGCTGTATGTCCTCAATTAACAGAGTTGAACCATTGCTTGGATACAGCATTTTGGAAACATTCCTTGAGTAGAATCTGCAAGTTGATATTTAGATAGATTTGAAGATTTCGTTGGAAAAGGGAATATCTCCATATAAAATCTAGAGGGAAGCATTCTCAGAAACTGCTTTGTGATGTTTCCATTCAAGTCACAGAGTTGAATATTCCCTTTTATAGAGCACGTTTGAAACACTCTTTCTGCACTATCTGGAAGCGGACATTTCGAACGCTTTGAGGCCTATGGTGAAAAAGGAAATATCTTCCCATAAAAACTAGACAGAAGCATTCTCAGAAACTTGTTTGTGATGTGTGTATTCAACTAACAGAGTTGAACTTTTGTTTTTACAGAGCCGTTTTAAAACACTCTTTTTGTGGAATCAGAAAGTGGATATTCGGATGGCTCTGAGGATTTCGTTGGAAGCGGGATTACGTATAAAATCTAGAGAGAAGCATTCTCAGGAACTTCTTTGTGATGTTTGCATTGAAGTCACAGAATTGAACATTCACTTTGATAGAGCAGGTTTGAAACACTCATTCTGTAGTATCTGGAAGTGGACATTTCAAGCGCTTTCAGGCCTATGGTGAGAAAGGAAATATCTTCGAATAAAAACTAGACAGAAGCATTCTCAGAAACTTATTTGTGATGTGTGTCCTCAACTAACAGAGTTGAAACTTTGTTTTGATACAGCATTTTGGAAACACTCTTTTTGTAGAATCTGCAGGTGGATATTTGGATAGCTTAGAGGGATTCGTTGGAAAGGGGATATCTTCATATAAAATCTAGACAGAAGCATTCTCAGAAACTTATTTGTGATGTGTGTCCTCAACTAACAGAGTTGAACCTTGGTTTTGATACAGCATTTTGGAAACACTCCTTTTGTAGAATCTGCAGGTGGATATGTGGATAGCTCTGAAGATTTCGTTGGAAACGGGAATTTCTTCATATAAAATCAAACAGAAGCATTCTCAGAAACTTCTCAGTGATGTTTGCATTCAGTTCATGGAGTTGAACACTTCCCTTCATAGAGCCGCTTTGAAACACTCTTTCTGCACTACCTGGAAGAGGACATTTCGAGCGCTTTGAGTCCTATGGTGAAAAAGGAAATATCTTCTCATATAAACCAGAAAGAAGCATTCTCAGAAACTTCTTTGTGTTGTGTGTACTCATGTAACAGTGTTGAACCATCCTTTTGACAGAGCAGTTTTGAAACACTCTTTTTGTAGAATCTGCAAGTGGATATTTGGATAGCTTTGAGGATTTCGTTGGAAACGGGATGACATATAATATCTAGAGAGAAGCATTCTCAGGAACTTCTTTGTGATGTTTGCATTCAAGTCACAGAATTGAACATTCCCTTTCATAGAGCAGGTTTGAAACACTCTTTCTCTAGTATCTGGAAGTGGGCATTTCAAGCGCTTTCAGGCCTATGGAGAGAAAGGAAATACCTTCAAATAAAAACTAGACAGAAGCATTCTCAGAAACTTATTTGTGATGTGTGTCCTCAACTAACAGAGTTGAACCTTTGTTTTGATACAGCATTTTGGAAACACTCCTTTTGTAGAATCTGCAGGTGGATATTTGGATAGCTTTGAAGATTTCGTTGGAAACCGGAATATCTTCATATAAAATCAAGACAGAAGCATTCTCGGAAACATCTCTGTGATGTTTGCATTCAACTCAGTAGAGTTGAACACTTCCTTTCATAGAGCAGGTTTGAAACACTCTTTCTGCACTACCTGGAAGCGGACATTTCGAGCGCTTTGAGGCCTATGGTGAAAAAGGAAATATCTTCTCATAAAAACCAGAAAGAAGCATTCTCAGAAACTTCTTTGTGTTGTGTGTACTCAAGTAACAGTGTTGAACCTTCCTTTTCACAGAGCAGTTTTGAAACACTCTTTTGGTAGAATCTGCAAGTGGATATTTGGAGAGCTTTGAGGATTTCGTTGGAAACGGGTTATCTTCCTATAAAATCCAGACAGGAGCATTCTCAGAAACTTCTTTGTGCTGTATGTCCTCAATTCACAGAGCTGAACCTTTGTTTGGATACAGCATTTTGGAGACATTCCTTTAGTAGAATCTGCAAGTTGATATTTAGATAGCTTTGAAGATTTCGTTGGAAACGGGAATATCTTCATAGAAAATCTAGACGGAAGCATTCTCAGAAACTTCTCAGTGATGTTTGCATTCAAGTCACAGAGTTGAATATTCCCTTTTATAGAGTAGGTTTGAAACACTCTTTCGGCACTACCTGGACTTGGATATTTCGAGCTCTTTGAGGCCTATGGTTAAAAGGAAATATCTTCCCATAAAAACTAGACAGAAGCCGTCTCAGAAACTTGTTTGTGATGTGTGTATTCAACTACCAGAGTTGAACATTTCTGTTACAGAGCAATTTTAAAACACTCTTTCTGTGGAATCTGAAAGTGGATAATTGGATAGCTTTGTGGATTTCGTTGGAAACGGGATGACGTATAAAATCTAGAGAGAAGCATTCTCAGGAACTTCTTTCTGATGTTTGCATTCAAGTCACAGAATTGAACATTCCTTTTCAGAGTGCAGGTTTGAAACACTCTTTCTGTAGTATCTGGAAGTGGACATTTCAAGCGCTTTCAGGCCTACGGGGAGAAAGGAAATCTCTTCAAATAAAAACCAGACAGAAGACTTCTCAGAAACTTATTTGTGATGTGTGCCCTAAACGAACACAGTTGAACCTTTGTTTTGATACAGCATTTTGGAAACACTCCTTTTGTAGAATCTGCAGGTGGATATTTGGATAGATTTTAAGATTTCGTTGGAAACGGGAATTTCTTCATATAAACTCAAGACAGATGCATTCTCAGAAACTTCCCTGTGATGTTTGCATTCCACTCATAGAGTTGAAAACTTCCTTTCATAGAGCAGGTTTGAAACACTCTTTTTGTAATATTTGGAAGTGGACATTTGCAGCGCTTTGAGGCCTATGGTGAAAAAAAAATATCTTCTTATAAAAACCAGAAACGAGCATTCTCAGAAACTTCTTTTTGATGTGTGTACTCAAGTAACAGAGTTGAACTTTCCTCTTGACACAGCAGTTTTGAAACAATCTTTTTGTAGAATCTGCAAGTGGATATTTGGATAGCTTTGAGGATTTCGTTGGAAACGGGATATCTTCATATAAAATCTAGACAGAAGCATTCTCAGAAACTTCTTTGTGCTGTATGTCCTCAATTAACAGAGTTGAACCATTGCCTGGATACAGCATTTTGGAAACATTCCTTGAGTAGAATCTGCAAGTTGATATTTAGATAGATTTGAAGATTTCGTTGGAAAAGGGAATATCTCCATATAAAATCTAGAGGGAAGCATTCTCAGAAACTGCTTTGTGATGTTTCCATTCAAGTCACAGAGTTGAATATTCCCTTTTATAGAGCACGTTTGAAACACTCTTTCTGCACTATCTGGAAGCGGACATTTCGAGCGCTTTGAGGCCTATGGTGAAAAAGGAAATATCTTCCCATAAAAACTAGACAGAAGCATTCTCAGAAACTTGTTTGTGATGTGTGTATTCAACTAACAGAGTTGAACTTTTGTTTTTACAGAGCCGTTTTAAAACACTCTTTTTGTGGAATCAGAAAGTGGATATTCGGATGGCTCTGAGGATTTCGTTGGAAGCGGGATTACGTATAAAATCTAGAGAGAAGCATTCTCAGGAACTTCTTTCTGATGTTTGCATTGAAGTCACAGAATTGAACATTCACTTTGATAGAGCAGGTTTGAAACACTCATTCTGTAGTATCTGGAAGTGGACATTTCAAGCGCTTTCAGGCCTATGGTGAGAAAGGAAATATCTTCGAATAAAAACTAGACAGAAGCATCCTCAGAAACTTATTTGTGATGTGTGTCCTCAACTAACAGAGTTGAAACTTTGTTTTGATACAGCATTTTGGAAACACTCTTTTTGTAGAATCTGCAGGTGGATATTTGGATAGCTTAGAGGGATTCGTTGGAAAGGGGATATCTTCATATAAAATCTAGACAGAAGCATTCTCAGAAACTTATTTGTGATGTGTGTCCTCAACTAACAGAGTTGAACCTTGGTTTTGATACAGCATTTTGGAAACACTCCTTTTGTAGAATCTGCATGTGGATATGTGGATAGCTCTGAAGATTTCGTTGGAAACGGGAATTTCTTCATATAAAATCAAACAGAAGCATTCTCAGAAACTTCTCAGTGATGTTTGCATTCAGCTCATGGAGTTGAACACTTCATTTCCTAGAGCAGGTTTGAAACACTCTTTCTGCACTACCTGGAAGAGGACATTTCGAGCGCTTTGAGTCCTATGGTGAAAAAGGAAATATCTTCTCATAAAAACCAGAAAGAAGCATTCTCAGAAACTTGTGTTTTGTGTACTCATGTAACAGTGTTGAACCATGCTTTTGACAGAGCAGTTTTGAAACACTCTTTTTGTAGAATCTGCAAGTGGATATTTGGATAGCTTTGAGGATTTCATTGGAAACGGGATGACATATAATATCTAGAGAGAAGCATTCTCAGGAACTTGCTTTGTGATGTTTGCATTCAAGTCACAGAATTGAACATTCCCTTTCATAGAGCAGGTTTGAAACACTCTTTCTCTAGTATCTGGAAGTGGGCATTTCAAGCGCTTTCAGGCCTATGGAGAGAAAGGAAATACCTTCAAATAAAAACTAGACAGAAGCATTCTCAGAAACTTATTTGTGATGTGTGTCCTCAACTAACAGAGTTGAACCTTTGTTTTGATACAGCATTTTGGAAACACTCCTTTTGTAGAATCTGCAGGTGGATATTTGGATAGCTTTGAAGATTTCGTTGGAAACCGGAATATCTTCATATAAAATCAAGACAGAAGCATTCTCGGAAACATCTCTGTGATGTTTGCATTCAACTCAGTAGAGTTGAACACTTCCTTTCATAGAGCAGGTTTGAAACACTCTTTCTGCACTACCTGGAAGTGGACATTTCGAGCGCTTTGAGGCCTATGGTGAAAAAGGAAATATCTTCTCATAAAAACCAGAAAGAAGCATTCTCAGAAACTTCTTTGTGTTGTGTGTACTCAAGTAACAGTGTTGAACCTTCCTTTTGACAGAGCAGTTTTGAAACACTCTTTTGGTAGAATCTGCAAGTGGATATTTGGATAGCTTTGAGGATTTCATTGGAAACGGGTTATCTTCATATAAAATCCAGACAGGAGCATTCTCAGAAACTTCTTTGTGCTGTATGTCCTCAATTCACAGAGCTGAACCTTTGTTTGGATACAGCATTTTGGAGACATTCCTTTAGTAGAATCTGCAAGTTGATATTTAGATAGCTTTGAAGATTTCGTTGGAAACGGGAATATCTTCATAGAAAATCTAGACGGAAGCATTCTCAGAAACTGCTTTGTGATGTTTGCATTCAAGTCACAGAGTTGAATATTCCCTTTTATAGAGTAGGTTTGAAACACTCTTTCGGCACTACCTGGAAGTGGATATTTCGAGCTCTTTGAGGCCTATGGTTAAAAGGAAATATCTTCCCATAAAAACTAGACAGAAGCCGTCTCAGAAACTTGTTTGTGATGTGTGTATTCAACTAACAGAGTTGAACATTTCTGTTACAGAGCAATTTTAAAACACTCTTTGTGGAATCTGAAAGTGGATAATTGGATAGCTTTGTGGATTTCGTTGGAAACGGGATGACGTATAAAATCTAGAGAGAAGCATTCTCAGGAACTTCTTTCTGATGTTTGCATTCAAGTCACAGAATTGAACATTCCTTTTCAGAGTGCAGGTTTGAAACACTCTTTCTGTAGTATCTGGAAGTGGACATTTCAAGCGCTTTCAGGCCTACGGGGAGAAAGGAAATATCTTCAAATAAAAACTAGACAGAAGGATTCTCAGAAACTTATTTGTGATGTGTGCCCTAAACGAACACAGTGGAACCTTTGTTTTGATACAGCATTTTGGAAACACTCCTTTTGTAGGATCTGCAGGTGGATATTTGGATAGATTTTAAGATTTCGTTGGAAACGGGAATTTCTTCATAGAAGCTCAAGACAGATGCATTCTCAGAAACTTCTCTGTGATGTTTGCATTCCACTCATAGAGTTGAAAACTTCCTTTCATAGAGCAGGTTTGAAACACTCTTTTTGTAATATTTGGAAGTGGACATTTGCAGCGCTTTGAGGCCTATGGTGAAAAAGGAAATATCTTCTCATAAAAACCAGAAACAAGCATTCTCAGAAACTTCTTTTTGATGTGTGTACTCAAGTAACAGAGTTGAACCTTCCTCTTGACACAGCAGTTTTGAAACAATCTTTTTGTAGAATCTGCAAGTGGATATTTGGATAGCTTTGAGGATTTCGTTGGAAACGGGATATCTTCATATAAAATCTAGACAGAAGCATTCTCAGAAACTTCTTTGTGCTGTATGTCCTCAATTAACAGAGTTGAACCATTGCTTGGATACAGCATTTTGGAAACATTCCTTTAGTAGAATCTGCAAGTTGATATTTAGATAGATTTGAAGATTTCGTTGGAAACGGGAATATCTTCATATAAAATCTAGACGGAGGCATTCTCAGAAACTGCTTTGTGATGTTTCCATTCAAGTCACAGACTTGAATATTCTCTTTTATAGAGCACGTTTGAAACACTCTTTCTGCACTATCTGGAAGTGGACATTTCGAGCGCTGTGAGGCCTATGGTGAAAAAGGAAATATCTTCCCATAAAAACTAGACAGAAGCATTCTCAGAAACTTGTTTGTGATGTGTGTATTCAACTAACAGACTTGAACTTTTGTTTTTACAGGGCAGTTTTAAAACAATCTTTTTGTGGAATCAGAAAGTGGATATTCGGATGGCTTTGAGGATTTCGTTGGAAGCGGAATTACATGTAAAATCTAGAGAGAAGCATTCTCAGGAACTACTTTGTGATGTTTGCATTGAAGTCACAGAATTGAACATTCACTATGATAGAGCAGGTTTGAAACACTCATGCTGTAGTATCTGGAAGTGGACATTTCAAGCGCTTTCAGGCCTATGGTGAGAAAGGAAATATCTTCAAATTAAAACTAGACAGAAGCATCCTCAGAAACTTATTTGTGATGTGTGTCCTCAACTAACAGAGTTGAAACTTTGTTTTGATACAGCATTTTGGAAACACTCTTTTTGTAGAATCTGCAGGTGGATATTTTGATAGCTTAGAGGGATTCGTTGGAAAGGGGATATCTTCATATAAAATCTAGACAGAAGCATTCTCAGAAACTTATTTGTGATGTGTGTCCTCAACTAACAGAGTTGAACCTTGGTTTTGATACAGCATTTTGGAAACACTCCTTTTGTAGAATCTGCATGTGGATATGTGGATAGCTCTGAAGATTTCGTTGGAAACGGGAATTTCTTCATATAAAATCAAACAGAAGCATTCTCAGAAACTTCTCAGTGATGTTTGCATTCAGCTCATGGAGTTGTACACTTCCTTTCATAGAGCAGGTTTGAAACACTCTTTCTGCACTACTTGGAAGAGGACATTTCGAGCGCTTTGAGTCCTATGGTGAAAAAGGAAATATCTTCTCATAGAAACCAGAAAGAAGCATTCTCAGAAACTTCTTTGTGTTGTGTGTACTCATGTAACAGTGTTGAACCATCCTTTTGACAGAGGAGTTTTGAAACACTCTTTTTGTAGAATCTGCAAGTGGCTATTTGGATAGCTTTGAGGATTTCGTTGGAAACGGGATGACATATAATATCTAGAGAGAAGCATTCTCAGGAACTTCTTTGTGATGTTTGCATTCAAGTCACAGAATTGAACATTCCCTTTCATAGAGCAGGTTTGAAACACTCTTTCTCTAGTATCTGGAAGTGGGCATTTCAAGCGCTTTCAGGCCTATGGAGAGAAAGGAAATACCTTCAAATAAAAACTAGACAGAAGCATTCTCAGAAACTTATTTGTGATGTGTGTCCTCAACTAACAGAGTTGAACCTTTGTTTTGATACAGCATTTTGGAAACACTCCTTTTGTAGAATCTGCAGGTGGATATTTGGATAGCTTTGAAGATTTCGTTGGAAACCGGAATATCTTCATATAAAATCAAGACAGAAGCATTCTCGGAAACATCTCTGTGATGTTTGCATTCAACTCAGTAGAGTTGAACACTTCCTTTCATAGAGCAGGTTTGAAACACTCTTTCTGCACTACCTGGAAGCGGACATTTCGAGCGCTTTGAGGCCTATGGTGAAAAAGGAAATATCTTCTCATAAAAACCAGAAAGAAGCATTCTCAGAAACTTCTTTGTGTTGTGTGTACTCAAGTAACAGTGTTGAACCTTCCTTTTGACAGAGCAGTTTTGAAACACTCTTTTGGTAGAATCTGCAAGTGGATATTTGGATAGCTTTGAGGATTTCGTTGGAAACGGGTTATCTTCCTATAAAATCCAGACAGGAGCATTCTCAGAAACTTCTTTGTGCTGTATGTCCTCAATTCACAGAGCTGAACCTTTGTTTGGATACAGCATTTTGGAGACATTCCTTTAGTAGAATCTGCAAGTTGATATTTAGATAGCTTTGAAGATTTCGTTGGAAACGGGAATATCTTCATAGAAAATCTAGACGGAAGCATTCTCAGAAACTGCTTTGTGATGTTTGCATTCAAGTCACAGAGTTGAATATTCCCTTTTATAGAGTAGGTTTGAAACACTCTTTCGGCACTACCTGGAAGTGGATATTTCGAGCTCTTTGAGGCCTATGGTTAAAAGGAAATATCTTCCCATAGAAACTAGACAGAAGCCGTCTCAGAATCTTGTTTGTGATGTGTGTATTCAACTGACAGAGTTGAACATTTCTGTTACAGAGCAATTTTAAAACACTCTTTTTGTGGAATCTGAAAGTGGATAATTGGATAGCTTTGTGGATTTCGTTGGAAACAGGATTATGTATAAAATCTAGAGAGAAGCATTCTCAGGAACTTCTTTCTGATGTTTGCATTCAAGTCTCAGAATTGAACATTCCTTTTCATAGTGCAGGTTTGAAACACTCTTTCTGTAGTATCTGGAAGTGGACATTTCCAGCGCTTTCAGGGCTATGGGGAGAAAGGAAATATCTTCAAATAAAAACTAGACAGAAGGATTCTCAGAAACTTATTTGTGATGTGTGTCCTAAACGAACACAGTTGAACCTTTGTTTTGATACAGCATTTTGGAAACACTCCTTTTGTAGGATCTGCAGGTGGATATTTGGATAGATTTTAAGATTTCGTTGGAAACGGGAATTTCTTCATAGAAGCTCAAGACAGATGCATTCTCAGAAACTTCTCTGTGATGTTTGCATTCCACTCATAGAGTTGAAAACTTCCTTTCATAGAGCAGGTTTGAAACACTCTTTTTGTAATATTTGGAAGTGGACATTTGCAGCGCTTTGAGGCCTATGGTGAAAAAGGAAATATCTTCTCATAAAAACCAGAAACAAGCATTCTCAGAAACTGCTTTTTGATGTGTGTACTCAAGTAACAGAGTTGAACCTTCCTTTTGACACAGCAGTTTTGAAACAATCTTTCTGTAGAATCTGCAAGTGGATATTTGGATAGCTTTGAGGATTTCGTTGGAAACGGGATATCTTCATATAAAATCTAGAAAGAAGCATTCTCAGAAACTTCTTTGTGCTGTATGTCCTCAATTAACAGAGTTGAACCATTGCTTGGATACAGCATTTTGGAAACATTCCTTGAGTAGAATCTGCAAGTTGATATTTAGATAGATTTGAAGATTTCGTTGGAAAAGGGAATATCTCCATATAAAATCTAGAGGGAAGCATTCTCAGAAACTGCTTTGTGATGTTTCCATTCAAGTCACAGAGTTGAATATTCCCTTTTATAGAGCACGTTTGAAACACTCTTTCTGCACTATCTGGAAGCGGACATTTCGAGCGCTTTGAGGCCTATGGTGAAAAAGGAAATATCTTCCCATAAAAACTAGACAGAAGCATTCTCAGAAACTTGTTTGTGATGTGTGTATTCAACTAACAGAGTTGAACTTTTGTTTTTACAGAGCCGTTTTAAAACACTCTTTTTGTGGAATCAGAAAGTGGATATTCGGATGGCTCTGAGGATTTCGTTGGAAGCGGGATTACATATAAAATGCTAGAGAGAAGCATTCTCAGGAACTTCTTTGTGATGTTTGCATTGAAGTCACAGAATTGAACATTCACTTTGATAGAGCAGGATTGAAACACTCATTCTGTAGTATCTGGAAGTGGACATTTTAAGCGCTTTCAGGCCTATGGTGGGAAAGGAAATATCTTCGAATAAAAACTAGACAGAAGCATCCTCAGAAACTTATTTGTGATGTGTGTCCTCAACTAACAGAGTTGAAACTTTGTTTTGATACAGCATTTTGGAAACACTCTTTTTGTAGAATCTGCAGGTGGATACTTGGATAGCTTAGAGGGATTCGTTGGAAAGGGGATAAATTCATATAAAATCTAGACAGAAGCATTCTCAGAAACTTATTTGTGATGTGTGTCCTCAACTAACAGAGTTGAACCTTGGTTTTGATACAGCATTTTGGAAACACTCCTTTTGTAGAATCTGCAGGTGGATATGTGGATAGCTACTGAAGATTTCGTTGGAAACGGGAATTTCTTCATATAAAATCAAACAGAAGCATTCTCAGAAACTTCTCAGTGATGTTTGCATTCAGCTCATGGAGTTGTACACTTCCTTTCATAGAGCAGGTTTGAAACACTCTTTCTGCACTACCTGGAAGAGGACATTTCGAGCGCTTTGAGTCCTATGGTGAAAAAGGAAATATCTTCTCATAGAAACCAGAAAGAAGCATTCTCAGAAACTTCTTTGTGTTGTGTGTACTCATGTAACAGTGTTGAACCATCCTTTTGACAGAGGAGTTTTGAAACACTCTTTTTGTAGAATCTGCAAGTGGATATTTGGATAGCTTTGAGGATTTCGTTGGAAACGGGATGACATATAATATCTAGAGAGAAGCATTCTCAGGAACTTCTTTGTGATGTTTGCATTCAAGTCACAGAATTGAACATTCCCTTTCATAGAGCAGGTTTGAAACACTCTTTCTCTAGTATCTGGAAGTGGGCATTTCAAGCGCTTTCAGGCCTATGGAGAGAAAGGAAATACCTTCAAATAAAAACTAGACAGAAGCATTCTCAGAAACTTATTTGTGATGTGTGTCCTCAACTAACAGAGTTGAACCTTTGTTTTGATACAGCATTTTGGAAACACTCCTTTTGTAGAATCTGCAGGTGGATATTTGGATAGCTTTGAAGATTTCGTTGGAAACCGGAATATCTTCATATAAAATCAAGACAGAAGCATTCTCGGAAACATCTCTGTGATGTTTGCATTCAACTCAGTAGAGTTGAACACTTCCTTTCATAGAGCAGGTTTGAAACACTCTTTCTGCACTACCTGGAAGCGGACATTTCGAGCGCTTTGAGGCCTATGGTGAAAAAGGAAATATCTTCTCATAAAAACCAGAAAGAAGCATTCTCAGAAACTTCTTTGTGTTGTGTGTACTCAAGTAACAGTGTTGAACCTTCCTTTTGACAGAGCAGTTTTGAAACACTCTTTTGGTAGAATCTGCAAGTGGATATTTGGAGAGCTTTGAGGATTTCGTTGGAAACGGGTTATCTTCATATAAAATCCAGACAGGAGCATTCTCAGAAACTTCTTTGTGCTGTATGTCCTCAATTCACAGAGCTGAACCTTTGTTTGGATACAGCATTTTGGAGACATTCCTTTAGTAGAATCTGCAAGTTGATATTTAGATAGCTTTGAAGATTTCGTTGGAAACGGGAATATCTTCATAGAAAATCTAGACGGAAGCATTCTCAGAAACTGCTTTGTGATGTTTGCATTCAAGTCACAGAGTTGAATATTCCCTTTTATAGAGTAGGTTTGAAACACTCTTTCGGCACTACCTGGAAGTGGATATTTCGAGCTCTTTGAGGCCTATGGTTAAAAGGAAATATCTTCCCATAAAAACTAGACAGAAGCCGTCTCAGAAACTTGTTTGTGATGTGTGTATTCAACTAACAGAGTTGAACATTTCTGTTACAGAGCAATTTTAAAACACTCTTTGTGGAATCTGAAAGTGGATAATTGGATAGCTTTGTGGATTTCGTTGGAAACGGGATGACGTATAAAATCTAGAGAGAAGCATTCTCAGGAACTTCTTTCTGATGTTTGCATTCAAGTCACAGAATTGAACATTCCTTTTCAGAGTGCAGGTTTGAAACACTCTTTCTGTAGTATCTGGAAGTGGACATTTCAAGCGCTTTCAGGCCTACGGGGAGAAAGGAAATATCTTCAAATAAAAACTAGACAGAAGGATTCTCAGAAACTTATTTGTGATGTGTGTCCTAAACGAACACAGTTGAACCTTTGTTTTGATACAGCATTTTGGAAACACTCCTTTTGTAGGATCTGCAGGTGGATATTTGGATAGATTTTAAGATTTCGTTGGAAACGGGAATTTCTTCATAGAAGCTCAAGACAGATGCGTTCTCAGAAACTTCTCTGTGATGTTTGCATTCCACTCATAGAGTTGAAAACTTCCTTTCATAGAGCAGGTTTGAAACACTCTTTTTGTAATATTTGGAAGTGGACATTTGCAGCGCTTTGAGGCCTATGGTGAAAAAGGAAATATCTTCTCATAAAAACCAGAAACAAGCATTCTCAGAAACTTCTTTTTGATGTGTGTACTCAAGTAACAGAGTTGAACCTTCCTTTTGACACAGCAGTTTTGAAACAATCTTTTTGTAGAATCTGCAAGTGGATATTTGGATAGCTTTGAGGATTTCGTTGGAAACGGGATATCTTCATATAAAATCTAGACAGAAGCATTCTCAGAAACTTCTTTGTGCTGTATGTCCTCAATTAACAGAGTTGAACCATTGCCTGGATACAGTATTTTGGAAACATTCCTTGAGTAGAATCTGCAAGTTGATATTTAGATAGATTTGAAGATTTCGTTGGAAAAGGGAATATCTCCATATAAAATCTAGAGGGAAGCATTCTCAGAAACTGCTTTGTGATGTTTCCATTCAAGTCACAGAGTTGAATATTCCCTTTTATAGAGCACGTTTGAAACACTCTTTCTGCACTATCTGGAAGCGGACATTTCGAGCGCTTTGAGGCCTATGGTGAAAAAGGAAATATCTTCCCATAAAAACTAGACAGAAGCATTCTCAGAAACTTGTTTGTGATGTGTGTATTCAACTAACAGAGTTGAACTTTTGTTTTTACAGAGCCGTTTTAAAACACTCTTTTTGTGGAATCAGAAAGTGGATATTCGGATGGCTCTGAGGATTTCGTTGGAAGCGGGATTACGTATAAAATCTAGAGAGAAGCATTCTCAGGAACTTCTTTGTGATGTTTGCATTCAAGTCACAGAATTGAACATTCCCTTTCATAGAGCAGGTTTGAAACACTCTTTCTCTAGTATCTGGAAGTGGGCATTTCAAGCGCTTTCAGGCCTATGGAGAGAAAGGAAATACCTTCAAATAAAAACTAGACAGAAGCATTCTCAGAAACTTATTTGTGATGTGTGTCCTCAACTAACAGAGTTGAACCTTTGTTTTGATACAGCATTTTGGAAACACTCCTTGTGTAGAATCTGCAGGTGGATATTTGGATAGCTTTGAAGATTTCGTTGGAAACCGGAATATCTTCATATAAAATCAAGACAGAAGCATTCTCGGAAACATCTCTGTGATGTTTGCATTCAACTCAGTAGAGTTGAACACTTCCTTTCATAGAGCAGGTTTGAAACACTCTTTCTGCACTACCTGGAAGCGGACATTTCGAGCGCTTTGAGGCCTATGGTGAAAAAGGAAATATCTTCTCATAAAAACCAGAAAGAAGCATTCTCAGAAACTTCTTTGTGTTGTGTGTACTCAAGTAACAGTGTTGAACCTTCCTTTTGACAGAGCAGTTTTGAAACACTCTTTTGGTAGAATCTGCAAGTGGATATTTGGATAGCTTTGAGGATTTCGTTGGAAACGGGTTATCTTCATATAAAATCCAGACAGGAGCATTCTCAGAAACTTCTTTTTGCTGTATGTCCTCAATTCACAGAGCTGAACCTTTGTTTGGATACAGCATTTTGGAGACATTCCTTTAGTAGAATCTGCAAGTTGATATTTAGATAGCTTTGAAGATTTCGTTGGAAACGGGAATATCTTCATAGAAAATCTAGACGGAAGCATTCTCAGAAACTGCTTTGTGATGTTTGCATTCAAGTCACAGAGTTGAATATTCCCTTTTATAGAGTAGGTTTGAAACACTCTTTCGGCACTACCTGGAAGTGGATATTTCGAGCTCTTTGAGGCCTATGGTTAAAAGGAAATATCTTCCCATAAAAACTAGACAGAAGCCGTCTCAGAAACTTGTTTGTGATGTGTGTATTCAACTAACAGAGTTGAACATTTCTGTTACAGAGCAATTTTAAAACACTCTTTGTGGAATCTGAAAGTAGATAATTGGATAGCTTTGTGGATTTCGTTGGAAACGGGATGACGTAAAAAATCTAGAGAGAAGCATTCTCAGGAACTTCTTTCTGATGTTTGCATTCAAGTCACAGAATTGAACATTCCTTTTCAGAGTGCAGGTTTGAAACACTCTTTCTGTAGTATCTGGAAGTGGACATTTCAAGCGCTTTCAGGCCTACGGGGAGAAAGGAAATATCTTCAAATAAAAACTAGACAGAAGGGTTCTCAGAAACTTATTTGTGATGTGTGTCCTAAACGAACACAGTTGAACCTTTGTTTTGATACAGCATTTTGGAAACACTCCTTTTGTAGGATCTGCAGGTGGATATTTGGATAGATTTTAAGATTTCGTTGGAAACGGGAATTTCTGCATAGAAACTCAAGACAGATGCATTCTCAGAAACTTCTCTGTGATGTTTGCATTCCACTCATAGAGTTGAAAACTTCCTTTCATAGAGCAGGTTTGAAACACTCTTTTTGTAATATTTGGAAGTGGACATTTGCAGCGCTTTGAGGCCTATGGTGAAAAAGGAAATATCTTCTCATAAAAACCAGAAACAAGCATTCTCAGAAACTTCTTTTTGATGTGTGTACTCAAGTAACAGAGTTGAACCTTCCTTTTGACACAGCAGTTTTGAAACAATCTTTTTGTAGAATCTGCAAGTGGATATTTGGATAGCTTTGAGGATTTCGTTGGAAACGGGATATCTTCATATAAAATCTAGACAGAAGCATTCTCAGAAACTTCTTTGTGCTGTATGTCCTCAATTAACAGAGTTGAACCATTGCTTGGATACAGCATTTTGGAAACATTCCTTTAGTAGAATCTGCAAGTTGATATTTAGATAGATTTGAAGATTTCGTTGGAAACGGGAATATCTTCATATAAAATCTAGACGGAGGCATTCTCAGAAACTGCTTTGTGATGTTTCCATTCAAGTCACAGAGTTGAATATTCTCTTTTATAGAGCACGTTTGAAACACTCTTTCTGCACTATCTGGAAGTGGACATTTCGAGCGCTTTGAGGCCTATGGTGAAAAAGGAAATATCTTCCCATAAAAACTAGACAGAAGCATTCTCAGAAACTTGTTTGTGATGTGTGTATTCAACTAACAGAGTTGAACTTTTGTTTTTACAGAGCCGTTTTAAAACACTCTTTTTCTGGAATCAGAAAGTGGATATTCGGATGGCTCTGAGGATTTCGTTGGAAGCGGGATTACATATAAAATCTAGAGAGAAGCATTCTCAGGAACTTCTTTGTGATGTTTGCATTGAAGTCACAGAATTGAACATTCACTTTGATAGAGCAGGTTTGAAACACTCATTCTGTAGTATCTGGAAGTGGACATTTCAAGCGCTTTCAGGCCTATGGTGGGAAAGGAAATATCTTCGAATAAAAACTAGACAGAAGGATTTTCAGAAACTTATTGGTGATGTGTGTCCTAAACGAACACAGTTGAACCTTTGTTTTGATACAGCATTTTGGAAACACTCTTTTTGTAGAATCTGCAGGTGGATATTTGGATAGCTTAGAGGGATTCGTTGGAAAGGGGATATCTTCATATAAAATCTAGACAGAAGCATTCTCAGAAACTTATTTGTGATGTGTGTCCTCAACTAACAGAGTTGAACCTTGGTTTTGATACAGCATTTTGGAAACACTCCTTTTGTAGAATCTGCAGGTGGATATGTGGATAGCTTTGAAGATTTCGTTGGAAACGGGAATTTCTTCATATAAAATCAAACAGAAGCATTCTCAGAAACTTCTCTGTGATGTTTGCATTCAGCTCATGGAGTTGAACACTTCCTTTCATAGAGCAGCTTTGAAACACTCTTTCTGCACTACCAGGAAGTGGACATTTCGAGCGCTTTGAGGCCTATGGTGAAAAAGGAAATATCTTCTCATAAAAACCAGAAAGAAGCGTTCTCAGAAACTTCTTTGTGTTGTGTGTACTCATGTAACAGTGTTGAACCATCCTTTTGACAGAGCAGTTTTGAAACACTCTTTTTGTAGAATCTGCAAGTGGATATTTGGAGAGCTTTGAGGATTTCGTTGGAAACGGGTTATCTTCATATTAAATCTAGACAGAAGCATTCTCAGGAACTTCTTTGTGATGTTTGCATTCAAGTCACAGAATTGAACATTCCCTTTCATAGAGCAGGTTTGAAACACTCTTTCTCTAGTATCTGGAAGTGGGCATTTCAAGCGCTTTCAGGCCTATGGAGAGAAAGGAAATACCTTCAAATAAAAACTAGACAGAAGCATTCTCAGAAACTTATTTGTGATGTGTGTCCTCAACTAACAGAGTTGAACCTTTGTTTTGATACAGCATTTTGGAAACACTCCTTTTGTAGAATCTGCAGGTGGATATTTGGATAGCTTTGAAGATTTCATTGGAAACCGGAATATCTTCATATAAAATCAAGACAGAAGCATTCTCGGAAACATCTCTGTGATGTTTGCATTCAACTCAGTAGAGTTGAACACTTCCTTTCATAGAGCAGGTTTGAAACACTCTTTCTGCACTACCTGGAAGCGGACATTTCGAGCGCTTTGAGGCCTATGGTGAAAAAGGAAATATCTTCTCATAAAAACCAGAAAGAAGCATTCTCAGAAACTTCTTTGTGTTGTGTGTACTCAAGTAACAGTGTTGAACCTTCCTTTTGACAGAGTAGTTTTGAAACACTCTTTTGGTAGAATCTGCAAGTGGATATTTGGATAGCTTTGAGGATTTCTTTGGAAACGGGTTATCTTCCTATAAAATCCAGACAGGAGCATTCTCAGAAACTTCTTTGTGCTGTATGTCCTCAATTCACAGAGCTGAACCTTTGTTTGGATACAGCATTTTGGAGACATTCCTTTAGTAGAATCTGCAAGTTGATATTTAGATAGCTTTGAAGATTTCGTTGGAAACGGGAATATCTTCATAGAAAATCTAGACGGAAGCATTCTCAGAAACTGCTTTGTGATGTTTGCATTCAAGTCACAGAGTTGAATATTCCCTTTTATAGAGTAGGTTTGAAACACTCTTTCGGCACTACCTGGAAGTGGATATTTAGAGCTCTTTGAGGCCTATGGTTAAAAGGAAATATCTTCCCATAAAAACTAGACAGAAGCCGTCTCAGAAACTTGTTTGTGATGTGTGTATTCAACTACCAGAGTTGAACATTTCTGTTACAGAGCAATTTTAAAACACTCTTTCTGTGGAATCTGAAAGTGGATAATTGGATAGCTTTGTGGATTTCGTTGGAAACGGGATGACGTATAAAATCTAGAGAGAAGCATTCTCAGGAACTTCTTTCTGATGTTTGCATTCAAGTCACAGAATTGAACATTCCTTTTCAGAGTGCAGGTTTGAAACACTCTTTCTGTAGTATCTGGAAGTGGACATTTCAAGCGCTTTCAGGCCTACGGGGAGAAAGGAAATATCTTCAAATAAAAACTAGACAGAAGGATTCTCAGAAACTTATTTGTGATGTGTGTCCTAAACGAACACAGTTGAACCTTTGTTTTGATACAGCATTTTGGAAACACTCCTTTTGTAGGATCTGCAGGTGGATATTTGGATAGATTTTAAGATTTCGTTGGAAACGGGAATTTCTGCATATAAACTCAAGACAGATGCATTCTCAGAAACTTCTCTGTGATGTTTGCATTCCACTCATAGAGTTGAAAACTTCCTTTCATAGAGCAGGTTTGAAACACTCTTTTTGTAATATGTGGAAGTGGACATTTGCAGCGCTTTGAGGCCTATGGTGAAAAAGGAAATATCTTCTCATAAAAACCAGAAACAAGCATTCTCAGAAACTTCTTTATGATGTGTGTACTCAAGTAACAGAGTTGAACCTTCCTCTTGACACAGCAGTTTTGAAACAATCTTTTTGTAGAATCTGCAAGTGGATATTTGGATAGCTTTGAGGATTTCGTTGGAAACGGGATATCTTCATATAAAATCTAGACAGAAGCATTCTCAGAAACTTCTTTGTGCTGTATGTCCTCAATTAACAGAGTTGAACCATTGCCTGGATACAGCATTTTGGAAACATTTCTTGAGTAGAATCTGCAAGTTGATATTTAGATAGATTTGAAGATTTCGTTGGAAAAGGGAATATCTCCATATAAAATCTAGAGGGAAGCATTCTCAGAAACTGCTTTGTGATGTTTCCATTCAAGTCACAGAGTTGAATATTCCCTTTTATAGAGCACGTTTGAAACACTCTTTCTGCACTATCTGGAAGTGGACATTTCGAGCGCTTTGAGGCCTATGGTGAAAAAGGAAATATCTTCCCATAAAAACTAGACAGAAGCATTCTCAGAAACTTGTTTGTGATGTGTGTATTCAAGTAACAGAGTTGAACTTTTGTTTTTACAGAGCCGTTTTAAAACACTCTTTTTGTGGAATCAGAAAGTGGATATTCGGATGGCTCTGAGGATTTCGTTGGAAGCGGGATTACATATAAAATCTAGAGAGAAGCATTCTCAGGAACTTCTTTGTGATGTTTGCATTGAAGTCACAGAATTGAACATTCACTTTGATAGAGCAGGTTTGAAACACTCATTCTGTAGGATCTGGAAGTGGACATTTCAAGCGCTTTCAGGCCTATGGTGAGAAAGGAAATATCTTCGAATAAAAACTAGACAGAAGCATCCTCAGAAACTTATTTGTGATGTGTGTCCTCAACTAACAGAGTTGAAACTTTGTTTTGATACAGCATTTTGGAAACACTCTTTTTGTAGAATCTGCAGGTGGATATTTGGATAGCTTAGAGGGATTCGTTGGAAAGGGGATATCTTCATATAAAATCTAGACAGAAGCATTCTCAGAAACTTATTTGTGATGTGTGTCCTCAACTAACAGAGTTGAACCTTGGTTTTGATACAGCATTTTGGAAACACTCCTTTTGTAGAATCTGCAGGTGGATATGTGGATAGCTCTGAAGATTGCGTTGGAAACGGGAATTTCTTCATATAAAATCAAACAGAAGCATTCTCAGGAACTTCTCTGTGATGTTTGCATTCAGCTCATGGAGTTGAACACTTCCTTTCATAGAGCAGGTTTGAAACACTCTTTCTGCACTACCTGGAAGTGGACATTTCGAGCGCTTTGAGGCCTATGGTGAAAAAGGAAATATCCTCTCATAAAAACCAGAAAGAAGCGTTCTCAGAAACTTCTTTGTGTTGTGTGTACTCATGTAACAGTGTTGAACCATCCTTTTGACAGAGCAGTTTTGAAACACTCTTTTTGTAGAATCTGCCAGTGGATATTTGGATAGCTTTGAGGATTTCGTTGGAAACGGGTTATCTTCATATTAAATCTAGACAGAGGCATTCTCAGAAACTTCTTTGTGCTGTATGTCCTCAATTCACAGAGTTGAACCTTTGTTTGGATACAGCATTTTGGAAACATTCCTTTAGTAGAATCTTCAAGTTGATATTTAGATAGCTTTGAAGATTTCGTTGGAAACGGGAATATCTTCATAAAAAATCTAGACGGAAGCATTCTCAGAAACTGCTTTGTGATGTTTGCATTCAAGTCACAGAGTTGAATATTCCCTTTTATAGAGTAGGTTTGAAACACTCTTTCGGCACTACCTGGAAGTGGATATTTCGAGCTCTTTGAGGCCTATGGTTAAAAGGAAATATCTTCCCATAAAAACTAGACAGAAGCCGTCTCAGAAACTTGTTTGTGATGTGTGTATTCAACTAACAGAGTTGAACATTTCTGTTACAGAGCAATTTTAAAACACTCTTTTTGTGGAATCTGAAAGTGGATAATTGGATAGCTTTGTGGATTTCGTTGGAAACGGGATGATGTATAAAATCTAGAGAGAAGCATTCTCAGGAACTTCTTTCTGATGTTTGCATTCAAGTCACAGAATTGAACATTCCTTTTCAGAGTGCAGGTTTGAAACACTCTTTCTGTAGTATCTGGAAGTGGACATTTCAAGCGCTTTCAGGCCTACGGGGAGAAAGGAAATATCTTCAAATAAAAACTAGACAGAAGGATTCTCAGAAACTTATTTGTGATGTGTGTCCTAAACGAACACAGTTGAACCTTTGTTTTGATACAGCATTTTGGAAACACTCCTTTTGTAGGATCTGCAGGTGGATATTTGGATAGATTTTAAGATTTCGTTGGAAACGGGAATTTCTTCATATAAACTCAAGACAGATGCATTCTCAGAAACTTCTCTGTGATGTTTGCATTCCACTCATAGAGTTGAAAACTTCCTTTCATAGAGCAGGTTTGAAACACTCTTTTTGTAATATTTGGAAGTGGACATTTGCAGCGCTTTGAGGCCTATGGTGAAAAAGGAAATATCTTCTCATAAAAACCAGAAACAAGCATTCTCAGAAACTGCTTTTTGATGTGTGTACTCAAGTAACAGAGTTGAACCTTCCTTTTGACACAGCAGTTTTGAAACAATCTTTCTGTAGAATCTGCAAGTGGATATTTGGATAGCTTTGAGGATTTCGTTGGAAACGGGATATCTTCATATAAAATCTAGAAAGAAGCATTCTCAGAAACTTCTTTGTGCTGTATGTCCTCAATTAACAGAGTTGAACCATTGCTTGGATACAGCATTTTGGAAACATTCCTTTAGTAGAATCTGCAAGTTGATATTTAGATAGATTTGAAGATTTCGTTGGAAACGGGAATATCTTCATATAAAATCTAGACGGAAGCATTCTCAGAAACTGCTTTGTGATGTTTCCATTCAAGTCACAGAGTTGAATATTCTCTTTTATAGAGCACGTTTGAAACACTCTTTCTGCACTATCTGGAAGTGGACATTTCGAGCGCTTTGAGGCCTATGGTGAAAAAGGAAATATCTTCCCATAAAAACTAGACAGAAGCATTCTCAGAAACTTGTTTGTGATGTGTGTATTCAACTGAGTTGAACTTTTGTTTCTACAGAGCAGTTTTAAAACACTCTTTTTGTGGAATCAGAAAGTGGATATTCGGATGGCTCTGAGGATTTCGTTGGAAGCGGGATTACATATAAAATCTAGAGAGAAGCATTCTCAGGAACTTCTTTGTGATGTTTGCATTGAAGTCACAGAATTGAACATTCACTTTGATAGAGCAGGTTTGAAACACTCATTCTGTAGTATCTGGAAGTGGACATTTCAAGCGCTTTCAGGCCTATGGTGAGAAAGGAAATATCTTCAAATAAAAACTAGACAGAAGCATTCTCAGAAACTTATTTGTGATGTGTGTCCTCAACTAACAGAGTTGAAACTTTGTTTTGATACAGCATTTTGGAAACACTCTTTTTGTAGAATCTGCAGGTGGATATTTGGATAGCTTAGAGGGATTCGTTGGAAAGGGGATATCTTCATATAAAATCTAGACAGAAGCATTCTCAGAAACTTATTTGTGATGTGTGTCCTCAACTAACAGAGTTGAACTTTGGTTTTGATACAGCATTTTGGAAACACTCCTTTTGTAGAATCTGCAGGTGGATATGTGGATAGCTCTGAAGATTTCGTTGGAAACGGGAATTTCTTCATATAAAATCAAACAGAAGCATTCTCAGAAACTTCTCAGTGATGTTTGCATTCAGTTCATGGAGTTGAACACTTCCCTTCATAGAGCCGGTTTGAAACACTCTTTCTGCACTACCTGGAAGAGGACATTTCGAGCGCTTTGAGTCCTATGGTGAAAAAGGAAATATCTTCTCATAGAAACCAGAAAGAAGCGTTCTCAGAAACTTCTTTGTGTTGTGTGTACTCATGTAACAGTGTTGAACCATCCTTTTGACAGAGCAGTTTTGAAACACTCTTTTTGTAGAATCTGCAAGTGGATATTTGGATAGCTTTGAGGATTTCGTTGGAAACGGGTTATCTTCATATTAAATCTAGACAGAAGCATTTTCAGAAACTTCTTTGTGCTGTATGTCCTCAATTCACAGAGTTGAACCTTTGTTTGGATACAGCATTTTGGAAACATTCCTTTAGTAGAATCTGCAAGTTGATATTTAGATAGCTTTGAAGATTTCGTTGGAAACGGGAATATCTTCATAAAAAATCTAGACGGAAGCATTGTCAGAAACTGCTTTGTGATGTTTGCATTCAAGTCACAGAGTTAAATATTCTTTTACAGAGCAGGTTTGAAACACTCTTTCTGCACTCCCTGGAAATGGAGATTTCGAGCGCTTTGAGGCCTATGGTGAAAAAGGAAATATCTTCCCATAAAAACTAGACGGAAGCATTCTCAGAAACTTGTTTGTGATGTGTGTATTCAACTAACAGAGTTGAACTTTTGTTTTTACAGAGCCGTTTTAAAACACTCTTTTTGTGGAATCAGAAAGTGGATATTCGGATGGCTCTGAGGATTTCGTTGGAAGCGGGATTACATATAAAATCTAGAGAGAAGCATTCTCAGGAACTTCTTTGTGATGTTTGCATTGAAGTCACAGAATTGAACATTCACTTTGATAGAGCAGGTTTGAAACACTCATTCTGTAGGATCTGGAAGTGGACATTTCAAGCGCTTTCAGGCCTATGGTGAGAAAGGAAATATCTTCAAATAAAAACTAGACAGAAGCATCCTCAGAAACTTATTTGTGATGTGTGTCCTCAACTAACAGAGTTGAAACTTTGTTTTGATACAGCATTTTGGAAACACTCTTTTTGTAGAATCTGCAGGTGGATATTTTGATAGCTTAGAGGGATTCGTTGGAAAGGGGATATCTTCATATAAAATCTAGACAGAAGCATTCTCAGAAACTTATTTGTGATGTGTGTCCTCAACTAACAGAGTGGAACCTTGGTTTTGATACAGCATTTTGGAAACACTCCTTTTGTAGAATCTGCAGGTGGATATGTGGATAGCTTTGAAGATTTCGTTGGAAACGGGAATTTCTTCATATAAAATCAAACAGAAGCATTCTCAGAAACTTCTCTGTGATGTTTGCATTCAGCTCATGGAGTTGAACACTTCCTTTCATAGAGCAGGTTTGAAACACTCTTTCTGCACTACCAGGAAGTGGACATTTCGAGCGCTTTGAGGCCTATGGTGAAAAAGGAAATATCTTCTCATAAAAACCAGAAAGAAGCATTCTCAGAAACTTCTTTGTGTTGTGTGTACTCATGTAACAGTGTTGAACCATCCTTTTGACAGAGGAGTTTTGAAACACTCTTTTTGTAGAATCTGCAAGTGGATATTTGGATAGCTTTGAGGATTTCGTTGGAAACGGGATGACATATAATATCTAGAGAGAAGCATTCTCAGGAACTTCTTTGTGATGTTTGCATTCAAGTCACAGAATTGAACATTCCCTTTCATAGAGCAGGTTTGAAACACTCTTTCTCTAGTATCTGGAAGTGGGCATTTCAAGCGCTTTCAGGCCTATGGAGAGAAAGGAAATACCTTCAAATAAAAACTAGACAGAAGCATTCTCAGAAACTTATTTGTGATGTGTGTCCTCAACTAACAGAGTTGAACCTTTGTTTTGATACAGCATTTTGGAAACACTCCTTTTGTAGAATCTGCAGGTGGATATTTGGATAGCTTTGAAGATTTCGTTGGAAACCGGAATATCTTCATATAAAATCAAGACAGAAGCATTCTCGGAAACATCTCTGTGATGTTTGCATTCAACTCAGTAGAGTTGAACACTTCCTTTCATAGAGCAGGTTTGAAACACTCTTTCTGCACTACCTGGAAGTGGACATTTCGAGCGCTTTGAGGCCTATGGTGAAAAAGGAAATATCTTCTCATAAAAACCAGAAAGAAGCATTCTCAGAAACTTCTTTGTGTTGTGTGTACTCAAGTAACAGTGTTGAACCTTCCTTTTGACAGAGCAGTTTTGAAACACTCTTTTGGTAGAATCTGCAAGTGGATATTTGGATAGCTTTGAGGATTTCGTTGGAAACGGGTTATCTTCCTATAAAATCCAGACAGGAGCATTCTCAGAAACTTCTTTGTGCTGTATGTCCTCAATTCACAGAGCTGAACCTTTGTTTGGATACAGCATTTTGGAGACATTCCTTTAGTAGAATCTGCAAGTTGATATTTAGATAGCTTTGAAGATTTCGTTGGAAACGGGAATATCTTCATAGAAAATCTAGACGGAAGCATTCTCATAAACTGCTTTGTGATGTTTGCATTCAAGTCACAGAGTTGAATATTCCCTTTTACAGAGTAGGTTTGAAACACTCTTTCGGCACTACCTGGAAGTGGATATTTCGAGCTGTTTGAGGCCTATGGTTAAAAGGAAATATCTTCCCATAAAAACTAGACAGAAGCCGTCTCAGAAACTTGTTTGTGATGTGTGTATTCAACTAACAGAGCTGAACATTTCTGTTACAGAGCAGTTTTAAAACACTCTTTTTGTGGAATCTGAAAGTGGATAATTGGGTAGTTTTGTGGATTTCGTTGGAAAAGGGATGACGTAAAAAATCTAGAGAGAAGCATTCTCAGGAACTTCTTTCTGATGTTTGCATTCAAGTCACAGAATTGAACATTCCTTTTCATAGTGCAGGTTTGAAACACTCTTTCTGTAGTATCTGGAAGTGGACATTTCAAGCGCTTTCAGGCCTATGGGGAGAAAGGAAATATCTTCAAATAAAAACTAGACAGAAGGATTCTCAGAAACTTATTTGTGATGTGTGTCCTAAACGAACACAGTTGAACCTTTGTTTTGATACAGCATTTTGGAAACACTCCTTTTGTAGGATCTGCAGGTGGATATTTGGATAGATTTTAAGATTTCGTTGGAAACGGGAATTTCTGCATATAAACTCAAGACAGATGCATTCTCAGAAACTTCTCTGTGATGTTTGCATTCCACTCATAGAGTTGAAAACTTCCTTTCATAGAGCAGGTTTGAAACACTCTTTTTGTAATATTTGGAAGTGGACATTTGCAGCGCTTTGAGGCCTATGGTGAAAAAGGAAATATCTTCTCATAAAAACCAGAAACAAGCATTCTCAGAAACTGCTTTTTGATGTGTGTACTCAAGTAACAGAGTTGAACCTTCCTTTTGACACAGCAGTTTTGAAACAATCTTTTTGTAGAATCTGCAAGTGGATATTTGGATAGCTTTGAGGATTTCGTTGGAAACGGGATATCTTCATATAAAATCTAGACAGAAGCATTCTCAGAAACTTCTTTGTGCTGTATGTCCTCAATTAACAGAGTTGAACCATTGCTTGGATACAGCATTTTGGAAACATTCCTTTAGTAGAATCTGCAAGTTGATATTTAGATAGCTTTGAAGATTTCGTTGGAAACGGGAATATCTTCATATAAAATCTAGACGGAAGCATTCTCAGAAACTGCTTTGTGATGTTTGCATTCAAGTCACAGAGTTGAATATTCCCTTTTATAGAGTAGGTTTGAAACACTCTTTCGGCACTACCTGGAAGTGGATATTTCGAGCTCTTTGAGGCCTATGGTTAAAAGGAAATATCTTCCCATAAAAACTAGACAGAAGCCGTCTCAGAAACTTGTTTGTGATGTGTGTATTCAACTACCAGAGTTGAACATTTCTGTTACAGAGCAATTTTAAAACACTCTTTCTGTGGAATCTGAAAGTGGATAATTGGGTAGCTTTGTGGATTTCGTTGGAAACGGGATGACGTATAAAATCTAGAGAGAAGCATTCTCAGGAACTTCTTTCTGATGTTTTCATTCAAGTCACAGAATTGAACATTCCTTTTCAGAGTGCAGGTTTGAAACACTCTTTCTGTAGTATCTGGAAGTGGACATTTCAAGCGCTTTCAGGCCTACGGGGAGAAAGGAAATATCTTCAAATAAAAACTAGACAGAAGGATTCTCAGAAACTTATTTGTGATGTGTGTCCTAAACGAACACAGTTGAACCTTTGTTTTGATACAGCATTTTGGAAACACTCCTTTTGTAGGATCTGCAGGTGGATATTTGGATAGATTTTAAGATTTCGTTGGAAACGGGAATTTCTGCATAGAAACTCAAGACAGATGCATTCTCAGAAACTTCTCTGTGATGTTTGCATTCCACTCATAGAGTTGAAAACTTCCTTTCATAGAGCAGGTTTGAAACACTCTTTTTGTAATATTTGGAAGTGGACATTTGCAGCGCTTTGAGGCCTATGGTGAAAAAGGAAATATCTTCTCATAAAAACCAGAAACAAGCATTCTCAGAAACTTCTTTTTGATGTGTGTACTCAAGTAACAGAGTTGAACCTTCCTTTTGACACAGCAGTTTTGAAACAATCTTTTTGTAGAATCTGCAAGTGGATATTTGGATAGCTTTGAGGATTTCGTTGGAAACGGGATATCTTCATATAAAATCTAGACAGAAGCATTCTCAGAAACTTCTTTGTGCTGTATGTCCTCAATTAACAGAGTTGAACCATTGCTTGGATACAGCATTTTGGAAACATTCCTTTAGTAGAATCTGCAAGTTGATATTTAGATAGATTTGAAGATTTCGTTGGAAACGGGAATATCTTCATATAAAATCTAGACGGAGGCATTCTCAGAAACTGCTTTGTGATGTTTCCATTCAAGTCACAGAGTTGAATATTCTCTTTTATAGAGCACGTTTGAAACACTCTTTCTGCACTATCTGGAAGTGGACATTTCGAGCGCTTTGAGGTCTATGGTGAAAAAGGAAATATCTTCCCATAAAAACTAGACAGAAGCATTCTCAGAAACTTGTTTGTGATGTGTGTATTCAACTAACAGACTTGAACTTTTGTTTTTACAGAGCAGTTTTAAAACAATCTTTTTGTGGAATCAGAAAGTGGATATTCGGATGGCTTTGAGGATTTCGTTGGAAGCGGGATTACATATAAAATCTAGAGAGAAGCATTCTCAGGAACTACTTTGTGATGTTTGCATTGAAGTCACAGAATTGAACATTCACTTTGATAGAGCAGGTTTGAAACACTCATTCTGTAGTATCTGGAAGTGGACATTTCAAGCGCTTTCAGGCCTATGGGGAGAAAGGAAATATCTTCAAATTAAAACTAGACAGAAGCATCCTCAGAAACTTATTTGTGATGTGTGTCCTCAACTAACAGAGTTGAAACTTTGTTTTGATACAGCATTTTGGAAACACTCTTTTTGTAGAATCTGCAGGTGGATATTTGGATAGCTTAGAGGGAGTCGTTGGAAAGGGGATATCTTCATATAAAATCTAGACAGAAGCATTCTCAGAAACTTATTTGTGATGTGTGTCCTCAACTAACAGAGTTGAACCTTGGTTTTGATACAGCATTTTGGAAACACTCCTTTTGTAGAATCTGCAGGTGGATATGTGGATAGCTTTGAAGATTTCGTTGGAAACGGGAATTTCTTCATATAAAATCAAACAGAAGCATTCTCAGAAACTTCTCTGTGATGTTTGCATTCAGCTCATGGAGTTGGACACTTCCTTTCATAGAGCAGGTTTGAAACACTCTTTCTGCACTACCAGGAAGTGGACATTTCGAGCGCTTTGAGGCCTATGGTGAAAAAGGAAATATCTTCTCATAAAAACCAGAAAGAAGCGTTCTCAGAAACTTCTTTGTGTTGTGTGTACTCATGTAACAGTGTTGAACCATCCTTTTGACAGAGCAGTTTTGAAACACTCTTTTTGTAGAATCTGCAAGTGGATATTTGGATAGCTTTGAGGATTTCGTTGGAAACGGGTTATCTTCATATTAAATCTAGACAGAAGCATTCTCAGGAACTTCTTTGTGATGTTTGCATTCAAGTCACAGAATTGAACATTCCCTTTCATAGAGCAGGTTTGAAACACTCTTTCTCTAGTATCTGGAAGTGGGCATTTCAAGCGCTTTCAGGCCTATGGAGAGAAAGGAAATACCTTCAAATAAAAACTAGACAGAAGCATTCTCAGAAACTTATTTGTGATGTGTGTCCTCAACTAACAGAGTTGAACCTTTGTTTTGATACAGCATTTTGGAAACACTCCTTTTGTAGAATCTGCAGGTGGATATTTGGATAGCTTTGAAGATTTCGTTGGAAACCGGAATATCTTCATATAAAATCAAGACAGAAGCATTCTCGGAAACATCTCTGTGATGTTTGCATTCAACTCAGTAGAGTTGAACACTTCCTTTCATAGAGCAGGTTTGAAACACTCTTTCTGCACTACCTGGAAGCGGACATTTCGAGCGCTTTGAGGCCTATGGTGAAAAAGGAAATATCTTCTCATAAAAACCAGAAAGAAGCATTCTCAGAAACTTCTTTGTGTTGTGTGTACTCAAGTAACAGTGTTGAACCTTCCTTTTGACAGAGCAGTTTTGAAACACTCTTTTGGTAGAATCTGCAAGTGGATATTTGGATAGCTTTGAGGATTTCGTTGGAAACGGGTTATCTTCATATAAAATCCAGACAGGAGCATTCTCAGAAACTTCTTTGTGCTGTATGTCCTCAATTCACAGAGCTGAACCTTTGTTTGGATACAGCATTTTGGAGACATTCCTTTAGTAGAATCTGCAAGTTGATATTTAGATAGCTTTGAAGATTTCGTTGGAAACGGGAATATCTTCATAGAAAATCTAGACGGAAGCATTCTCAGAAACTGCTTTGTGATGTTTGCATTCAAGTCACAGAGTTGAATATTCCCTTTTATACAGTAGGTTTGAAACACTCTTTCGGCACTACCTGGAAGTGGATATTTCGAGCTCTTTGAGGCCTATGGTTAAAAGGAAATATCTTCCCATAAAAACTAGACAGAAGCCTTCTCAGAAACTTGTTTGAGATGTGTGTATTCAACTAAGAGCGTTGAACATTTCTTTTTACAGAGCAATTTTAAAACACTCTTTTTGTGGAACCTGAAAGTGGATAATTGGATAGCTTTGTGGATTTCGTTGGAAACGGGATGACGTATAAAATCTAGAGAGAAGCATTCTCAGGAACTTCTTTCTGATGTTTGCATTCAAGTCACAGAATTGAACATTCCTTTTCATAGTGCAGGTTTGAAACACTCTTTCTGTAGTATCTGGAAGTGGACATTTCCAGCGCTTTCAGGCCTATGGGGAGAAAGGAAATATCTTCAAATAAAAACTAGACAGAAGGATTCTCAGAAACTTATTGGTGATGTGTGTCCTAAACGAACACAGTTGAACCTTTGTTTTGATACAGCATTTTGGAAACACTCCCTTTGTAGAATCTGCAGGTGGATATTTGGATAGATTTTAAGATTTCGTTGGAAACGGGAATTTCTTCGTATAAACTCAAGACAGATGCATTCTCAGAAACTTCTCTGTGATGTTTGCATTCCACTCATAGAGTTGAAAACTTCCTTTCATAGAGCAGGTTTGAAACACTCTTTTTGTAATATTTGGAAGTGGACATTTGCAGCGCTTTGAGGCCTATGGTGAAAAAGGAAATATCTTCTCATAAAAACCAGAAACAAGCATTCTCAGAAACTTCTTTTTGATGTGTGTACTCAAGTAACAGAGTTGAACCTTCCTTTTGACACAGCAGTTTTGAAACAATCTTTTTGTAGAATCTGCAAGTGGATATTTGGATAGCTTTGAGGATTTCGTTGCAAACGGGATATCTTCATATAAAATCTAGACAGAAGCATTCTCAGAAACTTCTTTGTGCTGTATGTCCTCAATTAACAGAGTTGAACCATTGCTTGGATACAGCATTTTGGAAACATTCCTTTAGTAGAATCTGCAAGTTGATATTTAGATAGATTTGAAGATTTCGTTGGAAACGGGAATATCTTCATATAAAATCCTAGACGGAAGCATTGTCAGAAACTGCTTTGTGATGTTTGCATTCAAGTCACAGAGTTAAATATTCTTTTACAGAGCAGGTTTGAAACACTCTTTCTGCACTCCCTGGAAGTGGAGATTTCGAGCGCTTTGAGGCCTATGGTGAAAAAGGAAATATCTTCCCATAAAAGCTAGACGGAAGCCTTCTCAGAAACTTGTTTGAGATGTGTGTATTCAAGTAAGAGCGTTGAACATTTCTTTTTACAGAGCAGTTTTAAAACACTCTTTTTGTGGAATCTGAAAGTGGATAATTGGATAGCTTTGTGGATTTCGTTGGAAACGGGATGACGTATAAAATCTAGAGAGAAGCATTCTCAGGAACTTCTTTCTGATGTTTGCATTCAAGTCACAGAATTGAACATTCCTTTTCATAGTGCATGTTTGAAACACTCTTTCTGTAGTATCTGGAAGTGGACATTTCAAGCGCTTTCAGGCCTATGGGGAGAAAGGAAATATCTTCAAATAAAAACTAGAGAGAAGGATTCTCAGAAACTCATTTGTGATGTGTGTCCTAAACGAACACAGTTGAAACTTTGTTTTGATACAGCATTTTGGAAACACTCCTTTTGTAGGATCTGCAGGTGGATATTTGGATAGATTTTAAGATTTCATTGGAAACGGGAATTTCTTCATATAAACTGAAGACAGAAAAAAATATCAAAGTACCAAAACTATTTATTTTATACTTGGACATAAAATATCAACGTACCCAACTATATATAGTGTACTGTACATAAAATATCGAAGTACCTAAAGTATGTATTATATACTGTACATAAAATATCAAAGTACCCAAAGTATGTATTATATGCTGTACAAAATATATCAAAGTACCCAAACTATATATTATATACTGTACATAAAATATCAAAGTACCCAAAGTATGTATAACATACTGTACAGAAAATATCAAAGTACCCAAAGTATGTATTGTATACTGTACATAAAATATCAAAGTACCCAAAGTATGTATTATATACTGTAGATAAAATATCAAAGAACCCAAATTATGTATTATATACTGTACATAAAATATCAAAGTACCCAAACTATATATTTCTGAGAATGTATC